>NC_000012.12:17709650-18334650 GCF_000001405.40 Homo sapiens | reverse complement strand
GAGAGAGAATGTAGACAGAGAAAAAAAAAGTTGAACACTGGGTGCATAACATTTCAGAACATTTAATATTTTAATGATGGAGGAGAAAGTTTGGGTCACAGATGGAGCACTTAGTGTGGAGACATAAGCCAGAAGACTACAGCTTAATAGACATCAACGTGAAGGTAGTTGATGGTATTACAAAATTTTAGCTTGGCAAAAAAGAAGAAAAATAAAACATTATAACCATTTCAAGTATTTGATGGTCTTTCAGGTAAAAAGAGGATTAGATTTATTGTAAGTAGCTCTAAGATGATAAATGAGAACAAATGGTTGCACACCTAGAAAGGTTCTTTTGACTCAATATAAGAAAAATTTTTCTTAAAATTATTTGTCCAAAAACTGCGTAGGCTGCCTGTTGAGTAGAAAGGTGCTCCAGATTCAGGTATATGATCAATCAGGGATATTTAGAGAAGATTTTTGCATTGCATAGGAGTTTAGACTAAACTGCTTCTAAATTCTTTCTAATTTCTTTGGATTAATGAAAACTGAAAACAGCACTATGATGTTATTTTATGTAGTATATTCTAAGCTTATCGTTGGAAATATTGGATGTGTCCCGGACTTTGAAGGAGCCATATGCTAATACTTTAGAATTAATTAATCATACTTGAAAAATGTTTTGAACATTTGAAAAGGTGGGTAACAGCCTTGTCTCCCCTGCATCTTTCTGGAAAACCAAACAAAACGGCATAAGTGGTTGATTATTCTCCTCTCTTATTTAGCTGTGATGGAGACCAAAGCAGTATGCATTTAAACAGCCATGTAACAGCTTACCATCTTCCAGATTTTATATAAACTTTCATGAGTTTCTATTTATATTAGACACAGTGAAAATTATCAAATTCAATTAATGAGTTTGGAGACAAATTGAGAATTTAGAATGCCGTTCATTCCAGGTTCAGTAGTTAGTGCCAATATGAATTATTTTTTCCTTAAAGATTAAAAACAGCTTTGAAATGCAGCTTGGCTTAAAATATAAAAAAGGATGAGTTCATGTCCTTTGCAGGGACATGGATGAAGCTGGAAACCATCATTCTTAGTTAGCAAACTAACACAGGAACAGAAAACCTAACACCGCATGTTCTCATTCATAAGTGGGAGTTGAACAACGGGAACACAGGGGCACAGGGAGTGGAACATCACACACCGGGCCTGTCGGTGGGTGGGGGGTTAGAGGAGGGAGAGAAATAGGAGAAATACTTAATGTAGATGACGGGTTGATGGGTGCAGCAAACCACCATGGCACGTGTATACCTATGTAACAAACCTGCACGTTCTGCACATGTATCCCAGAACTTAAAGTATAATAAACAAACAAACAAACAAATGAAAATATAGAACATCGATCTCTCTGCAACAATGAAAAATCCAGATAATATACAAAATTATAACTTTTTCTGAACCCCGCTGAGATCTAAGGTCATAAAGTGACCAAGTAAACCAAACTACACAGTGAAAACTGCTCCAAAGAGAGATGGGGCACACAAAATGTTCAAACTTTGGCAGAGCACAGGAGAAAGAGATGGTCACCATATCCATGAGTAAGAAGATATTAAGAAATTAGCTAAAATTTAACAGATTTTTTAAAGGCCAGGTGTGAGCTAGCATGTCAGTTTGGAATATCAGGAAGCCCAAGACACATGGGGAGTTTACAGTCTCCTGCAAGCTCTTTTCCATGGACGCCTACCAGCTTTTCGGGGAAAATACTGAAGGCTGTGCAGGAAACTGAAGTCATATTCGGTGGCTCAGGTGTGTAGGTAATCAGCTGTTTCTGGGAGACAGTTACGGCGCTCTGTCCACTTCTGTGGATCCTTTTTGCATAAGAAGCAAAACTCTAAGCTGCACGAGGAGGAGCAGCAAACCCTGCATTTCCCTGAGCCCAGGCAAAAACCCCTTGCTTCTGGAGAAGTAAAAAGCAAAATAGTCTTGTCTCTGGGGGAGAAGTAGGACATAGATGAGAAGCTCCTTTGCTGTTGAAGGAAGGGTAGAAGCAAAAGGCCTTTGCTTCTGGGGAAAGGCCAGGAAAGTTGTCTTGGGTCCAAGATCTTACCTGGATACCCATTAGAGGTCAGGGATAAGGAGCAATAAACTCTCGTTTACTGTGAACGACACAGATATAAGGCAGAGTTTGGCCGCCATGTGGAGGAGGGGCAGGAATGCTCCAAGAGTCCTAGTCCTGAGACTCAAGTACACAGAGTCTGCCTAAGGCTGTGACTGGTTCATTACAACACAGAACTCTCCTTGTCCCCACTGCCAAAATAGGTCTAGCATTGAGTAATAAATAAGCAAGGGTGGAGTACCGCTGGGAGAGTGACAACAGTGTTTAGAGAGACTGTCTCTTTGGCACAGACAAGCAGGAGCTGTCAAAGCTGAGGATGAAGCAGGATCCTACAGGGAGGGAAATGTCATGGTACCACAGGCTCCACTGTAAGCTCAGACAATAATAGCTTATCTAATATTTTATGAGGCCAGCATTACTCTTATGCCAAAATCTAACCATATTATAAGAAAATAAAAACACAAACTGATGTCCCTCATAAATATAGATGCAAATATCCTTAACAAAATATTAGTTAATTTAAGTTAGAAATATATGAAACAGATTATAAATTCTTAGTAAGTGTAATTATACCAGTAATAAAAAGATTTTTAAAATTTGAAAAGAATAAAAGAGAAAAACCATACGTGCATTTGTACATATGCACAAAAAGCATTTGACAAAACTCATAATCCATTCAAGAAATAAGCTCTTAGTAAACTATAGAAGGAAGCTTTTTCAACCCAGTAAAATATAACTAACTTTTTATATTATAACATAACCTCTAAATAACTTTACACTTAATGATAAAAGACTGTAAAGTTCTCCCTCAAAATAGCAAGGCGGGGATTCTGTTCTTATGACTACTTGTAAAATCCTATTGGAGACTCAGTAAGTGTTAAATTATAAGGCAGGCAAGTAAAAAAATAAGAGGGCTATAGACTAAAGAGGAAAACATAAAATTATTTCAGAGATGACATGATTGTATATGTAGAAATCCTAAGGAATCCAAAAAATAACTCTTAGATATAAAAAGTGATTTCAAGAAGACATAGTATAGAAGGTCAATATATGAAAGTGAGTTCCACTCCCACGTATTAGTAACAAACAACTGGAAAATAATATAAAAATATTATTTAAAATATTAGACAAAAACATGAACTAATAACTTTAATAAACTATGCATAATCTCTATGCTAAATTGTAAAGCATTGCTGAGTGATTTAAGAAACCTGTGTAGGTGAAGAAATAGATCAGATTAAATTGATCTCTCATGGATTAGAAAATACAATTTTTTAAAATATCAAGTTTCCTTACATCAATCTATATATTCAACGCAATCGTAGCAAAGTACTTAGAATAGCCAAATATTTTTTTAAACAAGAATGATTTTGGAGAACTTATATTGCCTGATACCAAGACTTTCCATGAACGTATGGTAATTAAGGTAATGTTGACTGGTATTAGGATAGACATAGATTTATGAAACAGAACAGGGGGTCTAGAACTACAACTATAACTTGAAATGGATCATAGAACTAAAGAACAGCTAAAACTAAAAATAGTATTGAAAAATATAGTATGCAAACTTCTGTGGGCAAATCTTTATTAAATATGATAAGAAAGCATAAACTGTAAAGTAAAAATAAACCTGGACTTCACAAAGATTAAAAGCTTCTGCTTTTTGAATGGCACGTAAGTGAAATAAAAAAGCAAGCGAACGAACCAACAACCAGTCACAGACAGGGAGACAAAGTTTTCAATACATATGTCCTACACCTCACAGTGAACTTTCTTCTGGAACATATTAGAATGATTACAATTGCAGTTAGTCGTGTGCAGGAGGGAGTTTACTGCTCCTCATCCCTGGCCTCTCATTGATACCCAGGTAAGGTTCTGGACCCTCACAATTTGATAACAAGAGGATATATAGTTCAACTTTAAAAATAGGCAAAAGATTTGAACAGGCACCTGACAGCAGAAAATATATAAATGAGCAATAATTCCATGAAAAGTAATTCGGCATCATCAGCCATTGAGGAAATACAAATTAAAAACTGAAGGAAATATTGCCACATAGTCACTAGAATGGCTAAAATTAAAACACTGACAATAACAGGTGTTGGTGAGGATGCAGAACCACAAGAACTCTTATATTGTATATGAGATTCCATTTATATAAAAGTCAAGGCAAAATAAAACCAAATTGAGAGCAAATAAATTTTTGGTGTATGAAATCTGGGATGAGAGAGATTTACTGTAAAGACGCAGTTGGGCATTTTCTCTTGTAATGCAAATATCTTGTATCTTCATTCCAGTTGTTGTTACCTAATTATATACATTTTGAAAACTAGTCAAACTACCCACTTAACATGGGTGCATTTTATTTTATATAAATTAAACTTTAAGAAAAGTGACTTAATAAATAAGACATTATAATTAAAGCGAAAAGCCCCTAAATGGCAGAAGACATTTACAATACACATAACTGAAGGAAGGGTAAATATATAAAGAACTCCCATAAATCTTTTTGAAAAATCTACAGAAATGTGGAAATATCCGCAAAAGTTTGAACAGGTAAGTTATGAAAGAGGGCAATTGAATAGTACATTTTTAAAAAAGGTAAAGACAAATTTATGAGTTTAGTATGAATTTGTGAGTCAGAAAAATTAAAGTTAATACAAAGATAGCATTACATATACCTAATGTTGGCAAACACTTATAATTTGGACTGTACTATAAGTTGGTGGGAAAATGCAGCAATAGGAACTCTCATATATTGTGAATGGGTAAAAGGTAAAACATCATTAGAAAAGTGTTTGGTGTTGCCTTGTAAATCTATGTCCCTAGCTATGTGCTCTAGAAAACCTCGTGATATTATTTCAAATATACACCAACAAGTGGGATAGATAAATTGAAGTCCAGTCTTTTAATGGAATTATTACACAACAATGAAAATGAACTAATAACAACCACATGGAAAAAGGTGGATAAATCTCACAAATAATACTGAGTGAAAGATACAGGGCTCAAAAAGTGCATATAGTTTGATTCCATTCATGGAGACCTTAGAAAGAAAATCAACACCTTATATTGCTAGTAGATGCAAACTTTGGTGATGAAATGATAAAGAAAGTCTACAAAATCCTTTTCATCAAATAGGACCTTTTACATAGAGGAGAGGAGACATGAAGTGGCAAACAGGTGTGTGATACCAAAAATATTTTGTTCCTTAATTTATTAATAAGAGTGGGTTTTCTATTATTATTCTTTAATTGTGTGTTCTTCATGTATTATATAATTTAGTACATAAATCACTAGTAGAATGTCAGATCATGTTATTCCTTCGCACAAAACCCTCTAGTTTTCTCCATCTCATTAGCAACACAGATTATGTTGGCTAGTGATTATCTTCTATTTTGATAATCTACTTTTAATTTTTTTATACTTCTTCAAGTCTGAGAGTGTTCTATACATGATAGCTTTGACTTTTAGTACAATCTGCCCTTTATTTCTTTTAAGGTCAGTTTCAATTCTGCAGTTGTGCTTCATTTTCCTGTGCTGTATAATAATAAATAATTATTGCCTTTATTTCCTTGACTTCTTTTGCAACCTTGCAACTGCTCCTTGTTACCTCTTAATTTTATCCAATTTTCTTACACTTTTTTTGCTCATTTCCCACCTTTACTTATGTTCTATTCTGAATGCAAATCAATTTTGTGAAAATTTTCTTCTGGATTCTATACAATCCTCAACTTGAATAATAGTGATAGAAACGGTAGCAGTAAAGTAACACGGGTACTCACCTTTTCTTAAAAATGTTTTATCTTCCATCACTATATTATACTAAGCCCATTATATCCATTGTTTCATTAATTATTTAAAACATCATTATATTATATTTATTATCCTCACTCTAGTGATGAATCATATAAATCTGAGGAAGGTCGAATACAAAACTTCCATAGTGGTGGAGGGTTGACTTATACATTTATCTGACTTTGGAATCTCTGCTCCTAAATTTTGTTTTAGACTACCATTAGGCTTAAGTTATGTTTGAAATTGGAACTTCTGAAAGTCTAACAATAGATTTGCTTGTAACCAAGAGAGCTTCAGTTTAAAAGAAGCTAAATATAAAATCCCTATGTGTCCTCTTTCTTTCTACTCATATATGGAATTTTCTTTCTCTCTCTAGATGAATACAGTTAGATTTTGGTCTTGAGCAAGTGTTAAATAAGATTATTTTGCCCTCCTCACTGAATTACTTAAACCTGAACACTAGAGATGTCATATTCTCCTGGTTATCTACTTGGTATAGCCTCTGAGTCATGGGCTAGATGGTAGAAGGACTTAGGGGTTCTCAGTTATTTTCTGACCAGATCGATGTTTCATGAAGCTAAACCACATTTTGAAGCATGAATTGATTTTTCCTCAACCCTGGTTCATCTAATTTACAATAAATTCAACAATTACTAGATTCTAGTGTAAATTTGTCATTCATGGTAGGGACTTCCTACCATGATCCTCACTGGCATTTTAATAAAGAATTTTGGAGACAACATATTAGAGACTACTAGGAAGAAGTGATTTTAAATCAGAAGTTGATTCTTTCTCCAAGGCTACGATTTAGTTTTATACTGCTTTGCTCTGTATAGACACCATTGTGTATATTATTTATGTGGATATGCTGTCTCTCCAACTAGATCATCGACAACTTCAGAGTATGGTTTGAACTCCCATTTCTCTTGGTTTCAGTGAGTAAACAGTTTCATAATTTGCATGAAGTAAGCATTCAGTGATACCTTGGGGGGGAGGATTCTCTTTTTTCCATTCTTAATATTTCTGAAATTCCTATTGAATTCATATTATTCAATTTCTATAAAATTAAGAATACAGAATGAATTCAAAAATATTCTCTATAGTTCAGGGTTTTAATGGAATAGAAGAGAGGAAAAAATGTCCAGTGAAAAAGCTCTTTGTAAATTAGATACAAAACTAGCCATTTGACATAATAGCCAGAATGCCTGGCCTAAAATTGTTATCATCTAAAATATGTTGAAATAATAATTGTCAAGAAAGAAAATATTTGGTACTTTAAAATATTCATATTATTCAATAATATTCATGTCTGACTTATTCAGCTGCATGCTTGTTGTTTTTTCAAATCATGTGTAATAATCCAAGTTTGGGAAATATGAAAAAAACATTATTTTTCCAATTGACACTGTTTTGGACATGATGAAATGCTACTTAATGTACTTGTCAAATGAATAGAAAGCGCAAAATTGTGAACTGATAATATCATAGTCTGTCCTCATTTCTAAGATATTTACTATTGATGTTTCATAGGCAAAAATCTCATTAAAGAACTCATTGTTTTGGATTGAGTTCATCTGGAAAATCACATACACTGTGACCTATTTATAAAATAATTTAGCTGCGAGTGATGATTGCTGTTTGCCAGTGATAATGGAAAGACAGCATTTCTTTGGTATTTTGCCAACTTTTAAGTCATATTAGAAAAATTTACAATAGTCAATCATTTCTTTCAAACTAGAAATATAGGAGGCTTCATACATAAGTAATAAGATCAAACTTCTGAATTTGGAAATTAAGAACTGTTATAAATTATTAATAATTTGTGTGTGAAAAAAGATGTCTATGATATGTGAGCAGTGCTGAGACATTTAGATAACTAAAATTCATTCATAAGTAGGTTACCATAACCTCAAAAGTATTTCTACACATAGTAAAGAGACAAAAATACTCTAGGAATTAAGTCTTAATATATCCTGGTAACCTGGTAAGTTTCACATTCTACATGAGAAAGAATGACTCTCACAAGGCTGATTAGAGGTACTAACCAAAACACTTTTATGAGACTTAAAACAAGCTAATTGTGGATTCTTTTCACATTCCACATTTTAAACTTCCAGACTCAGACCAGGCTGGAGCAGAAAAAATAGAATTAGGGTGAGAGGATTACACTTTAGGGAGAAACCTAAGTCTTGTATTTGTAGTCTCCATGTCTTTACATATTTATGTGGAAGTCACATATGATTTCAGTATCTACATCAATAAGTAGAATTTATTATTTTCAGATATATTTAGTGTTTATTGATATTACAAATAGTTATTATCTGAGTTATGTACCCTTTTATTTATATCAGGAATCAATTATTTAACAGAAAGAAAGAAGTCACTTGTTTAAAAAATGTTCCCTGACTCACAATATTCTGTAATAATATGATGTGTTATCTGTGGAAGGCTAAACCTTCCCTGGAAGAAGAAGCTGTAAGAAATAATCTGCCTAATGGAGATCACAACTTCAGTGCCCAATAGGTGACCAAATTTCAGTGGCCTTATAATGAACCCATCATTCCCTCTGCCATGCTACCTTCTCTCTTCACTATTATAGTGAATTGATGTCTCCACAGAGTCAGTCAGCAGTCCAGAATTTTGAGTTATTCTAGGCACATAATTTCACCAAATCATGTAAATTGCACATTTTCACTTCTTATGAATCTGTCCCCTCATATCATCCCTATAGTAGAGTGTTTGTCCATGCCCTCATCATCTCTTTGGGCTAATGAAATGTCCTTCTAATCATCCATCAGTCATTCTACTACTCTGCCTAATGGCTCCATGTCATCAGCTGACAAAGTAGAACATCATAAAACTGGCCATAAAAGGTCCATAAGATCCTACATAATTTGGCCCCTGTCTGCTTCTTTCATCTGATTTTTTTTCCAGCCTCTAACTTTGAACACTAACTGCAGCCATTTCAAATGTCATAGTTTCCTAATCACAGCAGTCTGGTTCCTGACTCTTTTCTCTCTCTCTCTCTTTTTTTTTTTTTTTTTTGAGACTGAGTCTTGCTCTGTCACCAGGCTGGAGTACAGTGGCCCGATCTCGGCTCACTGCAACCTCCACCTCCCGGGTTCAAGCTATTCTCCTGCCTCAGCCTCCCAAGTAGCTGGGATTACAGGCACCCACTACCACGCCCAGCTAATTTTTGTATTTTTTAGTAGAGACGGGGTTTCACCATGTTGGCCAGGATGGTCTCGATCTCTTGACCTCGTGATCTGCACACCTCGGACTCCCAAAGTGCCTCTGTTCATGTTGTTCTTTGCCGAAAGTTATCTCTACTCCCCACCTTCCTTCACAATGCCCGTCTCTGGCTGGGAGACACATACAGTCAACATTTGTCAACATTCAGCTCAAATGGATAAAACTGACCATTCTTTCTTATGCATCTTGTGTACATACAGTCTTTCCTCAGCAGCTGTAGCACTTTACTGCATATGCCTTTCTAGTTGTCTATTTTTCCAGGTTGAAATGAAAGCCTTTCAAGTGTAGATCCTCTGTTTTATTCATTTTTGTCATCTTCAAAATTTGCAAAGTTTTAGAAAAATAGTAGATGCGTTAAAAACGCTTACTGAATTGATGGATAAAGTAACAAAAGTCAATACCTGGGTTTTCAATAGGTATTTCAGGTGGAAGTCATATTTTCTGATGAGTGTTAAGAGACATTGTCTGGAAAATAAAAAATAGAAACTTTGTTTAAAATTGGGTGGGAAAACTTATATTACCTTTAGCACAAACATTTATCACAAATTGTTTTGCCCATGATACTATCGTAGGCATGGTATAAAAAGGATTATTGTTGACATAATTTTAAAAACATCTCAGAAGGGTGCCTTATAAAGTTTGTATAACTTGATAGACTACAAACATATCTGAAAGTCTTAGAACTCCAAAGAATTCATGATAAATTAACCAAACCTCTCAAAGGCTGATCATTATATAAAACTACTCTTAATTCAAACCGTAAGTTGCAAAGGGATTCATAAGCAGATAATGGCATATATTAACATCAAGAAATATTAAGTATGGCATATCTTGTAGAGAATTGCATTTGGAATTAATGGCTTATATTTATAATAGATGGGGTTGTCTCTGACACCAAACCTCTGCATTTTTCTTTCCTAAGCTTCTCTTACTGCTCCAGCTTTATCTATGCTTAGGGAGAAGACATGCAATTTGAGCAGAAATTCTTCTGAGCTTCGCTGTTCAAAAATTATTTTCCCAAACATTATTGACTTTACCTTCTTATTTGTCTTGAAAACTCCTGACTTAAATTGAATCATAAGTCACACAACTCAGAAACGCAACATTAAAACAAACACCATTATTTTTACAGTAGCTGCATTCTCATTTTTCTACATTATCACTTTAGTTGGAGTCCCTCTGTCAGTTCAAAGACAAAATGCATAGAATATGTAAAAGTCAGTGAAAGGGGAGGAAAATAATAACTAAAGATTTGGGCAATGGCAGTGGTTTTTTTTTTTTGAGACGGAGTGTCGCTGTCGCCCAGGCTGGAGTGCAGTGGCGCGATCTCCGCTCACTGCAGGCTCCGCCCCCCGGGGTTCACGTCATTCTCCTGCCTCAGCATCCGGAGTAGCTGGGACTACAGGCGCCCGCCACCACGCCCGGCTAATGTTTTGTATTTTTAGTAGAGACGGGGTTTCACCGTGTTAGCCAGGATGGTCTCGATCTCCTGACCTCATGATCCGCCCACCTCGGCGTCCCAAAGTGCTGGGATTACAGGCGTGAGCCACCGCGCCCGGCCAATGGCAGTGTCTTTATATAAAACCTGAAACTATTAGTACCACCAAGAATGCACCCACTTCAGCACTTTGTTTTTGGATATTGTATCTATTTTATAGAAAAAACCACTGGGAAGTAGTGAAGGTGAGTGATTTGCTCAACTTCTAAGAGGAAGTTGAGTCATAAAAGAGAAGGGCTGAAATCAAAGCCCTTGCCATCCAGTGCTTGATTTTTTTGATGATCCAATACGGTGTTCTGAGGAGGGCAGGCAGGGAAGCATTGTATCCCCAAAAGTAAAGTTCTACAGTGGCCTTTATGAGGCTGAGAATGTCTCTGTGATCCAATACGGTGTTCTGAGGAGGGCAGGCAGGGAAGCATTGTATCCCCAAAAGTAAAGTTCTACAGTGGCCTTTATGAAGCTGAGAATGTCTCTGTGTTAGATACCCTTTGAGAAAAATAAGGGGTGAAGGGTCAGAACATAATGGAAGTGGAATAAGCACTGATTCAGAGTTAGATACTTGGTTTTAGTCATGGCTATGGGATTAAATATTTGTGTGATGGTTGCCAAGTGTTTGAACTTCTGTTTTTAGTTTCCTTACCACAGACAAAATAGCACTGGGAGATGGCATCACCCCAGACTGTAATCCACTGCCCTGGGATTGGAGGGAGGGATGGAGGAGTAAAGTCTGAAGCTAGGCTGTCCCAGACATGTTTCCTCTACCCTTGCTACAGCAGAACTTTTGCTTTGCCCTGAATTAACCCTCTGGACCCCTGCAACTGCACACTGGCCATCAAATATCTGCTAGGGGGCAGGCAATGGCAGGGGTAAGACAAGAACAGAATGAAAGCCTCCTTCTCTCACTCTCTTCTCACAGCCTTGGCTTGCCTCTCTGTGCCCCAGGTAGCAGTGACTTAAAAGGTGCAACAACCCTCCACCAACCCAGCAAAGTCCTTTGTGTCCCAAGGATATCCTGCTTTTTGAAAAACTTCCCATATTTGAGGTGTATGTGTGTTTCTCTCCCTTTCTCTCTGTTCCCCCCACCCCTGGGTAGATTTATTTTGGAGAAAGGAAACTACAGACCTTGTTTGTATGTTATACAACAGAAATCTATAGTGGAATCATGTAATTACCTATAAAACGAAAATTTGTATTAGATTATGTCTAAAATCCTTTCTAGTCCTAGCCATTCTATGATTTTATGGAGTGAAGATGGATGTTTTTAGGGGGAAGGGTGGCAGAGAAGGGCAATGGAAAAACACAATAGTTAATGAAAGAAAATGTCCTTTGTAAATTTCAGGCAGACCTGATTTTAGTCCTGCCACTGATGACTAGAATGGCCTTAGGTGAATTATTTAGCCTCTCAGAACTTCAGTTTCTTTAGTTTTGAAACAGGATAATATATACTATCACAGAGTTTTAGAAAGAATTAGATGAGATAATATATGTAAATATATAATAACTTCACAAAATCATTACCCAACATAGTCACTAAAAACAATTTTAGCTCACATTTTTATTTATTTTTAAACTTAATTTTATTTTATTATTATTTTTAAATTAATTATTATTTTTTTTTTTGAGATGAGGTCTCACTCTGTTACCCAAGCTGGAGTACAGTGGCGTGATCTCAGCTTACTGCAACCTCCACATCCTGGGTTCAAGTGATTCTCCTGCCTCAGCCTCCCAAGTAGCTGAGACTACAGGCACATGCCACCATGCCCGGCTAATTTTTGTATTTTTAATAGAGATGGGTTTCACTGTGTTGGCCAGGCTGGTCTTGAACTCCTGACCTTGTGATCCGCCCGCCTAGGCCTCCTAAAGTGCTGGGATTACAAGCGTGAGCCACCGCACTTGGCCAATTTTATTTTATTTTAAGTTCTGGGAAACGTGTGCAGGATGTGCAGGTTTGTTACATAGGTAAACGTGCGCAATGGTGGTTTGCTGCACCTATCAACCCATCACCTAGGTATTGAGCCCTGCATGCATTAGCTATTTATCCTGATGCTCTCCCTCCCCAACTCTGATGGGCCCCAGTGTGTGTTGTTCCCCTCCCTGTGTCCATGTGTTCTCATTGTTCAGCTCCCACTTATAAGTGAGAATGTGTGGTATTTTGTTTTCTGTTTCTATGTTAGTTTGTTGAGGATAATGGCTTCTAGCTCCATCTCTGTCCCGCAAGAGACATGATCTCATTCCTTTATATGGCTGCATGGTGTATATGTGCCATTTCTTTATCCAGTCAATCACTGATGGGCATATGGGTTGATCCCATGTCTTTGCTATCGTAAATTTAGCTGATATGTTATATCAGCCTTTACTTTAGAGATTTATGACCTGTACCTCCCACACTACATTTTCTACTGGTTCAGCTCACAACAACCTTAACTGCAGATACACCCAAACTCCCAGTTTAGCTACGCAATAAGTCTGTTCTTCCAAATAATACATGCATACATTTAGATATAAGAATGAAGTAGGATATGTTCATTTGTTGTCAATCAAGTTTTCCAATTTGAATTTACACTCCTGTATTTATGATATACCATTTATTTTCAGGGAGTTTCAGAAACAAGTAGGAGATGGTTACCTTCGAAGTATTAAAATTGTTTTACAAAGAGCTTAAGTGACATATGCAAACCCAAAATCACAAAATGAATCGGGAAAACAAGTCCTTGAAAATGTAATAACCAGCAGCAGAGATTTTTTTAAATGAATGTTAGAATGTTCTGGAAAGTGTTAGCAGCTCTTCAAATATGTCTGAATAACTTTGAAGAATGGATAATTATTAACAGAATTTGCCTGTTAAAAGTACAATAGCTTCCACAGTCCCAGTGAATGGACAGTTTTTACAATCAACTGAAAAATACTGAGATTTGACATTTGAGAACTCAATCAGAAAGTAGTCTTGGAACAAATATAAAATATCTTACCTGGATACTTTCCAAATATGCATAAATTCTAGAAGTTGATTCAGATAAAACTGACTGTGGTCCTCTTCATGCTGTAGACAGCAGAATATATTAATATTTATTGAGTGAATAGGAATGAGTACCAGATAAAAATAGGTCCGTAACTTCCTGCTGTCATTTTATTCACCTATTTTGATAAACCTCATTCATCGCTTTTATATTCTGTCTGAAAGACCTTAAAAGGCTCTCCTTAACTATATAAGCCTTTTCAAAAGTAAAACAGAAAGCTTGGCTTTTGTTGAGAATAAACCTGAAAGATAGTTGAAAAACATCGTGGCATCAGCAAGGTCAAACATTAAATTCTTCTACTAAGTATGAAGGCAGATTTTTTGCCACCAGTTCTCCCACATACATGCACATTTTGTTTTCACATTTAGGCCATGAGTGCCATGGCAGTGTAAAGCCTGACATTTTGCCAGATGGGCGGGCAGACACATAATCAACTCCTTCATTTTTCAGCTTCACCACATCTTGCCGCCAAAATGTCAGTGTAAGAGAGTTTTCCATTCCATGAGCACTAAATTATGCTAATTAATGACAATTACTGGTAGGTATAAATGTTAGGAGTTGGCATTTTGTTTTCTTCCTACATAAGCATGAACTACTTATCTTAAAATATCATGCCTATGGCCCATATGTGTGTGCTCACACACACACGCACACACACACGCATACCTTAACTTCTTGACCAGCTCTCCTGCAACAGGGCATTCATGAAAACCCTTTGCAAGTATGCAGAGAATGCAGTATGTCTCAACATAATTGCACTATTTCACCACACGGTGGCATTAAGGTTGAGATCTGAGTGGGTCCCTTAATGCCTAGGGTGTATGTAATCTTGTGTGTCAGTACACACACAATCTATTTTTAAAACTGACTATTAGAAATTCGGACAGAAAACATCAGAAGGAAAACCTTCATATGGCCCAATGTCAAAGGTAAATTAATTTTTATATTGGTTTGTTTTGTGAAGAGGAAGAAGGAAGCTAAGTTAGGTGGAAAGAATAAGGTCACTGTTATAAAACAATATTTTGACTACATGCTGTGAAAAAGAAACACTATGTAGAATGACTGAGAAACGAAGATGTGAGTCTTACTTTCTAGAAATTTACATATAGAGTCACTGGGACAGCTAAAATAAAAAGTGTGATGGTGACAAGACAATTTTTTTCTGCGACAGAGAAAGCTAAACTGTAGTCATGAAAAGTACAGTAAAAGAAGAGGGAAAATAGGAAAGTGAAAAACAGTAAAAATAAGTAAGATTTGAACTGTAATATTTGGCACTTGTCTTCTTTCAGAAGTTAAAACCAAAGCAAGAATATAAAGAATATACTTAGTTACATCTTTCTATGAAGCATAATCATATTCATTTAAAAACCAATTTATTTGGTTTCCAGAAATATTTTCGGTATTAGTCATAGTACCTTTTGCTAGAAAAATTTTTTAATTTAAATACCTTCATAGGCTGGAGGAAAAATAACTTTGTAAGATACATGTATTGGAAACTTTTTTTGTCACAATTATTAACAGATCTTGAAAAAAAACAAAAGCTGGAGGAAAATTCCTGTAATTGTCCATGAAAGATAGTGTGCACTTAACTTTTCCTTAAAGCTGAGGCCATACCTTGGCCTTAAGGAAAAAGGAAAAAGTTAAAATTTTTTTTTCTCATACAAAAATCTATTGCTGTAAATGTTCGTGAATGTTCCCCTGAGCTATAAGAAAATCTTGATTTTATGATTCTACAACGTTGGCATACTTTTGACCAAATTTGAGATAGACAAAAAGGGAAACCAATTTAAAAATATTAAGTTATTCATAGCTAATCAAGGTAGCAGCTTTAAAATTTTGAAACCTTGGATGATTTCTAAAGATCATCAACCTGCTTTTTATTATTTATTTATTTTTTTTTGAGACAGAGTCTTGCTCTGTCGCTCAGGCTGGAGTGCCATGGTGTGATCTCGGCTCACTACAACCTCCACCTCCCGGGTTCAAGCGATTCTTGTGCCTCAGCATCCTGAGTAGCTGGGATTATAGGTACACAACACCAGGTTTGGCTATTTTTGTATAGATGGGGTTTCACTATGTTGGCCAGGCTGGTCTCAAACTTCTGACCTCAGGTGATCTGCCCACCTCGGCCTCCCAAAGTGCTGGGATTAGAGGCCTAAGCCACTGCTCCTGGCCTGCTTTTTTTTTTTTTTAGAACAACTTTCTTGTTCTCTTGAAATGAGGATTAAATTATACTATTTCAGTATAATATTATCAAGTTTAAAATAAAAATATTATCTAAGATGAATTGAGCTTTGCACAATTAGAAAGCTCTAAAGTATCTACTGCGAGGTAATGGTATCAATAAATTTAATATAATGATGATAGTCATATTCCTAGTATTATGTGAAAAAAATACTATCAAGACAATTTTACAGTTTTATTAGAAAGATTATAATTGTTCATAAATGTTTTACTTACAGCTGAAATCCTGAAAATCACAGAGAATTTTGACACCATTATAAAAAATAAAACTGAGAGAACATTTGCTATCTTCTTATGATGTATATATAAAATTAAATATACAAATCAAGGGTTACTTATGTAAAATAGGGCAATTCAGATAATGAAGATGAGACACAAGTTGATAAACTGTTTCAGTTATATTAAGTTAATCAATAAATCATATACATCTTAGAAAGAAAATTTTATAAAGCTTACCTCAAAACCAAACCAGTTTACTTTTACTTTCTTGTTACATATAGAAATTTCAATTAAGACTAAAATTTATCCTGCTCTATGAGTATGAAAGCTTACAAGAAAAATTGTGATATATTAAAATTGTTGATATATCAACAAAAGTCATGATACTGCAGTGTATATACTGTTTTGACATAACACACAAATGTCCATCTCTCTCAATATTTCCAACACAGTGAGTAAATTTCTAAATGTTTTAATGCAAATTAATGTTAATAATGTTTTAGAATTTTTAATTGTAAAGGGCCAAAATAGCACACAGTGAAACATCCAATTTTATGACGTCAATAGCTACTGCTTAGGTAGTCATACTAAGTGCAGGCACTGACTTAAGCTCTTCATTTATATTTCTCAGTTGAGTTCTCATAATAACCACATTAAGTAAGAACTGTTATTATTCACATTTTTTGATGAAGAAATTAAACAGAGATTTAACAATTTGCCTAAAAGTGAACATTTGAAATACAGCAATATGAAACCAGAATTTTTGCTTTTTTATAGAAGGCCAAATGAACAAATTTAATATTCCTCGTTTCTAACGATCAGAGCTAGGCCTATGTGCTCCAGGATTTAGACAGAAAAACAAGCACTATCACTAGCCCCTCTTACCCATCTGCATTAGGTGGTTCTCTCAACTTTTAGAGCTGGCCATATTTTCTTTCAGAGTACATATCTCCATAGGACTTCATTATATATATTTGTTTATTGTCTGTCTCTCAACTAGGATGTGAACTCTACATTTTAGAAAAGGCAAGTACTATGAACGGCATGTAACAAGTTTTATTTGTTAAATTAATCAATTGTTACTAGATTGTATATACTGTATAAAGTACTTATCCCAGTTCCTGGAAGTAAATCCTTAAAGTTTTAATAAAATGTAATATCTTCCCCTTTGAAATGTAATGCGAAAAAAAAAATCCTGAAACTATCAAGACTTGGACCAGGCACAGTGGCTCATGCCTGTAATCCCAGCACTTTGTGGGGCTGAGGCAGGTGGATCACGAGGTCAGGAGTTTGAGACCAGCCTAACCAACATGGTGAAACCCGTCTCTACTAAAAATACAAAAATTAGCCAGGCATGGTGGCACGTGCCTGCAATCCCAGCTACTCAGGAGGCTGAGGCAGGAGAATCACTTGAACCCGGGAGGCGGAGGTTGCAGTGAGCCAAGATCACGCCACTGCACTCCAGCCTGGGCAACAGAGCGAGACTCCGTCTCAAAAAAAAAAAAAAAAAAAAGAATCAAGACTTAGAGAGATGGGGATACGGAATGCCTTTTTCATATTCTGCATGGAAGTTACCCCTGCTTTTTAATTGGAAATCAGTGTCAGTTGCATCCCCTGAATCCCTGAGGGCTGAGATCTTATTGCTATTGCTCACTACTCTACGCATTAGTGTAGGGCCTAATACACAGCAGTTACATAGCAAATACTTATTGCATAAATGGAGGATATACAAATATACAAATACATTTGCCATCAGGTGTATTATCCATTATTTTATTATTATTATTATTATTTTGAGACAGAGTCTCGCTCTGTCACCCAGGCTGGAGTGCAGTAGCGCGATCTCAGCTCACTGCAACCGCTGCCTCTCGGGTTCAAGTATTATCCATTTTAAACAACAGCATCAATATTAGCAAAAGTTGTGGATGAGAAAAGGCATTTATACTCTTTGCCTATGAGTTGCTGAATTATCCAAGAATTGGTGATATTTACTGTAGGATGGATAAGCTTGTAAGTTGAACCATGAAGCATCAAAAAGAACTATGTAACTTAATTCCCACTGTGATTCAAATGGCATATTAAAAAACTGGCATTTCTGATGAGAACTACACATTATACACCCAGAGATAACAATATGCTTGTCCCTGGACATGACAACAACGGTGATGACAGCAATATGATTATCTCACCTTTTTTTCTCAACATTGAGGGTAATTTGAAGAATCTTAAGTTTAATATTGACGGAGTCAGCTACACTATGTAACTGCGCTTGCTGACATTACCATATAGTGTGATCTGTAGCCACATAGTTTTGCTCTGATCTCATCACCCTTATTTACTAGCTGTGCAACTTTGGATGATTTAAATAATCTCTTAACTTTTCAGTTCTTTTATTTTTATAGGATAGAAAAATAGTTGTATTTATTACTTCTTTGCTCTTGGGTTACTGTCAATTAATTCATTTAAAGGACTAAGAACATCACTTGGCACCTAATATATACCATCATAATATAATATATAACCATATATAATATGGTTAGTTATTAATCACCGATCATGCCCCAGACTTTGAGCTACATGGATATTGCTGTGGAAAAAAATTACACACACACACACACACACACACACACACGTGGATGCATGAAGCTAGAATTTTTGACCAATTACCTTGAAACACACATCCAAAACCTTTGAGAATATACTGCAAATTCTGAGTATATTTCCCATTTAAGTTGGTAGGAATGCATGGGCTCTGAAGACCCACTGACTGTGCTCAAATCTGTACTTCTCTGCTCGTCAGTTTCATGATTTTAATCTTGGGAAAGTCTTGATACCTCCCTGTGATTCCGTTTCCTTATTTTTAATAGTGTTTACCTTATAGAATTATTGAAAAGATTAAATGTGATAGAAATGTTAAAGTCTCAGACATGTATGTATGCCCTATATCAGAATAATAGAGTTACAAGAGTTTTTAAACAGACCTTAATTTACATGAGTCTGAAATGTTAGTGATTTGTTAATTACTACCGATAAGTTATTATTTTAGCAGCATCCAAATTAGAATCATACATTTTATCTTCTTCCCCCATGCTCCAATGAACTATGATGATTTCAGCTTTTTTTTTCTCAACATTGAGGGCAATTTGAAGAATCTTAAGTTTAATATTGACAGGGTCAGTTGCACTTTATAACATTTTTTTTCCTGGAGATTTCAGATGTATAGCCTTGGAGCTGTCAACAGCAGCTAAGTTGAGCACAAGATCCAAAAGATATTTCTAAACAACTGTCTTTTGGCCTCATTATGTTATGTTCCACATTGATATGTTGCAACCTAATGTACTACCTGAAATTTTCTTATGATGAAACACTTCATACTAGAAAAAAAAGAAAACATCCACTGGAAATCTGTTACTTAATATAAATGACAGGGTGAGAGGATTTTTGCTTAAAGCAAGTAATTTGAAGATTCTACAGATAAAAACTGCCATAATACCAAAGTTCACTGCATACTGTGCAGTTTGAATTGGAAGTAACTCACAACATGACACAGGGAATAAAATTCGCATCTAACAGCATGAAACTGTATCGTCAAAGCACAGTCATCCTTTTCTAGGTAGCTTTATTATATATATTATGAAAGTTTATCTGTCCTAATTTAAGCTGTGTTGACATAAACAGTCTTCACAGAAAACAAGTTATTTTTTTGCCTTCAGTGATTCCCCTTTACATTTTCTATTTCATTTACTTCTAAGAAGATATGTGAAAAGTATAAATACGATAACCTTAATAAGTGTCTCACAGATGATTTTTGAAAGAAACCAACAGATTTGTTATACTCAGTGTATTAGTCAGCCTGGGCTGCTATAACAAAATACCAGAGACCGGGTGGCTTAAACAACATACATTTATTTCTCTTCGTTCTATAGGCTGCAAAGTTTATAATCAGGGTCAGAGCCCTTTTCCTGTGTGCAGACAGCTTCCTTCTTGCTGTGTCCTAACCTAGTGAGAGGAAAGAGAAAGAGAGAGTGATAGAAAGAGAGGGAGAGGGAGGGAGAAAGAAGAAGACAGAGAGAACGCTCTAAACACTTTTTATAAGGGCACTTACCACCTCATCATAAGGGCTCTGCTTTTATGACCTCATCTAAACCTAAATACCTCCCAAAGACCTCACTTCCTAATACTATCACCCAGGGCCTCAACTTATGAATTTTGGGGGGACACAGACATTCAGTCCATAACACTAAGATTGCAGTAATGTGTTCATGTTATTGCATCAGTTCAAATCATTAACAGGTATTTATATTTAGATAAGATATTTCATCATGTTTCAATGAATATATTTAAATAAACATGTATTAATTAAGCTATATAATTCCAAGTTGGCAATAGTTCAAAAATTAGAAATATTGTCCTTAAAACTGTCAGTTTGCCAATTGAAACCAATGCTAAGAAAGTCTTACCTTTCGAGATAGCTTTCCTGGAGCTTCCCTACTTTTCTGCAGGTGGAGCTGAATAACAGATTTATCTTTTTGAAACATTTTGTGGCTCCCCAAACAGTGGTCGCTGAAGGAGGAAAAAATGAACACAATCATATCCTCCCATAATATTCCCAAATACATGTTTTCCTCTCTGACTTCATTTTCTTTTATTTTTGGAACTTAGTTTGGTAAAAACTGAGTGTGTGCGTGTGTGTGCGTGTGTGTGTGTGTGTGTGTGTGTGAATATATATGCATTACATATTTTTGTGTATAAATGAATAATATGACAGGAAATATAGATATATAGATATAAATGATGAAATGTGAAATTTTTATGTGCATTAATAAGTTAGAAAATGATTAAATGATTAGACACCTTTAGAATTATCACAATAAATTTTAACAAATAAGACTTTGCATATTCTAAGTTAGTTTTACCCAGCCATCTCAGGGTTCAAAGCTGATGACAGCATGCTTCTGGGTGGTCTAACTGATGCCATTATGTCTGTGTGGAGACCTTGTCTCAAGAAAGCATTGGGATGTGGTGAAAATGTCACGAGCTTTAGAGACAGATTTACTAGCTCGATGACCTTAGGAAGGCCAATTAAACTAAAACTATCTGAAACCCAATATTTTCTCTTTTAGAGTTGGAATAGTAATGTCTACATCAAAGGGTTAGCAAGCAGAATAAACAAAAGAATTATACCTATTTCAGAAATTTCTACTGGCACTGTTATATTTCTTTGTCTTCCTTCCTTTCTCTTTCTTTTTTTGCCTATAAATATTTATCAAGCACAAATTAACTGAAGAGCACAATGAATTACTATTTTGCAACATTTTTCTTATAAATACAATTTGATTCTTCTGTGAAATGAAGGGCTTCTACTATATAAGTCCCTTTACAGCTTTAAATTTTGGTATCTCTGGTGACTTTTAGTCATTGAGAAAAGGATGAGTTATGTTAATGCACATTGTTTAAAGGACCTTAAATATGAAGGATTTCAGGAGGAAAAAAGTATATTAGATACTTGTAATCCTTAAGATGATAATTTTACTTATATGGAAAATTCAGTAAATAGTTGGCATAGCTTGTTGCCAACAATGCCAGACAAATAGACCATTAATCTGTAAAATGAATTAACAAAAATGTATAGAATTATGTAGAATAATTATATAGAATTTACTATACTATATAGTAAATTCTTTTTAAATGTTTCTATTTTAACGTTGTTTTTAATACTTAAAAAACTTAGTACCTATCTGCTAGCCAAAATGGTGAATGTTAGTATGTTCATGACATATGTTCAGTGCCTATTCCTATCCCAACTGTTAGTCTAATCTAGATTCTTGTCCCTGGGGTATCCATAGGGCTCTTACACTGTTCGCTGAGTTGTTTTCACAGCCAATCTAGACAAAAGTCATGGCCACTGCTTTTCTTCACTTGTTCTTGGAACTACTGATTTCTCCTTCCTCCTTCCCAAAGGTTTGCTTCAAGGGCCAGCCTCACAATCTATCACATGTAATCAAGTTCCTGTCCTTTCATCTCCCTCTACTCAACTCTTTTTTCCATGCTAAGAGCTCTGTTTCCCTGTTCCTGCTATGGGAGGTGACTTAAGAATAGTGACCCATCTTGCTTTCAAAGATTCCTTTTCTCTGTATGTTGAAGTCTTGATACTGCACTCTGGACACCAGTGCAATGACTTCAGCCTCATACATGGCTACTGCGTGCTTACTTAAACTGACCTTCTTTATTTTATCCACCTGCGTGTATACTTCTTCCTAGAATTGCCAGATAATATACTTGATGTCTAGTGTGTTGGTTAATATTGAGTGTCAACTTGATTGGATCGGAGGATGCAAAGCATTGTTCCTGGGTGTGTTTGTGAGTGTGTTGCCAAATGATTAACATTTGAGTCTGTGGATTGGGCAAGGCAGACTCATCCTTAATCTGGGTGGGCACAATCTAAACAGCTGCCAGCATGGCTAGAATAAAAGCAGGCAGAGAAACGTGGAAGGACTAGACTGGCTTAGCCTCGCAGCCTACATCTTTCTCCCATGCTGGATGCTTCCTGCTCTCAAACATCAGATTCCAAGTTCTTCAGCTTTGGGACTCTTGGACTTTCATCCACAGACTGAAGGCTGCATTGTCGGCTTCCCTACTTTTGAGGTTTTTGGGACTCGGACTGGCTTTCTTGCTCTTTAGCTTGCAGATGGCCTATTGTGAGATCTCACCTTGTGACAGTGTAAGTCAATACTCCTTAATAAACTCCCCTTTATATATACACATCTGTCCTATTAGTTCTGTCTCTCTAGAGAACCCTGACTAATACATCTAGTATCTATAAATTACAGAGAAACAATGAGTGAATATTTTTAGTATATATTTCATGTAGTATTTGATACATATTTACACTAAACGTGTGTGTATACATGTATGTACACATATACTGTAGTATTAAAATTTATTTTCACCTGTTTCTTTGTGTATTTTCATGCACACACACACACACACACACCCCTTTATACCATATAGGTGTATATATGTGTGTGTCTATCTATATAGATAGAGATATATAGATATAGATAGATACATAGATATAATACCTTAATACTGTTTAGGTGTGTGTGTATATGAGTGTGTATATATATACACCTTTCATATAACTACATATAAAATACTACATGAAACATATACTAAAAATATTTATGACTTTGAAATAAAACTGGATATTCTATATTTTTATTTGCTACATCTGCCAATTTTACTGCTTTCAAAAACTAGGTCTTAGTTCTTTCCTTACCTTTGCTTCATTGTGTATGTCCTCGTGTGTGTGTGTGTGTCTGTATGTGTGTGTATATGGTGGAATCTGGCACCATAATTATCAGATTTGGGGTAATAACAGATGTTGAAACAGTCTTTTTCCTCTATGATTTTTTTCAAATTACATTATAGGAATATATTCTCATGGGATACATCCAAATTTTACTCAACTCTACAAAATAAAAGAGATAAGAAAAATTCTTCCCTTTCCCTTTTTCTGGAAAAACAATTACCAAGAGCTTATTATACTTTCTTTGAGGGCTGAAATAAATAGGTAACACACGTATTTCTGTTATGAATGAGACTATCTTATTTTAGTCATGTCTCTAGCCTATAAATTCCTTTTAATTCATTTTTGAGTCTTTGACTTTTAATCAGAGAAGTCTCAGCTATCCAAGTTATAGTAATGCCTTCTGCTATATTATTTTTGGTTTATATTAACTATATTGTTTCTTTTAGAATTATTTCCTTTCATTTGTTGGGTTTATTTGAGCCATTTTTGAGTCTCTTCTTTCTCTATTTATCTTTAGAGCCTTGACATTCATAAACATATTTTTACTTTCTGGTGGTCACCTTTTTTAAAGAAAAGGAAACATATCTTAAAGCTTTTCTATTGCAATCTCAATTTAATTACTATGTGACAGACACTCAAATAAAATTTAGAGCTTTATATGACTTCAATTCAGTTCTCTCTTAGAACCTTACAACTGCTCAAGTAGAGATCACTTCAAATATTAGCTCCAGATTCTTTTATCACTTACTTGATGAAATATAAAAAGTAGTAGATTAGTTGATTAAAAAAGTTAAAGTTGGGAATTATAAAGAAGACAGATTTCTTAAAAATAGTTTATTTTTAAACTAAACGTAACTACGTAGCCTCTCACTAGCCAAAGTTCTGATATTAGCATCAAGTCTTTGCTATTGGATGAAGGGTCAGTTGATAACAATTTTGTGTCATCTTTCTGATATAAAACAAATCTATAAGTAATTATCTTTAATTGCCTATTGTACTTTCTTAAATGTGTAGCAAATTCTTAGAGTCAAAGAAAAACTTGAATGGAAAATCATTTTAGATTTTTATAATTATTTTTCTAGTCTAAGTTGTTTCCTCTACATTGAATTCAGCAACAATAGATTTTAATGGCTCTCCTTTATTAATTATCTTTTAAAAATTTCAACTTCATTTTCATAGAAACACTGACTTTCTTTCTTCACTCATACTTCATCACTCTGTAAATACTTCATTTACTTACCTAAATAAAATAACAATAGAACTGGCATAAAAAGGTTCAGGAATAAACACAACTGACTCTAGGTACGTTTACAACTCAACTTACAGAAGCAAAAGTGCGTGGGCATAATATACTTTATAGTAAACTATTATGCTAGAGAAGTAGTTATCAAAATGTTGTCTACAAAACCCTGGAGCTACAAGAGACACTTCCAGGGTGTACATGCACTTGTAGGAAATAAAAATCAGTGTCACTTAAAAATATCCTTGATAAAATGGTAAAAATTATTAATTTTGTTAAATCTAAATCCTTAAATACATGTGTCTTTAATTTTCTATATGAACATATAGGAAAAACAGTTAAAGCACTTCTGCATACTATAATATAGAAGTTGTCTTCAGGAAAAGCCCTCTTGTACTTGCTTGAGTGGCAAAATAAAGAAGTAACTTTTTTCATGAAACAATTTTATTACATGAGAGAATTACAGGCAAACTGTGGTTATTCAGACAGGTGTTTGGCAGTCAAAAATGAACAAGCTAAGCTTGTCACTTTTAAGGAAAACAACTTCAGAAATAAGGATTTTGTAAAATTTATATTTTCCACTATGAGCTTGCTGGCTAACCAATACTTATAGACTTTTCTCATGAGAAAAATGCTAATATTAAAAAATGAACTTTTTGATATTTTATGGTAAAGTATGGCAACATTTGGAAGATCTGCAGAATCCAATGGACATATTTGTCTAAATGACAATCCATGATGCTTCAAATCTTGCATGGGTAAAAAAAGATTTATCAATAGGGCAAGACAGACCAATGGACTCTAAATAGCCTAGTGTGAAAAGTATTGATTTTTTTTTATATTCCACATTGTATCTAAATTTTAAAAGACTATTACTTGTTGATTTTGGTGTAGTATCAAAGAAAGATGTTCACAATTATCTGAAAAGACTACTAAGATATTTATCTTTTCCACAAACCATATTTGTGTGAGGCCAAATTTTCTTTATATACTTCCACTCAATCATCATAGTGCAACAGACTGAATGGAAGAGCAGTCAATGGTCTTAATTAAACCAGACATTTAAAAGATTTCTAAACACATAACAGTGCTACATTCCTCACAAATTATTTTTGTTTTGCAATATATAGTATTTATAATAAAAATATTTTATGTGTATTTACGTGTAATAAGTTTATCATTTTTAATTCAAATAATAAATGCATATTTAAAAAATTTCTCAATTATAATTTCCAACATGGTAAATATTGATAGACAAAGTCCACACAAATTCTTTTTGGGGTACTCAACAATTTGTGAGTTTAAAGGATTCTGAGACCAAAATGTTTGATAACTACTCTTCTAGAACAAACAATGAATTCTGGGCCTTAATCATTCTGTTTTGTAAAGGAAATAAAGAGTGTTAATACAGCAAGTCAAGCAAGCAGAGATAGATAAAGGAGCCTCTACTAATTTATTTTCTTTTTTTTTTACTATATTTTAGAGCTTTTTAAGTAATTATGTTAACCATTGATCTATATTCCATAGGGCTTCATTGTTTATTTTGTTGAAGTACATCTTCACATAATTTTTTAGAGAGATAATTTATGGACATAAAATGTTTTTATTTCTGAGAATGTCTATTTTTACATTGTCCTTGAATGCTGGCTTATTGTTAGTTCCAGAATTCTAGGTCAAATTATTTTCATAATATAATATTGTAGTAGAATTATCAGTTAAGATTAAATCTCTGCTGTTTTTTAAAGGACGTTAGAGTTTCTAATAACCGTCACACTTTCTAAGAGCTGTGAACTACTCGTTTTACCATTATACGTGGCAAGACCACAATTTTGATCAGTTTGTGTTTAATGATATAGAGCTATGCTGTCTAGTATAGCGGTTAGTGAATACAAGCAGCTACTAATCACTTGCAATGAGGCTACTTTTAATTAAGATATGCTATAAATGTAAAATACACACTAGATTTTCAAGACTTGTCATATTAAATAATGTGAAACATCTCAATGATTTTCTTTATTTTGATTACATGTTAAAATGATAATATTTGAGGTATATTGAGTTAAAGAAACTGTAGTATTAGAATTTATTTCCATGTGTTTCTTTGCATATTTTCTTAGTGTGGCTAGTAGAAAATTTAAAACTCTTCTGTGGCCTACGTGATAAATTTGTTAAATGGTGCTATGTAGAGAAAATGAAAAAGAAAAGAGAGAAAAAGCATTAAATAATAGAAAGAAGGGTGGGAATTTAATAAGTAAGTGCAGTAAAAAATGAATTTTTATTTGAGAGTTCTAGATATCAAAAAGGGTAAGAAGAAAGGTTACCATACCAAGAGAAAGAGAAATGAAAGGCACGGACCATAAGGTGGGTAGTGTGGAGAGAAGGGTTGTGCTCTAAGAAAAGGCCACACTGGGAATTACAATGCTTATAACATGAGCACAGGAATTATCCATTTAAGGTTGTACACACCAGGTGTTTTTCTCAGTCTGGTAACATTCCAAATATGAGCACTACCTATGTTTTATTTAATAATCATCTATAAAACTTCAGCTGTTAAATGAACTGAATGTCTGTGATACAATAAAAAGTTTAGGCTTTTTCTTCCCATATCCTAGGAAATCAAACTTTCTGTATATTAATTATTTATTCTCTCTACACATATTTGATTCTATCTATCTGCTAGTTACTATCTTAGGAACTATTATGAGTATACTTGTCATTTAAGATGAACACTAAGAGGCTGAATTCTAGCACCATAATTACCCTTATTTCCTATTCCTAAATAGCTCATGTTATTTTAAAGTATTTCTGAGGCAATATGTTTATATAAAGAGAGATTAATGACCTTAACACCAAAAAGTGATAAGTACTCAAATTTGTCTTATGAGCAAGTAAGCATCCTAGATAACATTCAAACTATGAATATTGATTCTCATTGCCCTAGCCGCTCCTTGGAAACCCACATTTAAAAGCGATGCTCTTTCATTGGAATAAATACTTACGCTTGTTTTATATAATTTGAATTAAGCTAAAATGTTCTTTATTCTTACATGTAAGAAGTAGTCACAGAGGTGTATTGTGAAATATTAAACTCATGTATAGAAAATAAACGATTTCTATTTGATTTTGTAAATATTGAAAACCAGGATTGCTGACAGCTTCTGAAGGTATTTCTTTAAGAAAATTCAGTAACTAAGCTGGACTTAAAATCTTTGGGATAACTAAGTCAGAAATGTAAGGTGAATATAACAAAATATTAAAATAATATTAGTACTGTAGTACTGTTCAGAGTATTTTTCAGCTAGTTATGTGTATGTGCACACTTGGCACATGTACACACATTTGGTATGTGCCCCTTCAAAATTTCTACAATGTTAAATCTGCCATATCCTTAATTTGAGTAAACTGGTCTTTGCAACTAATAAAATAGCCCTGGATTTTGTGCTCAAAGTGGTATTTGGAGCTGACTCAGCATAGATAAAGGTCAGTGATACGTTGTTTCACTAAACCAGTGCTTCTTGAGTTTATTGTTATTTTGTCTTCAAGTGAGCTACCAATAGGAAAAGTCAAACTTTATGACTTTTGAAGAGACAAGAATAGGTTCAATCCTAAAACTAGGGCTTTTAGGCATGAGGTGGTTAGTAGAGGAGAGTCAAGCTTTTGAACAAAAATCCTGTATGGGACATAAATTGATACCAACAGCTAATACTCAAGAGGGATTTGGACCAAGGAGATCTGAAACTTTCTATTCAAATGCCCTATTTTTCTTAAGACTTCCCACAAGCCTATAAAAAGGCAACTATCCCTAATGCCTCCTCACTCAAATATGGTTATTTTTCTTCGTACATATAGTACATATGCATTTCTTAAAATTCAAAAAATGGAACATTCTGCAAAGAGGTTTTTTTTTAATCTGGAAAAAAGTTTTATAACAACTCTCAAGTTTGCAACGCTCTCCCTACTAAGTAACACAGTCACAAAAGACAAGTAGTAACATAACTATATAAATGAAGTTACTAAGAAAGTCGGTAAAAAAAAAAAAGATAACAATGGTGAAACTGTAACTTTCTTTCTTTCACAAAAAATATATACTGAGCCCCAAGGAGCTCTTTTTGTGGGGGGTATGGTATGTGAAATTTATAAAATTTAGTAATTATACCAGGAGATCAAATATGCAGACTTCATTCTATCCTAAGGTTTTATTATTGTTTTTTCCCACAAAATCTCCAGAGGAGAAACATCCTACTACAGACTTTACAAATAAAAAACAATAAATGAGTAATGTTTTGTCTTATTAAGGTGATTTCAGCTAATTTGAAGAAATATGTAATTCAAAAATTCTCTAACTAATCACTTTATTTAAGAAAAATGGAGCATTGGGTCATTTAAACTTTTATCAATTGAAAATTAGGAAGATTTAATAATTCTTAGCTTTGAAAAATAGACAGTGCTTTTGGGTAACAAAAATAATGTGACAGCTGCATTTTGGTATTATACATCTACAATAATATTAAATTATGTACCTACTTTCACATGTAATTTGCCATGTCTTCTTGGAACACTCTTGCAACAGCTTCGAGATTCCTTTGACCAAGTTTATTAGTTAATGATGCTTGTGCAATTCAGCTTTTTAAAAAACTTGGGGCTGAAATATGCTGTCATTTTTACAAGTAGCTTTTAATCATAATAAACAAACTTTATTTAGCACAAGGTCTTTCTTTGGGATTTCACTCTCAAGTGAAGGTATATACAGAGTATCTACATATGAGGACATTTGTTCTAGCACAGAATTATTGAATTAAGACCAAATGCAGGTTTGTATGGTGTGCTATTTTTGTGGTCATTAGCTATTTACTGAAGATGTAAACCAAAGTTAATTATAGAATATTAGGTGAAGCACTATGAAGGAGATTAAAAAAGAAATTAAAGTCATTCAAGAAACTCTAATTGAATGATTTATTAACAGAACACACTTTTTTACTGTGTGTGAGATAGCTCAAAGTTATGATATGTTCCTTTCTATCCTCCCACATGGTTCTGTGATTTTATAAGTGGAGGAGTAGAGTTATGTAAAAGAGAAATGCACTTTATCTATTTCTTTGCTCAAAGTAAGTCTTAAAAGTTGGAAGGAATTTTAATATTTGAAGTCTTAGGCTGTAACAAATTTGCTGGAAGTAATCAATTCGTTCAGGTTTGCTAAGTGAAATCCTTAACTTCACTGAGAAGAAAAAAGACTCTTCTTCCCCAGCAATATATACAATGCAGTTTTACTGCTAATGAATGTAATCTATTACTTAAAACTGTATATATTATGACTTAGCCTTTTTCTCACTGGTAATTAATAGTTTTATTTTTACTCTGAGTACAAGACTATTTCAATTTACAATCAAATGTTTAATGAACAAATTAATATAAATTGGGCCGGGCGAGGTAGCTCACGCCTGTAATCCCAGCATTTTGGGAGGCCGGGGCGGGTTGATCACTAGAGGTCAGGCATTTGAGACCAGCCTGGCCAACATGGTGAAACCTCATCTCTACTAAAAATACAAAAATTAGCTGGGCATGGTGGCATGCACATGTTGTCCCAGCTAATCAGGAGGCTGAGGCAGGAGAATTGCTTGAATCCAGGAGGCAGAGGTTGCAGTGAGACGAGATTGTGCCACTGCACTCCAGCCTGGGTGACAGAGTGAAGACTCCATCTCAAAAAAAATGAACAAATTAATATAAATTGTCATGAGATTAGTTAGAACTTTTTTAAAATATAGAAGTTTTTTGAAAAGGATTATTTTAGAATTTTAATTAAAAGGATTTAATTTTGTAAAACTATTTTTGTACTCTAATAAAAGGAATGCATCGTCTCTACTAGGAGAGTCCCAGAGAGAAAAACAAGACTCTCAAGTAGATAAGAAGATCATTCTAATCAATGTGGGTGATGAAAAAAGAGGTAAATACCACCTTCTTAATTTGATTTTAAAATATATAACTACTTCCAAGTAAAATTTTTAATTACTGTAGAATTTCTTTTTTTTTTAAGAATATGTTTTCAGCACTCAATTCTAACATTCCTTGACAACCGTCAATTAAATAATAAAAAAATTGTTTCATTTAAATCAAACATATAAAATTTGACCATCCTGTAAGCAATTGGCCGAAACAGAATTTTTAAAAAAGACTAGTATTTACTCAGGAGGCATTTATGGTTTACTACTGACAATGCAATGATTATTCAGCAAAAGCTTTTAAGTACAGTAAATTTTATTGTTTTACATAGAAGCTAATAAGAATTATTTTTAAGTTAAATTAGACAGAAAGACTTAGAGTAAGATTTTTGAGATAAGAAATTACTTAGGCTGGGTGTGGCAGCTCATGCCTGTAATCCCAGCACTTTGAGAGGCCAAGGTGGGCTGATCACTGGAGATGAGGAGTGAACCTGACCAACATGGTGAAGACCTGTCTCCACTAAAAATTCGAAATTAGATAGGCGTGGTGGTGCGTGCCTGTAATCCCAGCTACTCTGGAGGCTGAGGCAGGAGAATTGATTATAACTTGGGAGGCTGGGGTTGCGGTGAGCCAAGATCATGCCACTGCACTTCAGCCTGGGTGACAGAGTGAGACTGTGTCAGAAAGAAAGAAAGAAAGAGAGAGAGAGAAAGAGAGAAAGGAAAGAAAGGAAAGAGAAAGAAAGAAAGAAAGGAGAGAGGGAGGGAGGGAAGGAAGGAAGAAGGAAGGAAGGAGAGAGAAAGAGAGAAAGAAGGAAAGAAAAGAGAAAGAAAGGAAAAGAAAGAAAGAAGAGAGAGAAAGAGAAAGAAAGAAAGAGAAAGAAGAAAGAAAAGAAAAGAAAGAAAGAAAGAAAGAAAGAAGGAAAGAAAGAAAGAGAAAGAAAAGAAAAAGAAATTACTTAAATCACATAGGTTAGGCCCATCTACCACAGCCTACTGCATCTGTGTGTACCACTGGGGGGTCTGAGGACAGGCCTGCTCTGGTTTGCACTGCCCCTCCACCCCGTGCTCAAGCCTAACGTCTGGGACCCTGGGAATCACCCTGCCTCGTCTGCCACCCAGCCATGCATGTGCACCAAGAGGAAGCCTGACAAAAGACTTAGCCTGCCTGCCACATAGCACCCAAACATATCCGTGGGGCTGGGAATCACTGCATCCTGCCCATCACAGCTTGTACTCCTAAGTACCACTGGGGACCCTGAGGACAGTTCTGCCCTATCTAGTGCTACACCTCTAGTGCCCAACTACACTGCCCAGGTCCTTGGGAATCATGCCACCCTGTCTATGCCTGAAACACACCAGCAAAACATCAGATGGCCTGACAAAAGACCCACCAGGACCCAAGCATGCGAGGTGGGGACCTGGGGATTGAGCTGCTCTGCCTGCTTCTACTGGTGCACATGAACACCATCAGGGAGCTGCAAAACAGGCCCAAAATGCCTGTCATCAGTGCCCAAGCACCTTATCCAGAGTCCTGAGGATCGCCCTGCCCACCCATAACATTCTACTCCTGTGAACACCATCATAGAGCCTGAGGACAAGCCTGAATTGCATGGCACCACCACCACTGCTGGAACCCATTCACACAAGCCACTGGGGGACTTAGGGATTGGCTTGCCCACCTTGTCACTGCCACTGCTAGCACCAGTGTGAGCCTCCTGGGAGCCTGAGTGTTGCTTCTTCTCTGCTACTTTCATCATTGATTGTAGGCGCACTGCCAGGGGCCCCAAAACCTGCCTATCCACTCGGCCCTCTGCTGCCACTGCTGGCACCCAAGGAAGTCACCTGGGAGCCCAAGCATCAGTTCACCTGAGCCTGCTAAATCCAGTGCCCACATAGGCTACCCAGGAGCCCAAAGACAGCCATGGTTGGTCCACCACTACCACACTGGAAGCTGAGGTTTAATTCACCCAGTATCCTTGTCCCTAGCAAAGCCTCACCACTGCCTGAACTAACAACTGTAGCTTAAGCCACTGAGGAAATTACAGAAATCATTGATGCTGATTACAGCTAAAGGAATCACAAGAAATCACTGCTGTATTTGCCTAGAAAGAATGCTGAAGTTGTATACCCACCCACACTATAGATGTATCTGTAGGAAAAAGTCTTCCTCTATGAAAGCCTATCCAAAAAAATTGGAAGAAGTGACTATTACACTAATAGCATATATATTTTGTGTAAAGACATAAGAAATATAAAAAGCAAAGAAATATGAATCTTCAAGAGAACACAAAACTCTCCAGCCACGAATTTCATTCCAAAGAAAAGAAAATATATGAGATAACTTTTTAAAATAATGATATGAAAAAAACTCAGTGAGATACAAGAGAACACAAGCAAACAGCACAAAAAATCATAAAAACAATTCAGGATCTAAATAAGAGAGTAAAAAAAGAGACAAAAATAATAAAAAAGGAACAAACAAAAATTCTGGAACAAAAGAATTCAGTGAATGAAATAAGAAATATAACAAAGAGCTTTAACAATAGACTAGCTCAAGCAGAGAGAATTTCAGAACTTCATAATAGGTCTTTTGAAATAACCCAGTCAGACAAAAAAAAAGTAAAACAATATTTTCAAAATAAAGAAAGCCTATGTGACATATGGGACACCATAAAGCAACCAAATATTCACATTTTGGGTGTTCTATAAAGAGTGGAGATGGGCAAAGGCATAGCAGACCTATATAATAAAACAATAGCTGAAAACTTCCCAAGTTTTGCTAGGGATTTAGAAATCTATATATAGGAAGTTCAAAAATCCCCAAATAGATTCAACCCAAAAAGGTCTTTTCCATTGCACATTGTAGCCAAACTGTCAAAAGCCAAAGACAAAGAGTATTGTAAAAAGAGCAAGGGAAAAGCATTGAGTCACATGGAAGGAAATCGCCATCAGCCTAACAGCAAATTTATCAGCAGAAACTTTACAGGCCATGTAAGAATGAGATGATATATTCAAAATGCTCAAAGAAAGAAAAAAAGAAACCACTCTCAACCAAGAATACTCTACACAGCTAAGTTATACTTGCCAAATGAAGGAGATATAAAGTTGTTCCTTGGAAAGCAAAAACTGAGAGAATTCATCACCACTAAACCAGACTTACAAGAAATGCTTAAGGAAAGCCTACATCTGGAAGTGAAAAAACAATATCTATCATCATGAAAGCACATGAAAGTATAAAACTTACTGTTAGAGCAGTCACAAAAATGAGAAAGAAAAAGAACTAAAATATTACGCCTGCAGAAAACCACCAAGTGGCAGTGCTAAATAATGAGAGAGAAAGAAAGGAACAAAAGATATACATAACTAGAAAACAATTAAGAAAATGACAGGAATAAGTCCTCACCTATCAATTATAACCTTGAATATAAAGAAATTAAATTACCCACTTAAAAGATACAGATTGGTTGAATGGATTTTAAAAAATGACCCAATTATATGCTGTCTACAAGAAATGTCACTTATAAAGACACATATAGACTGAAAGTGAAGGGATGTAAAGATATTCTGCATAAACAGAAACCAAAAGTAAGCAGAAGTAGCTATACTTATATCAGATAAAATAGACTTAAGTGAAAAACAATACAAAAGAGACAACTAAGGTTTGTCTCCAATAACAGTGGGATCAATTCAGCAAGAGCATATAACTATTCTCTTTATATGTGAAATAGTACATACATATTTATATGTATCCAATAAACACATACAACTTATCAAGATTGATTCAGGCTGTAACAGAAAACCTGAACAGACCAATAATGAGTAATAAATAAGACTGAATCAGTAATAAAAAGTCTCTCAGCAAGGAAAAACTCAGGATGAGATGGCTTTATTGCTGAATTCTACCAAACTTATAAAGAAGAACTAACACAAATTATTTTCAAACTAGTCACAAAATTTGAAGAGGGAGGATTATTTTCCTAATTCATTCTACAAAACCAGCATTACCCTGATACTAAAACCAGACAAAGCCACCACAAAAAATAACACTACAGATTAATGTCCTGATAATGAACATCAACACAAACATCCTGAAGAAAATATTGGCAAACTGAATCCAATTATACATTAAAAAGGTAATACACCATGATCAAGTAAGAGCCTAGGGATGCAAAGATGGTCCAACATATGCAAATCAATATGCATGATACATCATGACCACAGAATGAAGAATAAAAACCAAATGCTCATCTCAATAGGTACAGAAAAAGTATCTGATGAAACTAAACATTCTTGATAATAAAAACGCTCAACAAACTAGGTATAAATATAACATACCTCAACATAATAATATGACAAACCCACCATTAACATCAAACGGAATGAAGAAAAGCTGAAAGTCTTTTCTTTAAGAACTAGAACAAGACAAGGTTGCCTACCTTTAGCACTCTTATTCAGCATAATAATGGAAGTCCTACACACAACAATTGGGCAAAATATATAAATAAAAAGCAGCCAGATTGGAAAAGAGAAAGTCAAGTTGTCCCTCTTTGCAGATGACAGGATCTCATATTCAGAAAAACCTGAAGATTCCACCAAAAAACTCTGTAAACTGATAAACAAATTAAATAAAGTTGCAAGATATCAAATCAACACACAAAAATTAATAACATTTTTATGAACCCATAACAAACTAACTGGAAAAAAATTAAGAAGGAAATCCCATTTACAACAGCTGCCACACACACTGAAAAACCCTAGGAGTAAACTTAACCAAAGGGGTAAAAGACCTCTGCAAGGAAAACTACAAATCTCTGGTGAAAGAAATTGAACAGCACACAAATAAATGGAAAGACATCCCATGCTCGTGTATCAGAAGAATTAACATTGTTTTGACCATACTACCCAATCTACAGATTCAAAGCAATTCTTATCAAATTACCAATAATATTCTTCACAGAAATAGAAAAAGAATCCAAAAATTTGTATGGAAGTAAAAAAGAGCCCAAATAGTGAATGCAATCTTGAGCAAAAAGAACAGAGCTGCAGGCATCACACTACTTGCCTTCAAAATACATTACAAAGTTATCGTAACCAAAGCAAAATGATATTGATATGAAAACAAACACATAGGCTAATGGAACAGAATAAAAAAAACCCTAAAATAAATTCATTTATTTATAGCCTAGTGATTTTTGACAAAGATGTTGAGGACAAACCTTAGGGGAAAGACACCCTCTCCAATAAATGGTGCTGATAAATCCAAGTATTCATATGCAGAAGAATGAAACTAGACTCCTATCTCTCACTGTGTATAAAAATCAACTCAAAGTACATTAAAGACTTAAACCTAAATCCGGAAATTATAGAACTTCTAGAAGAAAGCATAAGATAAATGTTCCAGAACATTGGTGTAGGCAAGTTTTTTATGGCTAATACCTCAAAAGCACAGGCAACAAAAACAAAAATACACAAATAGGACTATATTAAACTAAAAAGCTCCTGCATAGCAAACAAAACAATCAACAGAGACAATCTGTTGAATGGGAGAAAGTATTTGCAAACTGTTAATCTAACAAGGACTATTATGCAGAATATAAAAGAAACTCAACAGCAAAAAAAAAAAAAGAAAAAACACACAAACTAAAAATGAACAAACAAATAATCCCATCAAAAAGTGGGCAAGCAATCTGAATAGACCTTTCTCAAAAGAAGACATAGAAATGGCCAAGAAGTATATAAAAAATGTTCAAATCACTAGTCATCAGAGCAATGCAAATCAAAACAACAATGAGATATTGTTTTACCCTTGTTAGAATGGCTGTTATAAAAATAAGTAAATAAATAACAAATGCTGGCAAGGATGCAGAGAAAAGGGAGCTCTTATACACTGTTGGAGAGAATGTAAATTACTACAACCATTATGGAAAACAGTATGGAGATTTTGCAAAAGACTAAAAATAGAACTACCATGCAATTCAGGAATCCTACTTATGGGTGTTTATCCAAAAGAAAGGAAATTAGTATAACAAAGGGATACCTGCACCTCCATGTTTATTGAAATACTATTCACATTAGCCAAGATACGGAATCAACCTAAGTATTCATCAATGAATGAAGAAAGAAAGAAAATGTGGTATACATACACAATGGAATACTGTTCAATTATTTAAAAAAGAATGAAATGCTGTCATTTGCAGCAACATGGATGGAACTAGAGGCCATTACATTAAGTAAAACAAGCCAAAATATTCTATATTCTTACTCATATGTGGGAACTAAAAATGGTTATCTCACGGAGTTAGAGTGTAGCATGATAGTTATAAGAGCCTGGGAAGGGTATGGGATGGGGAGAGGATGAAGAGAGGTGGGTTAATACATATAAACATATAGTTAGATAGAATGAATCAGTTCCAGTGTTTGGGAGCACAGTAGTTTGACTACAGTTAACAACAATTTATTGTATATTCAAAAAAACTAGAAGAGAAGATTTGAAATGTCCCTACTACAAAGAAATGACAAATGTTCTAGGTGGTGGATATTCTAAATATCCTGACTTGATCATTATACATTCTATGTAGATATCCAAATATCACATGTACCTCATGAATATTTACAATGTATCAATAAGAAAATATATCACACAAAGAAACCACAGCTGTAGAGAAAACAAATCACTGGAGTGGTTTTTTGGTTAGGATTGAGAAACAGAAAAACCTGCGCTCCTAGTAAATATTTGGCTAGAGAGTAATAAGAGAAAAAATTATGAAGAAGCATTATACTTCATATATTATCAATATATTTATGAAGAAAAATACTCATGTGAGACGGTTACAAGTATAGGTGAAGGTACAATTGTTACTCCCTGTCAAAAAGAGAGATGCAGGGACGGTCTAGGAAATAGTTTCATTTTCTAGGATCTCATATCTGTGCTACATTCAATAGGAAAGAAAAGATATAATTCCTGTCCTTGAGCTCACTGGAAAGGCTGACTGGGATCAAGCTATTGGACAAGAGCATGGAAAATGGGATTATCAAGGACTCCTTGCTCCATGGTAATTAAACCGGGAGTTAAAGAACAGGAACATGATGAAAGATTTTAATATTTTTTGAATGAAGCAGATGATTTCTTTTCTTCTATTATTTATCATATTGCTGACAATTTTGCATCAAGCTTCCATGAACGTATGACAAAATTGATAGTTCATGTTCTGATTCTTTAATTTGCTCTGTGTTCATTATATATTGTATTATTTAAAATCAGACAGGGAGAGTGAGAGTAAGAAAGTGAGAGAGAGAGAAAATGAAAGTGAGAATAAGAATGAGTGAGTCGGGATATTTTAATTGAGAGAAAAGCTTTTCTGATACTAAATTAAAATGAATGTTAAATAACTTGCAAAAATAGTATAGTTGATATATGAAAAGGGAAATTTTGATTTGCTAGGAAAATCATCTTTTTAATTTTGCAATAGTACAAGGTAAAAATGTCTTTATTACTTTGTTGATTAGAGCTAGTTTTTATACCACGTACTGTTCTGGAAAAGAGGATAATTTTTGGAGAGTCTAAGTTCTTAAGTCATTACCATTCTTGGCTTCTAATATCTCACTACTTGAAATGTGGGCTGTAGACCGGCAGCATAGGCATCACCAGATGCTTGTTAGAAATGGACAGCCTCAGGCCTCACCCAGACGAACTGAAATCAGAATTCTTTTTCTAACAACATCCTCAGGTGACACTTTAAAGTTTGAGAACACGGTGTTAATATCAGAATAATTTTGAAATTTCTATATGCATTATATGGGTTCATAGTCATATTTATTTACATTTCCCCTTTTTCAGGATTTTATGTAATACTTCACTAACCCTGAGAAATATAGGGTCTTAACTAATATAGCAATATAACAGTGCTATGTTTGTAGTCATATGTTTCATGATCTATTTGACCATTATTTTGAAGTATTATCAGAAAATTAGCATTTTCCCCAGCTGAATACTCCAAATGAAGTGTACTTCTATAAGTTTTAGAGTCTAAATTTTTACTTATTGCACTGTTAACTTATTACATGCTACCTGTGTTCTCTGTATAAAGAAGAGCTTTATGAACAGATTTCCATGTCTTTAAGGACATATTTTTTAGACAAGTTACACAGGAATACACTAAAAGTAATATTTGAATGACTAATATATATTCCTTTAGATGCTAGAACAGTAGTAAATATTCTGCACATTAAAATAAGTTCTGTCAATACAAATAGGCTATTACTCTTAAATAATATGCAAATCCTTGACATACACAAATGTTTCAATGTCCATTAGGGAATAAATGACTATATTTTACATATATTAATATTTGGCAACTTTCCTATCTTAATAAAACCCAATTAAATAAATTTTAATATGATTAAATGACTATGAAAACATTAACATGTACATTTATTAGTTAAATATTGAGCCATCTACTTATGAATAATTTACCTATTTAAAACAATGATTAAATCAAGGTGTGTAAATTTTCTCCACATTATACTTTTCCGAATTTCTGTCTCTTTAATACAATTGCTTTCTGGATGGCATTTTCTACTGCTAAAACTTAATGCAAATATTTGACAATGTTTTGCTCTTTGGATATAATGTTTTGGCATCAAGAAAAGTCTAGATGTACATTTGGAAAACTACACATTCAAAAGATGAGTTTAAATGAGTATTCAATATAAGGTTAAATTTACTAAAATGCTTTCCTGTGCTCATTGGATTTACTGTCAAAATTGTATGTTGGGAGAAGGTAGCAGACTAGTAAATGAGTGTGTTAATAAGTTCAAATAAAAAGGGAAAAGGGAATATCTGTGAGCTTAGTGCAACAAAACATATGTAATTTCATATAAATATTTATTATTTTGTTTATGTATAATTATTTATTATAAAATAATAATTATAAAAATGCTATTGAAATATTATTTTAATACAATATATTTTGTTATTAAAATAATAAATAATAATGAAATATTATTTTTCCCACAAAAAGGAAAATAGTCTTAAGGCCATTCACTGTTAACACTGCACAGTAAAGAACTGGATTTACTAATAAGAATGTCATCAAATTTATCAAACTTCCCAAAAGATAATTTCAAGCACATTCATGATGGAATAATAATGACAGTGACAATGAGAATTTCAAAGGAAATACATTTTTACTTCCATGAGATGTTTTCAATCTTTAGATACTTGTAGAGATGCAAAGGGGATATATAAATAGGGATCTACTGTATTAAACGTTTTAGTCTTTAATACTTTACTGTTTAGAATAACTATGCAATACCAGCAGAGAAATATTTATTTTCTTAAAGCTGTATTATTTGTTCAAGACTGGTCTGTAGGAATTTCAGGCAAATGGTTACTTTGGTAAACTAAAAGATGATTTTTTTTTATCAAATAAGTATTTGAAGTTGATATACTGAGGACAGGCTTTTCCAATTGTTTTTAATGAGCTGCCTCAATAAAGAAATGGTGGTTTAGAACTTACTCTTCCATAAAAAGTAAGTTATAATGCTTATACTTAAGGCCCCTGTGATTTAAAAAAAAATCAGTATTTAATCAACATGCAAGTATTATTCTAACCAAAAAATTACTTATCACCAAAGAATTTATTTACTTAGCTGTGATCAGTTCTAATAAGCTTTATTACAGGTAGGATGAGCAACTTGTCCTAGTTTGGGACTTTACTGGTTTTAAAACTGAAATTCCTACATCCTGAGGGCTACCTCCAAGCAAACTGAGATGGTTGGTCACCCTAGTCACAGGTCATTTAAATATTTGTTTTCATAAGTAGTCATAATATAAAATCAAGAATAAGATTGTTAATATGATTTAGAAAATTTCAAATTCACTGCAAAGGGGGTAAAATTGATTTAATTATATAAGACTATAATGTTTGTGTAAAGTCTGTTTAAAACAAAACCATAAACAAGTGGTAACTTAATATTTACAGATTATAATACAACCAAAATTTCATAAAATACTTACTTTTGTAAAAATTCTTCAGAGCCACATACACTTAGAATATGATCTTTGGGGAGTAGCTGGTCATTTGTGCAAAAATGCAGAATTTCTGCAATTAGATCTTTGACAAGATAATTAGCTAAAGAAAAAGAGGAATAATAAAAGTCAATAAAAGTGTATCATATACTGACTAGGAAAAGTTTTTGAGCACAAAATATGACCAACACATTATGAAGGATTGTAACTGTCTAGCTTCATCAAGGGGAATTAAATTGAGATTCATCTGACTTATCAGACTGGTTAGATTTAAAGATATTTGGGGAAAATGTTGTTTGCAATTCCTTTGATCAGTTCTGCTTTCATGTGATATAACAAAGCTAGGTATTGTGTTTCTCATGTTAAAGCCCTTGGTACACTGCAGTTCTGCATAAAAATCTACTGCAGTTTCTCTTAGGGACTTGGGAAATACACTCAGGAACTTGGGTATAGCCAGGCAAAAGTTCCAGGGGGTGTTTGATTCTTTCCATTTTCAACCAAAGTGAGACATATTGCTCCTTCTAAGGGTATCAGCAAGATAAAAGATTCTGAATTAACTGCAATAAATATTTTCAGGGCATTTACACTAGTTAATATTCATATTCATGCCATGACATTAAGACAATTCTGTGATCATTAAGATGTTCTTATCAATGTTCTGTCACTGAGACATGGAAATAATATAGATTTTTCATTTTTTAGTTGATTTATGTAAACAAGTTATTTCGCCTTTTTGACCTAGTTTCTTCATCTGTTAAATAGGATTTATAATAGCACAGTTTATTTTCTTCAAGAATCTGGTGCGAAGCTATCATAAAAAAATAGACAAACGTGGCCAGTAAATTTAAAAGTGTTATACAGGTTATATTCACTCTGGGATATAATGTTAGTATTAATATTAATAATAGCTATATTTTACGGAGCAATTACTCTATTAAGTGCTTTACATGTCATTTCTTGATTATTGTACCTATTATATAGGTATTATATCCCAAGTTTCAAAGATGAATGGACTCATTTTCAGGGAAGCTATGCAATTTTGTAGAGATTACACAGTTAGTGTTAAGTGTCACACTTAAACAATATCTGTTTACTCCAAGGCCTGTGCCCTTAATGACTGTAAGTCTCCACAGTTGGTTGTTCTCTAGACTCTAAACAAGATCTGTCAGACTCCAAATCCACCGTTGGTTCTTCTTCCTTTCCCATGTAGTAATTACTCAAGGTTCTAGCTTGAACAGCTATATTATAGAAACTTTAATGAATATCTACTCTCTCTCTCCACCTTTTCCTTTGGAACTCAAAATGTAGACATGCTATAGGGTAAAGTCATTTGTCTTCTCATATTCACATATCATAATCCTCCCTTTTAAGCTCTTACATGAACATGCTATTTAATAGTGGCCAGCAACTGAAGACAACATGACCCAACCTATGGTCTTTCTGATTGGATCAAGGTGCAGCATCATTGATCTTGGCCGAATAATCAGAATCTGGCTTTTAGGAACTGGGAGCTGGATCCCATAGAGATAGTGAACTGTCTGTAGATAGCTAGACTAGTAGCTTGGCTTCCCACTTGTTTTAGATAAGCAAAGGAAATGAGTGATCAGAGAGTGAGAGGAATATGAGAAGCAATTATATGAAATGAAATGAGATGCATACAGGAATTCTGGGCTGCTTGATTATTTGTGTTTTTCATATATTCCTAATTGTTTGCTGAAATTCATATACTTGAATTCTATAATAAATCCATATATATATATATATATATATATATATTTTTTTTTTTTTTTTTTGAGATGGAGTTTTGCTCTTGTTGCCCAGGCTGGAGTGCAATGGTGCGATCTCGGCTCACTGCAACCTCCACCTCCCTGGTTCAAGCAATTCTCCTGCCTCAGCCTCCTGAGTAGCTGGGATTACAGGCATGCGCCATCACACCTGGCTAATTTTTTGTATTTTTAGTAGAGATGGGGTTTCTCCATGTTGGTCAGGCTGATCTCGAACTCCCCACCTCAGGTGATCTGCCTGCCTCGCCCTTCCAAAGTGCTGGGATTACAGGCATGAACCACTGTGCCCAGCCCCTATATTCTTTAAAACAATTTTTTTTTTTTTTTTGCTTAAGCTAGCAGGAATTGGTTTCTTTTCATTTCCAACCAAGAGGGTCTTAACTAATATACCAATATAACACTGCTATGATTGGAGTCATCTGCATTAGCTGAGAACCTTGAATAGAGTAAGAAAGAAGCACAATAATAACAATAATTAATAAATAAAAGAAAATATTTAATGGATCATTATGTGCCAGGAAATAGTTTCCTGTTGATATGTAGAAACTCACTTAATAGCAATCTAAATGTTTAAAGAGCTAATACTGTTTTGCAAAATAGTGGACTATAACAATGAAGTAAGATACTAAATAACTTTACAGATATTCTAAAACTTTAGAAAAGTAAAAATCCTCAGGCGAATTTGATAAAATATAAATTCCTGGGTGTCATCCCCAGAGACTGAATCAGTAGGTTTGCTAATTCTGATGGAGGTATGTTATACCATGCTACTAGATTCCTCATTAAGGAAATAGAGATTCTGTGTAACAATGCCTATTCTACCTCACAATTTATTTATATTTCAAGGAAATACTTGTTCCTAATAGATAGAAGCAGCCATTTTTACTTTAATACCATCCTTATCTAGAATCTTTTGAAATTCATTTTTTAATATATTAAAAACTTGCTATACTTGCTATTAAGCATTTTATAGCAGGAAGATAAAATATTATCGGGTGAGCTATGTGAAGATACTTCTTGAAGAAAATAGTTTTGCTTTCCTCCCTTAAGTATTAACAAATGGATCCCTGATGTTTTCTTCTTATTTCACTTCAGAGAAAAACAGTAGCTAATATTATTTTTTAATAACTTCAGACTTTGAATTCAAGGCTACGTCGCCAATACCAGCTTTGTATAGATTTGTAGACTTATTTGCAAGGTTGCTTACCACATGGCATAAAATGAAGAGGTTGTGTTGAGTTATCAATAAAAATATGTATATTAAACTTGGTCTTAGAAAAGAGCTGATACGGAAATGCTGTAGTAGTGCTCCAGATCTTCCCAGAATTGAAATTAACATCAGCTGCATGATATCTTTCTCTGATTCTGAAAAACATATGTTAAGAAAAATACTTAGGACAAGACCTGCAAGACACAGTTTAAAACATATTGCCCACAATGTAATTTTAAGAAACTTCATGTAGTGTTTTGCTATAAAAGACTTAAAAGATGAAAGCAATCAGTAATTGATTTGTGATGCAGTGCATTTAGCTAGTCCAGATTGGTAGAGATTGCAATTATACCAAAAACAAGTGTAAAGGACTGTTCTTTAGGCTTTCCCAGGAGCATCTCATTTGAAATAATTAAGAATTCATTGTCATAACATGAAACGTGAGGATTCACGCTGAATATTATTACTTGCTTCATTTACATTGCTTTTGATGTCAGAGTTCTTCCTCTTGGATTTCTTTCATGCCTAATTTTGTCAAGCTGCGAGTCATTCATTTTGATTTAGAAATTTTGGCAAATAAATTCTCTTGTTCTTGTCAAGTTTGTAAACACTATTTTTGTCTCTCCATTTTCTTTAAAATTTTTGGATACTACACAACTACTTGAATTTTACACAAATATTGGAGCCTAAAAGTAATTCTTATATTCTGAACAATTGCTTACACATAAATGAGTCAAAGAATTGCAAAAACAGTTTATCCTTGGAGCCAGAAGCCTTGACTTTGAATCCTGGCACTTTCATTTAGTAATGTTATGGCCAGAGGCAAGTTATTTGACCAATTTTTTTGAACAAGTAAAGATATTAATAGCTACCTCAAAGGTTTACTGAGGTGGATATTAATATCTACCTCAAAGGTTTTCTATTACAATAGAAAAGACATGTAAAAGATTTACAGATTATAAAGCAATATACACATGTAAAGTATAATTGTCATTATATGTTACCATAGCTTGATTCCCTGTGATCAGTGTTTTATGCCCACATGTAGAACATAACATGAAGATATTTTCAAGTGGATATTTAAAATGTTTCTGAGGGTGAATATGAAATCTTGTTTTTTTTATGTTAACTATGCTGACATCTAAACCTCATGGTTCTCTACCTAAATTGCAGAAACTGCAGTTAATTTTGCACAAACCTAATAGCTATTTTTGTAGCACTAAAGCTTTATTCCATGGAAACATCTCCTCCATCAGGGGCCTGGCAAATGGGTAAGTAAATACACATTCACCCAATGGCCTGGCATGCATCTGTATCCACTCGTGTTCTGGATCCCATCCCCTTAGTTTCTGATTCAGTAGATCTGTGGAGGGTTCCCCAAACTTGTCCTACTAACAATTTTCCAAGTAAGCTGCTGCTGTTGCTGCTCTGGAACTGCAGTTTGAGAGCCACTGCTCAGAATAAGGACATGGGCCACTCTTCATTGTTATACTCTACCATAAAGGTCTAGAGTCCAGTTAGGGATTGAGGAGCCTTATGAGTTAGCATTTATCATATAATAAGACACTCCTCAATGCGTCCATGATTTCAGCTTCTACCATTTTAAGAAATTAAATTTAAAATACAAATTCATGATTCATTCTCTCCTAAACTTTTGCTGAGCATCTACCATGGGCCAGAAACTTCTTTCATATGTTATGGCATGTTACCATATTTGTTACAAGAATATGGCATTTTTTTTGAAAGATGTGGCTTTAAAGTATGTTACAATGAGAAATCAAAGTTTTGGAGAACCTCTTTTGAAACAGCTCTCAAATTCCATTTGATCTTCTTTTGAATTAAGGGTGCTTGCCACATACTAGGTCCTCAAACATACTTATTTTTGAGTAAATATCCTGTTGTGTACAAAATAATTATGCATGTATACATTTAATCATTTTATAAATATTTGCCAACAAACAAATTATTGAAAACAAGGAAAGAGTGTGTGAATATAACTTATGGCTTCTTTTCACTACTCTAAAGTTATTGTTTGGTGTATGTTTTAGTTTTCATGACTATTATGAAATAAACTATTTAGAAAAATTATATTAAAGAGCTTGGAAAATGCACTATAAGTCACTGGAAAATCATCACATCAAGTATTTCGATGTCACTAGTGCATCCACAAAAATATTTCATCCAAGAATAAGAAATTGTGTTTTAAAAAAGAGAATTGCTGGAGGAGCTAATAATGTGGTCTGTGAGTAGAGTTATTCAGAAGAGTGATATCTTAAAGTATGAAGAGAGTTCTTTGCCATGCTTAGAAGGTAAAATAAAAATTAACCATATTTTAGACTTAAAGTAGCAAGTTTCTAGCTATGCTTATCATATTGTCACAGTGAGTAGCTTATTCCTGAAAGAATAAATGTTGATGACATTAAAGACCCTAATTTAGGAATCCTAAGTACTATTTAGAATTTTTTTCCCATAAACTGGAGCAAGAAATTAATTAAAGATTGAACATTTTCGTGAACTTGAGGTGATTTGTTTTGTATCTTTGTGTGTAAGCCTTTCAATCCTTCTTATGGTTATAGGTTTTATGAGGCAGGGACCTTGCTTTTTTGTTTACTTGTTTATTTTAAATTTGAGTATCTCTCATGCATAAGCTAGTTATTAGACAATGAAACAGACTTTAAATGAATGATTAAATAAATGATTCAAACATTTTATTTCAAATAATCATTTGGTAGAAACTGAAAGCTTATAAAAATGTATAGTTATTATATTTCAAACAATAGCCAAAACTGAGTTAAAACTAAAGAATTAAAATATGAATGCATTAGTTTATCTTCTTCTCTTTTTTTTGAGACGGAGTTTCCCTCTTGTCACCCAGGCTAGAGTGCAGTGGCGCGACCTCAGCTCACTGCAATCTCCACCTCCCAGGTCCAAGTGATTCTCCTGCCTCAGCCTCCCGAGTAGCTGGGATTACAGGCGCCTGCCAACATACCTGGCTAATTTTTGTATGTTTAGTAGAGACGAGGTTTCACCACGTTGGCCAGGCTGGTCTCGAACTCCTGGCCTCAAGTGATCCACCCACCTCGGCCTCCCAAAGTGCTGGGATTACAGGCGTGAGCCACCGTGCCCAGCCTATTTTTTTTTTCTTTTTTGAGACAGAGTCTCATTCTGTCGCCCAGGCTGGAGTGCAATGATGTGACAGCTCACTGCAAGCTCTGCATCCCGGGTTCAAGCAGTTGTCCTGCCTCAGCCTCCCAAGTATCTGGTGTTACAGGTGCACGCCACCACACCCAGCAATTTTTTTTTCTTTTATATTTTTAGTAGAGACAGGGTCTCACCACTTTGGCCAGGCTGGTCTCAAACTCCTGGCCTCCAGTGATCCACCTGTCTTGGCCTCCCAAAGTGCTGGGATTACAGGCGTGAGCTACCGCGCCCAACTGAATGCATTAGTTTTTCAAAACTTTCAGAAACCCTAGCAACAGAAGAGGTAGAACTATATAAATTTTAATTGCTAATATGAAATTTGCCTTAAAGAAGGCATTTATGTTTATATCATAAATTCATTTTTAGATTAACAAAATATCAGTGATTTTTTTGGAATATCTGCCAGTGATCAAATTCATTTCTCAATGCATTAACACACACGTATTTATTCAATATTCTGCCAATCCACTCAAGATAAGATTGAACTATGATGATTCTAAATAGACTGTCCCAGGTAGGGAGGATAAGTTTGTGTTAATTTGGGGGTTAGCCAGAGGAGTTAGTCACTTACGTCATTAAACAAAAAAAAAAATTCACTGCAAACCAAACCACCAACAAACAAGTGCATGTCCAAATTTATAAAACATTTAACTTTAACCAAATTTTTAAGAGAAAAACATCTATTTGACTATAAACAACAAAAACATTAACAGAAGTTGATTATTGAACTAATTTGTCAAAAAATTTTATTTTTTAGTGTGTTCAGAAATTACATGACTTTGACTTTTATATGCAAAATTAATCAGTTCAGTGATGTCAAAATACACAAATTTATTCAGGCACAAAAATTTCAAAGTTTAATGAAATACCAGTACTCACTTTTTTACTTTGTTGCAAAAAGAGGCCAGACTCGTATTGCTGCTTTGAGGTACTTCCACTAGCTGAATGGAACAACCTATTGACTTAAAATAAAATCTACTAAATTAATATAATTTGGAGAAGAGAAACTATTAAATAATTCTACAATTTTATCCTGTTTTGAAGTTTCATTCAGACTTCATTTTTAATTTTTTTTAGATTTTTTAAAAATTGAAGTAATATTTACACATAGAAAAATGCACAGATCTTAAGTATATAATTTGAGTTCTGTGGAAGGCATAAAACTCTACTATCAGTACCCCAATGACAATATAGAACATTTCTTTCATTTTAGAAAATGTCCCCATGTCTTTTTTATATCCATCTGCATATCTATTTGGTAACTACTGTTATTTAGATTTATATCACCATAAATAATGTATATGCATTCTTTTGTTTGTGGCTTCTATGTAATGATACACATGTTTTAAAATTATTTCTGCTATCACACATATCAAAGGTTTATCATTGTTATTGCTGATTAGTAGTATTCCATTGTGTAACTGTTCCACAGTTCGTTTAGTCATCTTCCTATTAATGAACCTCTGAGTTGTTTTTAGCTTTTTGGTATTGTAAAGAAAACTATTAATGCTCATATACAAGTAATTATGTGAATGCATGCTTCATTTATTGGGAATATATGCATGAATAGCTTGGGAATATATGAATGAATAGCTTGGTCAGTGAGTGCATGTAGGATTAAAGAAACCATTTTTGCCTTATGCGTTTTAAAACTGTTATTAGGTACATACACATTTAAATTTATTATCTCTTCCTGATTGACCATTTTAGCATTACGAAATGATCCCTTTTTTCTCTAATAGTACTCAGCCCTGAAATATACTTTTTCTGATATTAATAATCATACAAGCATTTTTTTCTGATTGAATGTTGTCTTTTTGTTTATTTTACTTTCAATCTATCTCTGCCTTTGTTTCTTGTGTCCCTTGTAGACAACAATTGAGTCCTTCCTTTTTTATCTCATTTGTCAATTCCTGCCTTTTGTTTGGAATGTTTATTCTATTTACATTTAGTATATTTATGGAAATTGTTAGATTTAAGACTGTCTTATTTATATTTGTTTCTATTTGTCTTTTCTATTTTATTCTGTTCTTCTGTTTCTCCTGACATGTTTATTTTATTTTATGCCTTTGCTGCATTTTTAGATTTTCTTCTATTTTTCTTTTTTTTATAATTCATGGTACTAGCTCTAGGAATTGCAATATACACCCTTAATATATCTCAGTTTACTTAGAACTACTATTGTACCATTGCATTTAATATGTAAGAATTTACAATAGCAAAATAACATTTAACCCCTTCCACCCATTATGTTATTATTGTCAAATAGTTTTTATCCACATACACAATAAATCCTACAATAACATGCTATTATATTGCTTGGTACATTGTCTTTCAAAAAATTTAAAGTAGTCATTTGTATTATTCAACATATTTACTATTTCTATCACTCTTCACTCTTTCCTAGATTCCATCTGGTGTCATTTTCCTTGTACCAGAAGTATTTAATTTGGCATTTCTCATGTGCCTGCTAGCTGACTAATTTCTTTCAGCATCTGTTTACGGTAATGTCTTTATTTTGTTTTTGGTTTTGAAACTTATACTCAGTGGATATAGAAGTATGTTTTATTTTCTTTTAAAGAATTTAAAAATGTCATTCTATTGTCTCTGGCTTCCATTGTTTTGAGTGACAAGTTTTCTTTCATTCAGATTGTTGTTCCACTGTGTGAAATCTTTTCTTACATTTTTGCCCCCTTCCCTAATTTTCTCTTTTAATTTTCAGATGTTTGAGTATAAAATGTCTATATGTGGCTGTCTTTGCATTTATTCTATTTGGGTTGTGGCGAGCTTGTTAGATCTGTAATTTGATATTTTCTATCAAATTTGAATAATTTCCTGACCATTATTTCTTCAAATTAATTTTGCTCCCTATTTTTCTTTCCTCCTGTTAGCATTCCAGTTGTCCACATATTATGTTTCTTGTCTCATAAGTCTCTGAATCCCTGCTCATGTTTATGTGATCCCTGTGTTTTCTGTACTTCAGTTTGGCTAATTTCTACAGTTTTGCTTTCAAATTATTATTTTTTCCCCTGTTCTTTCCTATCTGTTGTTAAGCACATCCAGTTACTTTTTTATTGCCTATGTTTTGTTTCCAGCGCTGGACTTGGCCTTTGTTTTTGTTCCTTTGTTTCTTGATGTTTCTAATTTCCTGCTGAGATCATCACTAGGCTAGCCATTATGAACTTCTTTAACTTTATCTACTTGAACATACTTTTAATAACCAATTTAAAGTTCCCATCTGTTAATTCCAACATCTGGATTATCTCAGAGGCTCTTTTGACTGGTAGAGTTATTTTCTTGAGCGAGAGCCAAAATTCCCTGCTTCTTTACATATCTATGCATTTTTATTTTATGTTGAATTTTGTAGATGGCACACTATGAATCGTTAAGTTTTTTTTTCATTGGCAGGCAGTTAAAATCCTTGTCTTATTTGCCTTATGATTCTGAATTTTTGTTGTTGTTAGGCCACATCTATTTTGGTTGATGTAGCATTGATTTTAGAGCATGAGTTTTACTCTTAAGACATGGCTTTGTAGCTTCATTTGAATGCCTGAAGCGCTCAGCTCAGTCTCTTCTCTAATTTGGCCCAAATTTCTGCGTTGTAACTTCAAGTCTGTGTAATTAACACAATCCTATCCAATTCTCAGCCAAACGCTGACATTATCTACTAAGGCTTGCAAGCACATCCCAATACTTGGCCAAGCCGTAAGTCCTCTCTCTACTTCTGACCCATACCCATTTCATAGCTACCTCTTCTTTAGCACTCTGCTTGTCAAATCACAGCTGCTTCTGCAACTTGGAACTGCAGGCACTGTCTTCGCAGTCAGTGATACTGCTGCTCAAATTGGGCTCCAGCAGCCTGCATAGCAGCATGAAATTACCCTCAGGCACAGACTGAGATGATCACAGGGCTTGCTTTTCTCAAGGATTTATGTTCCATACTGCCTATTCAACACCTTCAATCACCTGATTCACTTATTTCGTCTAATTGTATAGTTGTTTTGATGAGTAGGGAAAGTTTAGTAGTTATTACACTATTGTGATCAGAACTAGACAGCCCTAAGATTTACTGAATTTTAATTTAGATCCTTTGAGGTGCTACCTCTTTTGCAAGTGAATTCAAATGAAGTAGAATTAGATGTTTCTTTTCCTATGCACTTACTCCACCTGTTATTTTACTATGTTGCCATTATTTGTTTGCAAGTAAACATGAGCAATATGCTATTCCTGAATTCAAGTATCATATCTTTTCTTCTTTGCATTCATTCTGGATAGCATATCACAATATGTTTTAAGGATTTGATAAATAGTTGTTGAATAAATAAAGAACCCTTCTGCCTCACCCAGGAAACTGCAGCTGCAATAATGTTTCTTCTTTTTTAAGTCGGAAATAAATATTATTTACTGCTGATTTTACTTTGTCTAGACTCAAGCAGAGAAATAAGTAGAGAAATCTTCAAATACAGAAAAAACTCTGGTTACTAAAATGATTGGAAAGCTAGTAATAAAAGCATTAAGATGAGTCACACAATGAATACTTAATTTCCTACCCTTGGAATGATCTCAATAGAAGTTGCCTGCCAATCGTATAAATTAGGAGACTCTGGGTAAAGGGGCATTTTTTCCTACCAATAATGATATAAAGTTTCAAATCATTACAATGTGACTCAAAATATAATGTAATGAAACGTATTTGTGTTTGTGTATGTGCATTAAACAAAAAACAGAAAATATTATCAGTTAAACCTTCAACTCTGCTATTTTTATCAATGAAATGAAGGTACCATAACTAAAACCAAGTAAAATTTTATAATAGTTTTGATGAAACTGGAACTGGAACTTTATAGATGATTTTTTTTTTAATTTCCCTTTTTCTCAGAAAAAAAATCATTAATACAAGAACACATCATTTGTGAAAATTTTTTTCAAAAGTAAGATGAATAGATTTCCCTATTTAAGTTTAGTTATCTTCATTACCAAATTAACCCAATACATTATTGAATGATTCTTTCAGATTCATATTTTTACATTGACATGTATTATACTTACCTCTATATTCTTCTGCCATGTACTTTCCCACATTCCGGGTTGAAGAGAGCCTTTCAAAAGCATCAAAGATGGTTCCACAATGTTCACATGTCCACTCCTTTTATTCTCTTCTTTCGGCATGAAGTCACTTGAGAAGGATGAATTTGTTGGAGGAATGCTACTTTCAAATCCTATATGGTAGTTATGATTTTCATTTTCTAATTCTTTCTCTAGATTAATTTTATCCAAACTTGTGAATGATGGAGCTAAAATACTGAATCTGGAATCATCAGCACCATGATGTTTTCCTATGGGGCTTCCCCAGGAGCATTCTTTATTCGTATTTTGAGGTTTTGGTAACACAGAAGGACTAAAACCAATTGCTGGTGCTTTGCTAACTTGATGCCAGGAGAGTTCACGGCTTTTAGAAGTGAATTCATTCAAGGATATTTGGTGTGCTTCATTTAATGAATGCCCTGTTGAGTCCCATTTTGGTGCAGTGGGCACAAAAAAGGTGTTTTCATCAATTTCACTCTCGTAGTGTGGAATTTTGCCACTGATCTCATCTACTATCTGATCAAAACCCAGACTGACTTGGCTAGAAGAATGGGGTTGATTTACAAAGAGAAATTCTTGGTGTTCATACTGCTTTTCGTGTGATTCATTAGGATTTGGATCCGTTTGCCAAGAATATGCCATTTTTTATTTTATGTAACTGAGAGGGTTGACTCTGCTCCAAATATCTCCTTGATAATACAAAAGAAGATAGAAATTTTCCTAGAAAAAGCATAAAATGAAAGAAAATATATTGAATTTGAAAGAAAAGAGCTTGTAAGACAGATATAGGATAAATAACTATAACTAACTGTTTTGTGGGCTTTTTTTTAGCAAGTGAAATAATTCCTTAAGTACTATAAAACTCTATCAGGGCTTACAACATTATAAGTCTGAAAGGAAAGTATTGACTTTGGATAGACTGACAAAACTCCTGTGATAGAAAAATAAGTTCACGTCAATTTTAATGAAAGTTTCATGAGTCTATTCAAAGTCAATATTCTCTTTTTCTATTGAATATCCACTTATCATTTGACTACAGAGGGAAATCTATAAGCATGTTGGCATGCTAAAGTCTCTTTCATATTAGCTAAACAGTCTCTTCTTGACCAGCAATTACCCCATCCATAGACACAGTTTTAACTCTTTTCTACCCACCACAACTAATCACCTTAATATGGTTAGCTAAACTTTTTTTCCCCCAAAAAACTCGAAATAATTGCAGAGCCTTTTATACTTCCCTAAAACTACTAACATTAAATTCATCAACTGACTTTATGTTAGTAAATTCAAAAGACAGTTTTCCATCCTTTTTGAATTTATCTCTTCACAGGATTTGATACCGTTCACCATACTTAAAATTTCTTGCTTTCTCACTTTGGCTTTCCGTGACACTGGAATTTCTGTCTTTCTGTGTTTGCTCTTTCTCAAACACTGGCTTTTTTTTTTTTTTTTTTTGCCTATTATGCATTTTCCATCTTATCCTTGTCAGGGCTTTTTTTCTTCCCTGTTATTCTTTTATTGTAAATTATTTCATACCTCCTGTGGTTTAAATTACCATCCCATCCATTTGTCAATGACTTTAACCTTGGCCACTCTTCTTATTACTTAATCAATAGCTCCATTTGGATATTTTTTAAGTCTCCAAGTGAAAGTCCAAAACCAATCATAATTCACCCAAGAATCTGCTCTTATTCCAGTGTTCTATGGGGCAAAAAAATGACCCAATTATTCACGCAGCTGCTCAAACCAGAAACCAGAGTTTCACCTTTGAACCCTTCCTCATCTTTCTTCTTCTATATCCAATAATCCACCAGTCCTTGTAGGATGTACTACATAAATATATCTTAAATCTATCTTCCCCTCTCTGTCTATCACTACCATAATTGTCATTTAAAGCTTTCATATTTTCACTTGAAATATTGTATTGACTCTGGGACTCCTTTTCCATTTTCTGCAATTCATTTTTGTGCCTTATACAGTAATCCAATTATGTATGTTTTATTTAAGACACTAACCAAATATCTCCACTGGTTATAGTTTTTCAGTGGTTCCCCATTATCTCAGGATAACATTTATAATTCCTCAGTTGACTTGGAAGTTCCTTAACGACCCGTGACACTACACACTCTCTAGGTTCACCTTATGCTACTCAGTTTCATTCTCTCCCTTTTCATCATCTTGGCCTTCTGGCTCCTCAAAAGGACTTGATTTTTGATAACTGACATTTTCCCAGGGTGTTATCCTGGACACTCATCCTACTTCTTGCCTTGCTAATTCTTTTTCATCATTCAGGATTTAATTGAAATATTATTTCTTCAAAGAAACCTTCTGAATGCCCGGGAAAGGTAAAACTACTGTATATTTTCTACTGTTTACACTTCTTATTGGGACTAATAATTACACCTGTAATTACATATGTACTATTTCCCTTTTCCGTTAGATCATCAGACCATATTTGTTATTGGTTTTTCTTACTTAAAACTCAGTGCCTAGTCCATTGCTTCACTCATAGTAGATGCTCATTTGTTGACCGTATTATTTAATAAACTTTTTAAAACCACACTTTAGTTAGGAGAAAAATGAAATCGTGAAGTATTTGCTTCACTTTGATGGATTTATTAATTCTCTTAACAATTATGTGTGCATGTGGTAAAGACAAAAACAATTTTTAAAGGATAATTCTGGTAATGACTATCAAACATTTCTCTATCAATCTTTTGTTGCAATGCAATTTGATTTTTATTATGTTGGCATTTAAATTTTTTTGAAAATCATAATCACCTAAGGAATAAATGAATTAGATTTATTATACTTTATATATTCAGTAAAGTAACTGAACTAACTGATAAATTTGGGAAAGATTTTCAAGAGATGTATGTAAATGGTGTATAAAGTGTTAACCAGAAAATGAATCTCAAAATATTATTTAAAGCTATTATAAGAATTCATGAGTCACATAGCTATATCATTATCTACCTGAAATGCCCTTTTCAGGAATGGCAATTTTTCTCTTTATGTTTGTAGAATAAGCTATGTTTCATTGGAGCAAATTGTACTCCTTCAACTGTCTATCATGGAACTCAGAATTTGTCAGCAGGTGTGACTTTAATTTTGACAACAAAACTTAATATTCTGTTCCACTCTTTCTTAGCTTGACTTGCTCCTTGTAGTTTATTATGGCAAATGTAGCTACATTAAAGTGATTTTTACAATTTTTGATGCTTTCAAAACCTTGAGTTTTTTTAATTTTATGGAGCCACAGGAAGGTCTTTAAATAAGGTATCAATGGTCTGATAATGCAATTAAAGATTTCTTTAGGCTGGACGATCTTGTTATTGTTAACGATACCTAACATTTTTTGAGCACCTACTCTGTGCTAATGCTTTAGATATGTAGATATTCACATGTTTTAACATGTTTATTTCTCACTTCAACCTGTCAGATATATAATATTATTACTACCACTGAGCAAATAAAGACCTGAGCAACAAAAAAATGTATTAACTTATCTAACGTTTGAGTTTATGTTCACAGATTTATTATAAGCAGGGATTAAAGGAGGCATATGGGTGAACATGACATACTAGTATAACATGTAGAGCATGCCTGGATTTTGGCCCTGAACAGAGTATTCGCTCAAATGAACTATCTCCACTAAAAAGGGTTAAAAACTTTTTAATTTTTATTAATAACAATATTTTTTTCAAGTACTTCTCACAGCAAGCTTGAAATGGGTTAGAAGCCTGTCTGAAAAAATTTCATTATCATGAGATAAAGGAGAATGAGAAATATCTTTTCATATTGAAAATGTAATAAAAACACAACCTCTTCCAGATCCATTTCTTAATATTAAATTTGGTTGTTTTAAGAAATTTCTAGGAATTTTCAGTCTTTTTACCATCATATTCTAGAAGCTACAGTATTTCTTAGTTTATAAACAAATAAAAATATTATTTAGTTCCAGCCAATAAATGTTTGCATTTTGCATTATGAAGTAATGTATAAAATAATTAAAAGTCATACACTTCGACTTTGAAACAGAACTACACATGTAGTTTAAGAGCAATTGTGACATATTTGAGAAGGCATGTCTAAGAGTCCCTGATTTAACTAAGACTGCAGAACTATAGAAAATGTATTTTGTAGACAAAACTGTGTCCCCTCAAATATTCCCATGTTTTGATCCCTGGAACCTGTGACCACAGTAAGTTACCTGGCAAAGAGGATTTAAGGCTGCAGATGAAATTAAGTTTCCTAATTAGCTGACCTTAAAATAGAAAGATTATCTCATTGGACCCAGGGTAATCACAAGGATCCTTCAAATGGGAGAAGGAGGCAGAAGAGATCAGACTGCTGTGATATGTGGATTAAATCCACTTTGCTGGCTTTTAAGATGAAGAAAGGGGCCACATGGCTAGGAACATAAGACGTCTCTAGAGGCTGTAATGGTCAAGGGATCTCTACCTTGGAGCCTCCAGAAAGGAATACAGCCCTGATGAAATCTTGATCTTAGTACAGTGGGACCCATGTTGGACTTCTGACTTACAGAACTGAAACGTAATAAATGTATTGCTTTAAGCAACAAAGTTTGTGATAATTTGTTACAGCAGCAATAGAAAATAAATACAATATATGAACTGAAAGGTATTTCCTAAATTAACTGGAAAATCAGAGACTAGAATAAGTATAGAAGACCACACACACAAAAAAGCTCTCTATTATTGGTTGGAAAGTTCAGCTCAATTCAAACAGTGATATTTGAAAGCTGGTATTATTAATGACAACTCCTTAGTGTACCACAGTTGCTTATAACCTGGTATTCAGTTAAACTTGCAAGAGGTCAGTTTCTGTTGAGGATTAATTACTTATCTGGCTTCAAAGAGAAAGTATAGACAAAATTTCGACACCTATCAGAAAAAGGACAGCCCCTGCCAGCTGCTTCTATTTTTTAAATCTATAAAGGTGTAAATATCATTCAAACAACTCCAGTGTTCAGAATAGGAACAAAAATGTTTATTTTACAAAAGAACAACAAAAAAGGAACCTTTCTGAGAATGTTTGTTCTTGATCCAAAAAGTCCTGGCCACATTACTAAGAATATCTACAGGAGGAAGATGAGAGGAGTGTGGAAGAAATAAATTATGGGACTAAATAAAAATGATCTTTATTTCAGATAACAAATTTTAGGAATATACAATTTACCAGTGTTTTAATTTATATAAATGTCATGGGAGATAGAGATTGTGCCAAGACAGGATGTGTCAATGTCTAATGAGCTAAACCATCTGTATTTTTAGTGAGGTGGAAAGGAAGTCTGTAACTATGGCGGCTGACCTGGTTACTGAGAGGGCTCTGAGTGGAAGGATATTCTGAAATTCCCAAGTCTCTCTTCATCTGCTCAACCAATTCCCAAGTATCTCCTCACTTGCTGAGCCAAGTGTATGTATTACATAGACACACACACAGAAAATCATATTTTAGCAAGACACAAATCTGACCTTCCTCAGTTCAATTTGGTGTATAAATTCAGAGAAGATAATAACTAGATAGACAGATAGGTAGATAGATAGATAGATTTATCTTTTATTATTTACATTATCTCACTTTTCTCATTTCTAATTTGGAATCGAGTGATAAGGTAAACATTTTACTATTTACATAAGCTCTGATACTATTTTTATTTAAGTGAAGACAAGAGGTGCTTGGGGAAAACATTAATCTTTACACAGTCTTGATTAGCTGCCCTTTTATGCGAACAATTGATGTTTTCTTATTCACCTATAATCTTATAGAAGTTTCACTTCCCATTAAACTGCCTAAAGATTCTTGCATATGGAAAATTCAAAGCCATCATTTATTCTCATTTTTGAGAGATATTGACTTTAATAAATACATTTATTTATTCACACACCTATTACTCATTTGCACATTTGTTTATTCAGTAGCTGTTTTTAAGTATATATGTCAAGCACTGTACAAAACACTTGTAATACAAAAATGAATACAAAAACTATAAAATACAGCTCTGGCCTTCAAGTAGGTCATAGACAAAAATTTATATTACAGTACAATATAGGAATAACTTTAATACACACAGGCTCCATTTTATTTGTAGGATTTTATATAGAATATTATTAAGCTTATTTTGCCTTGGAAAAAGCAAAAGTAAAATTCATGAAGAACGTATTTGAGGTTTATATATTGGGTATGTTTTTGTTTAGAATGTGCAATATGTCAAAGATAATTTTGTGCAGGATCTTGAGACCTGGTTTCAAGAATGTTTTGATTCCTAAGCGTTGTTACATTTTCAACCTTAAATATAATAAAGCAGTTGAATCAGTAATTCATTCAATGCCTCTGAGTGTGTCTCAGGAGTAAATAAGACAATAAAAAGTTAGCCTCCTATTTTCACATAACAACTTTGGGGTAAATGATTTGTGGGAATAAAGCTTGCTTCAGGGAAAGACATGGAGAGTGAAGGAAACCCACAGACTGAATCCTGATAGCCTTTGAAATATGACACTTGCTGGGGGCTGCATGAGTACAACCTAGTGGCATTTGAGGAAGAAACAATAATGATTCAATTATTATCAGACAAATCTAACCTGAAGAGAATTCCAGGACAATGAGAACGCTTACTGATCAGAAGATGTAGCTGCTGTTTTCTTTGTCTACTGCAACAAATATGCAGATCCCCTTCCTCTGTTTAAATATTGTTTTACTGAGTGTTCTTTTAGTAATGAATTAGAGGACTGGAAAATTATTTTCAATAATTTATTTGCTGCTCAGATAAATTTTTTTACATTACAACTGTGAGCAATGTCATTAGGAAAAGAAGATTTCAGTGTGTCAAAGTGAGTGGGTAAGATTTCAAGAATAGAAGATTCCTAAGCTAACTTGAAGGAAGTAACAGTTTTTCTGACAGATTTGAGAAGAGGAAGAGGAGGTCTTTGAATTGGTTTCCATACAGAGGATATGAATTTGGCAAAGCCAAGGCCAAAAACAAGAAGGGAGAAAAACAGGAGTAAGAAAAATAGAAGATAGGCCAGGCATGGTGGCCCACGACTGTAATCCCAGCACTTTGGGAGGCCGAGGCGGGTGGATCACGAGCTCAGGAGTTTGAGGCCAGCCTGGCCAACATGGTGAAACCCTGTCTCTACTAAAACTACAAAAAATTAGGCAGGCGTGGTGGCGGACGCCTGTAATCCCAGCTATGTGGGAGGCTGAGACAGGAGAATTGCTTGAAACCAGAAGGCAGAGGTTGCACTGAGTCGAGATCATGTCACTGCACTCCGGCCTGGGCAACAAGAGCGAAACTCCATCTCAAAAAAAATAAATAAATTAAGAGGATAAAAAAGATGTGGAATATAAAAGGAGAAAGATGAAGTGAATGAAGAAAGGTGAAGACATGAGAAGGCACTTTGTTACAAAGTACTAGGTCATGAGTCACAGCAGTGAAAAAGGCCAACGTAGTCTTACAATCTTTTGGGAAGGAAAATTGTCAACAGACTTTTTGGCAGCAACACCTTGTGACAGAAGCAAATAATGTGATATATTTTAGATATTCAAGAAAAGAGAATTAAACCAAGGACATAAACTGACTTCAAAATTAAAGCTTCTCAAACTGTCATGACCCCGGAACTCAGGAAACATGCAGGAACTCAGAAAATATTGTTCTTATGGACTTTTAAAAATAAATACTGGAGAATAAGCTTCAGACAATCAAAATGACAGAGATATATCAACACAAAGCCTGTTGGTGAGAATTAAATATATAACATGTTTTCTTAGAGACCTCAGACAGATGAGGGACATATTGAAGACAGTTTAATATGGCTATCTGATCTGACAACATATACGTAGTTCAACTTTAATAAAAGGTGGAGGACATGAAAATAATGTAGGCTTTTTTTTATTATTATTATACTTTAAGTTTTAGGGTACATGTGCACAACGTGCAGGTTTGTTACATATGGATACATGTGCCATGTTGGTGTGCTGCACCCATTAACTCATCATTTAGCATTAGGTGTATCTCCTAATGCTATCCCTCCCCCCTGCCCCCACCCCACAACAGTCCCTGGGGTGTGATGTTCCCCTTCCTGTGTCCATGTGTTCTCATTGTTCAATTCCCACCTATAAGTGAGAACATGCGGTGTTTGGTTTTTTGTCCTTGCGATAGTTTGCTGAGAATGATGGTTTCCAGCTTCATCCATGTCCCTACAAAGGATCTGAACTCATCATTTTTTATGGTTGCATAGTATTCCATGGTGTATATGTGCCACATTTTCTTAATCCAGTCTATCATTGTTGGACATTTGGGTTGGTTCCAAGTCTTTGCTATTGGGAATAGTGCCGCAATAAACATACATGTGCATGTGTCTTTATAGCAGCATGATTTATAATCCTTTGGGTATATACCCAGTAATGGGATGGCTGGGTCAAATGGTATTTCTAGTTCTAGATCTCTGAGGAATTGCCACACTGACTTCCACAATGGTTGAACTAGTTTACAGTCCCACCAACAGTGTAAAAGTGTTCCTATTTCTCCACATCCTCTCCAGCTCCTGTTGTTTCCTGACTTTTTAATGATCACCATTCTAACTGGTGTGAGGTGGTATCTCATTGTGGTTTTGATTTGCATTTCTCTGATGGCCAGTGATGATGAGCATTTTTTTCATGTGTTTTTTGGCTGTGTAAGTGTCTTCTTTCAAGAAGTGTCTGTTCATATCCTTCACCCACTTTTTGATGGGGTTGTTTTTTTTCTTGTAAATTTGTTTGAGTTCATTGTAGATTCTGGATATTAGCCCTTTGTCAGATGAGTAGGTTACAAAAATTTTCTCCCATTCTGTAGGTTGCCTGTTCACTCTGATGGTAGTTTCTTTTGCTCTGCAGAAGCTATTTAGTTTAATTAGATCCCATTTTTCAATTTTGGCTTTTGTTGCCATTGCTTTTGGTGTTTTAGACATGGAGTCCTTGCCCATGGCTATGTCCTGAATGGTATTGCCTAGGTTTCCTTCTAGGGTTTTTATGGTTTTAGGTCTAACATGTAAGTCTTTAATCCATCTTAAATTAATTTTTGTATAAGGTGTAAAGAAGGGATCCAGTTTCAGCTTTCTACATATGGCTAGCCAGTTTTCCCAGCACCATTTATTAAACTGCCCTAGGTAATTTATAGATTCAATGCCATCCCCATCAAGCTACCAATGACTTTCTTCACAGAATTGGAAAAAACTACTTTAAAGTTCATATGGAACCAAAAAAGAGCCCGCATTGCCAAGTCAATCCTAAGCCAAAAGAACAAAGCTGGGGGCATCACGCTACCTGACTTCAAACTATACTACAAGGCTACAGTAACCAAAACAGCATGGTACTGGTACCAAAACAGAGATATAGACCAATGGAACAGAACAGAGCCCTCAGAAATAATGCCGTATATCTACAACTATGTGATCGTTGACAAACCTGACAAAAACAAGCAATGGGGAAAGGATTCCCTATTTAATAAATGGTGCTGGAAAATAATGTATGCATTTTTAAGAAAACTCTTTTTGTTAATCATATAAGTGACTGTATTAGAATTTTCATCCTCATAATATTTTGTGTGTAATGCTGGATTTTAAAAAATGAGTAATTCTAGCATCCCCAGCATCTCTCTCTTTCTCACTCTCTCTCTCTCTATCTCTGTGTGTGTGTGTTTGTGTGTGTCTATGGATGGGGGTGTGTGTGTGTGTGAGTGTCATTTCTTATAACTTCATTCCTTGGAAGGCCTAGAAGTAATGTTCATTTCAGTACAATGAGCATTCCTCACATTCAGATTGTGGTACTGGAACATCATTACCTAGTAAAAGAAAGCAGGGTTGCTTGGTGGACCAGTTGATTTCAGGTTTGGGCAGATAATGTATACGATGAGCTAGGATGTCCTGTGACTCTAGTTCACAAGAAAGATATCAAAGAATATGAGGGTACATCAATAGAACCTGTGAGCTAACTCAAAGAGGCTCTTACTAGCTAATACAAATATGTTTATATCCATGAATTCACATGACACACATTCATGCACAATGAATTAATTGTCTTTGTACAATGCAGGGTTAATAAAGTGTACAATCAAACATTTATTTTGTCATTGTTAAAATAAAGCTGTCACTGGATAACTAAGTAATAGATGAGGCAAAGTTTCTCTTTGTAGAAGAGAAATAAATAAATGAAGAAAGTGATGAAATTGCATTATCAATATTTTACAGAAACTAATGAATTATAAAAACTAGGCATCAAGCATTGGTGACTGCTAATATCACAAGAAGAGAAGCAGCCAGGTGTTTTGTGCTTCCTGATAAAGAATTCAAAACTACCATGAAGAAGTCTTGCCAAAAATTCTAACTTGAATATATTTGATTAAGCCTCTAGATTTAATTACCAAGGCCCAGGAAATATGGAGGACAGAGGTACACATTAAACTAAATCAGGTGGAAATCTGTACAGAAAAAATAATATGGTTTCTTTAACAAGTAAATTTCTAGAAAAAAATAAACGGAGCAGGAATACATTAATTAAAAAATACTTAAAAATACTACTCCCCAAAATAAGGGAAAATAAAGCCATGCAATTTAGGAATAAACACTTGCTTGAAGAAATTATATAGAAAAGTACAGAAGTGATATCAGAAGAGTGTTTACTCATGGGGAGACAAAGGGCATTGTGTTTGGGAGAGTAAGCAGGGCTTTCTGGATGTTAGGAAATTTCTAGACATGGGAGGTGATTACAAGTTTGTTCAATTTCTAATAGCACATTAAGCTGTACCTTTATTTTGTGTAGTTGCTAATATCATCAATTTAAAGAGTATTAGGTAGCATGATTCATTGGATGTATGAAACTGAAGGACTTGTACAAAATCTATGTGAAGATGCCGAATAAGCAGTTATTACATGTGGGTCTTGAATTGAGGTGACATATCTTATGGTTTATTCCATAAGTCTTTTTTAAAGACGGTTAAGAGATTAAGAAGAGATATCAATATGAGAATAAAATCTCAGTATAAGAGACAATCAGTATATAATGGATTGACCCCAAAAAGAAAAGTACAGAATAGTCTGAGAGGTAGGAGAAAAATAATAAGCCACTGCCATCTCACTTTGTCCACTTGTGGCCCTGGTAAGAGGAAAATAAGTGAAAAGCAAGCTGCTTCCTTTTAAGGACCTGATGAGACCTGCATATATCACTTCTGCTCACATCTCATTGCCCTGAATGTATAACAACAGGAAGGCTGGAAACGCAGTCTCTTATTTTGTTTGCCATGGGCCTAGGGAAAAACATGAGTATTTTATTACTAAAAGGAATAAATGACCTTATTTAGAAAAATCATGATTGAATGGCTTTGAAGTTCTCTGGGAAGCCTGGAGTTAGAGTGTGAAATGAAAATGCTGAGCCAAGTGTAACTAGCAGGAAAGTCTCTAACAGATGCGGAGGAACAAGGTCAGAGGAGGTCAGCAAGTAGAAGAGACATGGGGCAGTAGCGAAGGATGTCTGGGGACTCTAAGGAATGGAATTTTATGCTGTGTTGAAAAGGAGGGGCCTGGTAGTCAACAGCCATATAGAAGAATGTGGTGGGCCTGTCTCCTATTCCTTGGTATGAGGGGCATGGGACTATGAACAGCTTCCACTAGAGTGTCACAAAAGAACAGAGTCCTAAGGGAGAGCCAAGTCTTCCTTACAAAAAGAGGGTAAAGGAAGCCTAAAAAAATCAGCAAAACATCTTGCATAGATTAAATCTCAAGTGAAAGAATGTGTCCCACTGTATATTTTACAAATTGAGATACTGTCACTCTTCTTGCTTTTATGAGAAAAAATATTAATCAATTCAGATGTAGTTCGTAAAATTATAGTTTTAATTTAAATACCTTTTAAAATTTATATATTTTAATAATAGAAGGAGTTGGTATGTTAGTAAACAACTTCAGGCATGTCAAAGTTACATTTTTAGAATATGAAACTATTCCTTAAGAGGATTTATATTTATAAAGCATTATATCTTTTAACCATAAAGTACCCACAATAGACTGTTTTCTGTTATTTTAAGTTGTCTAGAATTAGAGTAAAACTATAAATCATTGTATAGCTAGCCTACATTTTATAGAATACTGGTCCAATAAACATTGGGACTGGTTTAACTGATAAGTTTTACCTCACTTGGGAACTAAGACACTGCATATTTTCCTGGAAAACAGTAGTAGTCCTTGGGCCACATTTAATGTTATTCCCTAAGTTCAGCATAACTCTACAAAACTAAAGGAGAATTTCAGCACCATTTAGTCAAAGGTAACAGGGGTTAATGAGAGAGAAAAAAAAAAGATGGGCTCAAGAGAGTTTTATCTTCACTCTTCATTAATAGCTGCATGACTCTGAGTAAATTAGTAAACATTTCTAACATCTCAAATTTGTTATTAATAAAAATAGAGATATTAATAACTGCCTTCCATAGTGTTAATAAGTATTATATAAGAAAAACTTGTCGGGCTGTGCGCAGTGGCTCACGCCTGTAATCCCAGCACTTTGGGAGGCTGAGGTGGGTGGATCACCTGAGGTCGGGAGTTCAAGACTAGCCTGACGAACGTGGTGAAACCCTGTCTTTACTAAAAATACAAAAATTAGCCGGGCGTGGTGGCTCACGCCTATAATCCCAGCTACATGGGAGGCTGAGGCAGGAGAATTGCTTGAACCCAGGAGGTGGAGGTTGCAGTGAGCTAAGATCTCACCACTGCACTCCAGCCTGGGTAACGGAGAGAGATGCCATCTCAAAAAAAAAAAAAAAGAAAAGAAAAAAAAAGAAAAAAGGGTAACTTGTCAGTGTCTGACAAATAGTAGCCACATCATTTTATAATTGCTATTTGGATGTATCCTGTAATCCATTAATTTTTGTCTATTTTATTTAACTGATTCTATGTATTTTAACTGATAATAATAAAATAATGTGTATTGTCATCTTTATTTCCATTTTGCGTAAGCATTATTGTTAGTTACCAATGTAATGCAGCAAAATTTTCCACTCATGCAAAAGATTACCCTTGTTTTTATGAGTATTTGACTGTGAATGGAAGTAAGTAGCAGAAAAAAATAATTCCATAACAGTTTCTTCTTTGCAAAACTCTAATATTGTTCTGAAACCAAAGTGGTAAATAGTTTTAGCTCTTAAATGAAATCTCCTTACATGGTAGTCACTTTACAGGACATGGTTTGAGAAGACTTGCATGGGTGAGGAAAACCTAGGGGAGATAATGTTTCATTACTGCCCTCTGCCCAGATGCAGGAGAGGGGAGAGAAACTACATATACCCCAATGTATCTATTGCTGTTCTAGTGGCTAGAAACATGTGGATGTTCTTCACCAAAAAAAAAATTATAGGTGAATTAATTATGCAAAATATAAAAAATATGAACAGATACCTACTTAATGATGTTTAATATTAATGTAATTGTTAGCATGAGGATATAGGTTCTTAAGAAATCTAAGTTTCAGCTGGCACAGTGGCTTATGCCTATAATACCAGCACTTTGGGAGGCCGAGGCAGGAGGATAGACTTGAGGCCAGGAGTTCAAGATCAGCCTGGCCAACACGACAAAATCCCATCTCTACTAAAAATAAAAAAATTTGCCAGGTGTGTTGGTGCACGGCTGTAATCCCAGCTACCTGGGAGGCTGAGGCATGAGAATTGTTTGACCCAGGAGGTGGAGGTTGGAGCACTGATATGCACCACTGCACTCCAGCCTGAGTGACAGAGTGAGACTCGTTTAAAAAAAAAAAGAAAGAAATCTAAGTTTTGACTGAATCTTTGACAAAGTTATTGTTATGGTGAATGATATATTTGATAAGAATATGATTTAGAGAAAGATCTAGAAATTTTTTGGAAGGCAAATGTAGGTAAAACCAATGGTAAGTTGAATACACTGGTAATTTTAATGCTTCTGAGAACACAGCACACACAATGATAAATACCACATAAAATTATTTTTTAAAATATGGCTAATACGCACTGTTTGAATAGTCACATTTTATTTTCACTATTTAAAACAAGTATCTGAATTATGTCATATGATTCACTGCATAGGAGGCACAACAGTGGGAATTCATCTAAAAATCAATGTAGTCTAAGAGTTAAATGAATTAGTATGGGAAGGCTGAATGAAAGAACAGATAGGTAGAAAAATTCAGAAAACTTTGTAAAAACTTGAAAAAGGTTACAAATTATGAAATTAAAAGCTGGTCAAATAGACTGTGGTTTCGGGAAATAATATCCTTAATGATATCTCTAATCTTAGAATAATAATAATAATAATAACAATAAAAATCAAGGTTCTTAGCATCAATACAGTTGACTTGCTGTAGAATGGTATCTGGCTGGTAACATAACTCAAAAAATTAAGCAAATATTTTATGAATTGAATAAGCAAACAAAAAAATTCATTTAGTATAGCATTACCAGCCACAAAGACTCACATCCATTCAGTCAACTAAATTTTTATCATATGTAAGTCAAAACAGATTAAACAGAAATGGAAGGAAAAAATCCACACGTACTGGCTGGCCCTTGCTTTGTATCTGGAGGAGAATAAATATCCCAGCCTGAAAAAATGGTAAAGAAATGGTTCATTTTCCTGCTACTGCTGAATTGGGAGATATAGGGTCGGATCAATTCCCTCCACCGCCCTAAAAAGGTTGATCTGTTGCACAGCAACACCTTTCAGTAGCAACGAGGGCCACATGGCCACTTAGCTTTCTACATGCGTTCTAAGACTAAAATTTGCATTAATGCAAAATGTCGCATCTATGGTGACTGTGCATTTGTTTTGCCTTATGTAGGAACGGGGGATGAATGTTTGGGATACAAAGAATACCATGAGAAAGTACAAAAACAGTCCACTTCTGGCAAAAGAAGAACTATATATTGGCTAGAATTACCTAGATACGTATACCTTCTCAAAATAGTCAATTGGACATGAAAGCAATATAGATGAAGTCCAGAATTTAGGGAAATTAAGTGACTGCTAGTGACCAGAAATCAGATGAAGTCTGTTCATATTTACCATCCCTTTAGTTGAAAATCTGAGAAACATGCTCTAACAGGTCAATAATGAGAGGAACCAGGCAAGATAAGCTGCAGACATTATTTATGAGTCATCAACGGAGAGAATTCAAAGGACGAGTAATTGGGAAAAATGTGTTAATATAGATGTGCAAATATTCTGCAAGAAATAAAGTGAATGCTTATCAAGACATAAAAGAAGATCTTACTTCTGAAAAATATATGCTATGTATAACGAAGTAATTATTATAAAAACAGTAGTTATATGTGATCTATAAAATTAAGAAATCATGTGTTCTATTAAATAATCTATAAAATTAAAAAGTAGCAAAACAAAATGAAAAAAAGAAGAAATTGGGTAAGAGAGAGATGCCAATAAAATGGAGCTTAATGAGATACTGAGATGTGAAGAAACTGAAAATTCAGTCACATATTTAAAATATTCCTTAAAGCAGAATTGATACATCAGAAAACTAAATTTTGAATTAAAAATTGAGAAATACTATGAATACAGAATAAGAGGAACAAGTGAGAGAAAGTATAAGATGTGATACTACAATTGTAACATTCATAGAAAGGAGAGAACTATCACTGTATTATGGAAATCCTAAAAATAAATCAGAAAAAGTAGAAACAACCAACATTGAAGATGGCAAAAAAAGAAAACCCTGAATATGCATATTACATCTGCATATGTATATGGTACATATATACATAACCAGAAAATATATGTGTATTGTGATATTTTAAAAATGAAGCATTTACCCAACATGAAAAAAATGAAGAAAAAGAAGAGAATGAGGAGGAGGAGGAAGAAGGGAGGGAGGGAGAGAGGACGAGAGGAGGAAGAAAAAGGAGGAGAAGAAAGAAAAATCTATCTGGACATACAGTTTACTTGTAAAGACAAACTGCCTTAAGATAATGGAACTATGTCTACATAGTTCTAAAGTAAATATGTTCTATACCAAACATTCAGTTTGTCTTTTGTATGTGAGAGCAGCTAAAACATATTTGAACATATGTAAGTGCTCACAAACCTTTGTGCACTTCTAATGAGTAACATGCATCCGGCCACAAAATTTTAATCAAAATAAGAACTCAATAATAGGGAACTAATAGTAACTCTTTAAAAACCAGTTAACATTGACTAGGTCTAAATAATGATTGCAAATATATTTTAATAATTTCAAAATTTACTCCGTATTAATGAGCAAGGTGGAGTCTTAGATTATATTTCAACTAAAACTGAAAGGCATGTTAAGTGTTCTGTCTTACAAGAGGAAAGGGGATAAAATATGCTGTTTTGTTTCTATCAATGCTTTTTTAAAAGTTCATATATATTTGTTTGTATATATAGAGTTATTAAGTATTATAGAACTATTAGTTGGAGAAAAATACCATCCGTATTTTCCAAAACACTAGAGGAATCAAAATGTGATAACATTTACATTATATTCAGCAGGAATATAGGAAATTAAAAGTATGTTTTAAGAATAGCAAACAGAATGGGCCCTGTAGGATCACTGACATCTAATGATGATAAATATAAGCAGTTAATAGGATTAAGAACATTATGCAAATATAAATTTTCTATTGCGTAGTGTTTTTTTTTTTTTTTTTTTTTTTTTTTTAGATGAAGTCTCGCTCTTGTTCCCCAGGCTGGAGTGCAATGGCACGATCTCGGCTCACTGCAACCTCTGCCTCCCGGGTTCAAGCGATTCTTCTGCCTCAGCCTCCTGAGTAGCTGGGATTACAGGCGCCTGCCACCATGCCTGCCTAATTTTTATATTTTTAGTAGAGATGAGGTTTCATCATGTTGGCCAGGCTGGTCTCAAACTCCTGACCTCAGGTGATCTGCCCACCTCAGCCTCCCAAAGTGCTGGGATTACAGGCTTGAGCCACCACGCCCAGCCTATTGCATAGTTTTTGTAACAGAAACACATAAAAAAATTAAAGCAAAGTTAAAAGTATTACCAAATATATTACTCAAACATACACACCTACACAGACACACACACAGAGACATGCAAAATGAAGCAAGAGAGGCAATATTAGTAACAGAAAACTGTAGGCTAAAAGCATCAAGACCATTTTATTGAAATTTTTACATAAGTTATAATAGATATAGGCATTTATGAATCAGGTAAAAGTGTGTGTTTTAAGATGAATTAATGGAGGCTTCTGGAATTTTATAACCAGCTCAATTTATTAACTAATATTAACTTTACATTTATACTATATATATTTAGCTTTTCCATCTGCTAAAGATTGAATCCTTTTGTTTATCAATAAATCATACAAAAACATTTGTTTTGCATTTAATTTTGTATTTATTCATGATTCCTTAAATGATGAAGCATAAATGAACATACCTAAAATGTGAAAAATAATTTTCTCACATCAGAAACCAAGTATCAAGGACATATTTGAGAAGGGGATTTAACCAGAGCCCAAGTGGCAGAAGTACAGATTAAAGAAAAATTTGCCACTAATTATTCTGGAGAAGGTTTTTCTCCTTGGAGTTTGAATAAATAGCCACGCACATGTATACACAAAAATATAGAAACACACACAACCATGAAATAATCAAGCTGATGCTTATAAAATTATTTCAGTACTATGAGAAGAGAATGTTATCATGAAGACTCTAAGAAAGAGAATTCTCAAAATCATTGAGGAAAAGGCTTGCTGAGTGAGCAAATGTTCAGATGCCCCATGCAGGCTTCTACAGTGGGTTATTAGTCTGGTAAGACAGAGGAGAAAAGAGTGGTGATGCTGATCTCAATCTACAGAAGACACTATGCACTGTGAGCCAGGTAGATGGTTTTTCTCCCCACGCCCAGAGAGAGTTTTCTCAAAAGGTTGAGTGTTGATGAGAAAGTATTCAGAAAAATAGATCAGAATTCAGCCTGTCTGCTCACACAGCTGATTTTCTTCTTTTGTTCTCACATACAATATTCCAAAAAGTAGCTGTCTCCAGAAAAAAAAAAATTACTCCTATTCAAAGATGCACAATACCAAGAAAGTAATCATAATGGAACCTAAGCAAAAAATATCACAACAAAGGAGGAAGCCAACGTGATCTCAGCGGGAGGTGGAAATATGAAGAATATAAGCCAATACTCAACAAAACAGCATTTTGAAAAGCAGAACAAAGTAAAAATGTGTTCTCATAACCTGTTTATCTCTAGGACATTACCATTAATGGAAATTTTTAAAGAATGTGCTTAAGAGTAGAAGGAAAATTATCCCAGGGAAGGTCTGAAAAATACCAGAAGGGGAGGTGAGTGAACATGATAGTAAATACGTGGATAATTCTGGACTAACGTTGACTATATAAACAATAATAACAATTTCTAATCTGGAAAGCAAAATAAGTAAGATATAATGAAATACTAGACTATAATACTATGTAAGTTGGGGTTGAGCAATCCAACTTAAAAAACATTTTCTATTGAGAAAGTACAGATATAAATTTTGATTTTTGAAGAATACATGTTAAATTTTTAGATAATACATGTATATTCAGATAATAGAGGGTATATTTTCTACCGGTAGGAAGCAAAGAATGAAAACAACAACAAAAACAACAAACATCAATCAAGTTGGGAGAAGTTCCGTAAGTGAGAAGATGAGAAAAGGGTGGCACTGATTTCAATCAGCTGGAGACAAACAATTGCCTTGTCCTATCTTCAGCTGAAGCACAAATATAAATGTTCTCTAAGATGAAGAAATGAAAAGGTATATATCAGAAACACATAAATGTGAATTGTCTGGTTATGTCATATAAAATCTATAGATTGTTACATTTTATTAAGAAAAAAAGCTAAATGAGATTTGTTACAGATATACCAGAATTTAAAGGATAAGTATTGCTTAAAATTTAAAAGACGAAAAAGGTATCACAGGCAATTTGTAATAATATCGACAACAACAAAAAACTGATGTCATTACATTGAAAAGACAAAACGAACCTATTGGAAAAAGTAATTCAGGAGGTAAAGAATAACACTTTATAAGGTAAAGAGTCAATTCACCAGGTGCATATCACAGATTTATACTTAAAAATAATTCATTTGAAATTTAAATGGCAACAGTTTATACTGCTACAAGGAGAAACTGATATAGCCACATTTATAATGGAAGTAATAGTAATCTCACATCATTTGTAGAGTGATCAGTCAAAAATATACAATTAACAAGCTTAATTCAATGAACATATATAAGATACTGTATCCAGTATTGGAATTTATACCTTTATAAGGACAAGATGGCTTATGAGAAATGATCATATATTTGGCTAATTTTAATATAATTCAAAGTCAGTATTGTACAGACTGTTTTCTCTGTCCCCAATGTAGTCAAAATCAGTAAAAATAAGATAACTTACAGAACTCATGTTTTTAAACTTAAAAAACATTTTTAAATAACTTGCACAGTGAAAAACCACAATAAAATTAGAAAAACTTTGAGATAAAAAATAAGGTTGCCAAGAAAAATACATATTTTTGCATAAGAAATTCAAAGATACACATCACTCTTATTTTATAGCTGAAAAACTCTTGAAAATATTTCAGCCAACAGAAAAATAAATCATAATAATTTAAAATGCAAGAGTTTTGTCATAAAAGGTCTATTGCTAAGAACTGATAACAGTTAAAATGGATTTATGCCTAAACAATTTAATCATATTTTGCTATGATTATCTGTATAACATTTCATCAGATCATACATTTGGAAAATAGCAAGAATTTAGTTAGAAATACAATACAATGCTTTTCTAGATTGGAAATGATTACTTCATCACGTTTTCTTCCTAAGCTCTGAGAGAATTGTACCATGTTTTGCTTACTTGAAGAGGGCTTCCTCACGACCAAAATGATTCCAGCTCAGGCAGAAGAAAAAGTGAAATCATAGCCTTGGGGTTCACAATGGCATCACAGGATCTTGCTTATTTAATGAATCAGTGAAGACTCACCTACTATGAACCTTTTCTATAGGAGGTAGAAGTTGTCTTTTTTTTTTTTTTTGTCAGCTCACTCATGGTTAGCTATTTTCTTATGCTCACTATTTTCTTATGCTCAATTCACAAACTTGCTTTTTATCTGGTTCAGATGGCAGATAGACATGCGTGGAGAATAAATAACATGTCATGGAAAGAGCCCTTGAGTTGGAATAAGAAAACCTTGATTAAAATCCAAGCTCTTAATAACATTATTAATGACATGAGGGGTATGTGTTCTTTAACCTCGCTCTCTGAGTCTGTTTCCTAAGATGCAATAATTACATTAGCTAATGCATTTAAAAAGGAGATCACTATGTACAAGTTATATATTATGATTAGTTTGAAAGAATGGGGTATATCTTATCTCTAACTTTAATCCTAAGCTTCAGAAATAGAATTGTTCATCAGACAAGAACATAAGGGGGCAACTGGGACACACAATAGGTTCACATTGGCCTCAGTGAGCTACGAATAAAGAGGTAGGCAAACAGCAGAGACGGACCGCAGCACAGAGGGAGGAAATGGAAATAGAACAGAGCTTCTCCCTAGCAGGAGTTGCTTCTAGTTTGGATCCCATATGTTAAGAAATTCCACCTTCCATTTAACAAGAATTTCCTCTGGGAGCCATCATGGGGATGCCGTCTACAAGCTAGTGGCACGAGATTCAAGACACTAAAAGTGTACACTAAGAAAAATCTACCAGTAGACATGAATGAAATAATTAGCTCAAGGCTCTGATGAAATGGTATGTTATCAAATGCAATCTGTGGTGTCAGCTAGCTGGAGAGAGAGAGAAAGAAAGAGGCAGAGGGAGGGGGGAAAGAGAGAAAGAATAAGTTTATTCAGGAAAGATCTATCTTCTGGTTGTAGATTTTGGGGAATATTTACAAGCTGGATATCTCTGTTTCAAAATATGGCACAAACTCACTCTGATTTTAAATTCATCTACCATTTTTGTATCACAGTATAATTAAAGAGCTATTTTGCCTCAATAATATATTTGAGTCGAAATATCATGCTATGTAGTTAAGTATAGGAAGTTTATTTGTTTTAGTTTCTTACCTGACGCATATATCTTCCTGAAATGAAACACGATCTCATTTCTTTTCAAGAGTCAAATACGCTCACACAAGCTAAAACACTTCTATTTCAAGGGAACGTGATGCTTCCACTGGAAGCTTTTATTCCTGTTTGGCAGGTTGGGCGTGTTTGGAAATCTATTTTCCATCAAACCCTGAAGGGTTATATGGAAAAAAAAAGAAAAAAGGTTTGCATTGACATAATGAATAGAGGATTTAAGCCAAAAACCCAACCATAAATGAGCTTCTCTGTGCTAAACAGAATTCGGGCCAAAGATACTGATCAGCAATATACAAACGAAAATATATTTTTTAAAAATGTGTAAGGTGGGCATATTTCCCCTCAAATTACAGCTAAGGTTATTATGCATTTAAACGTGGAGGTGGTTGGATGTGGTGAAACCAGTGGTCTCAATTTGCAGGAGCAGAGGTGAGCCCTTGAAAAAGGTATTCTAGCCATTCTGTGAGTTTCACCTATCGAGGTATTTTCTTTATTTAATTAGAATTTAATAAGTTCATTTTTTTCTAATTTAGAAAGATATTAATTTTTAGTTTAGCCTTAGGATGCATAGTAAATTTCAATTTAAATATTTTTAATAACATCTGAAAAGGAACAGCAAAATAAAACAATATTTATAAGATTAGCAAGTAGATGTGGGTGGTTTATTGTTTTGGTATACTGCTCTTGAAATTGAACAATGTGTGGAGACTCTGAGACAACACAAGAAATTATATAATTAAATCCAGGTAAAATAGGATCTGCCAGAAGTAGGCCTGCTTTACTGGGAGAAAGTTTTAGGAAATAAAAATAAATTGGATTACTCTTGTTTCCAAAATATGTCGTAGGATCCTTTTGTTGTTGCTGTTTTTTTCTCTTCTTTTTTCTTCTTTTTAGATTTATAGTAGTTTTCTGTAAGAATGATTTCTTACATGGAAGGGTAGAGAAGAGAAAGTTGAGAATTATATCACTTTCAGGGCTACTCATGGAAAGATATTTATAGTATTGAAGGTTCACAATTGTACAACACCATCCCCTGACCCTTGTACCCCTTCTGTTCTAAAGCTACAAAGGTGTGAGAGGTCACAGAAAAATGGGAGCTTGACCTAGAAGTGGAGGGTGATGTCACACAGGAAAACAATCATACCTTTATATTTTAATAATAACCTGAGCTGCAATTCTTAGCTTTGGAACTCTGGGGAGATAGATGACTTTAAAAATAACTTTACATGTAGTGATTTTTTCCAAATACATTTATGCTAAACCCTTAAAAATCTCTTTAAATTAATTCCTAAAATGAGCCACTATTTAAGAAAAATAGTCCCTTCAAAAATTGAAACATTTTGGATCTACAAATCTCTTACCACACATTAAAGTAGGCTCATACATTTTTCAGGAGGACTTATGAGAGCTGGACTGGGTTGAAAAGGAACAATCTAATCTTGATAAAACTCAAAGATTAAGGTTAGAACAGTTTGATAGTCATTATTCATTAACAAGAAAGGGTACAAAAATGTACCTTGTACTTTGTTTCCTTTGAAAATATGTTCTTCAATAATTTATCTTTCCTTGCTTAACATGTACGCTTACCTATTTTAGTAGCACTTTTAATTAAAATAAAATCCAGAGAACAATTAAGCTTCTTCTAAAATTTACTTTTTTCATGGCTATGTCCTATGTCTAAAATTTAAACACACAAAGCCTTCTGTCTTACCTGGTAGTAGTCTACTCCGTTTTTTAGGCAAAGTATTTAAGACAGAATGATCAAGCTTCAACAATGAAATGCAAATTTTATTTAAAAATCAATGTTTACGTGCAAGTTTATTTGATTTCCTGTCTATTATGTTAACATTAATTAGGTTATTTTGTTTATGCATTTTATTGTAAGAGTCAAAATTTTAAGTTCCATGGTGAACAGCCTTCTAAAACTTTCTTGCTTGTTACATTAAGAAATCAATGTCAAATTATATATAACCTTCTATTTTTTTCTAAATAGGCTTATTTCCCCCCACTCTAAAGCAAATGTGATTTCTTTGTTCAAAATTCCTCAATTTTCAGAACACACACTGCAAGATGAGTTCTACAAGTGTCCTTACTCATCTGCCTGTAGTCTTGCTCGAAACCTGGGAAAGATTTTTCAACACTCGCTCTGCCAGTAGGTAGAACTTAGCAGAGTTGTCTTTAAAGTTTAATATAAAGAGTTGTGACCCAGACCCCGAAGCTGGCTACCTGCATATTTCATACATGCTCCACATTTTCCATCTCATTCTCTTTTTAATGTTATTTGTATATACCCATTTTAAAGCAGGATCTCACTTTTTAAGTCAAAAGTTCTGATAGAGTATCTACTGGGTACTTAGCAGCTACCTAGTACAGGTTATAATGTGGTGAAAAAGACCGACAAGATTTCTGCTATCATGAAGATTACAAGAGCAACTTCCCACCCTGTTGCCTAATAGAGTGACCCGAACCTAGTTACTACCTGGGTGAAAAACAAATGAAGGCAGATACAGGTAATAATGCAGCTACTTGAATATTTCTCTTTCAAATATAGGAAACTGCCAGAGAAAGGAAAATGTTTTGATCAAGTTATTTAGAAATTAAGTGCTAACTGCATTGCTGCTCTATTAAAAAGTAAATTGCTTATTCATTCACTTTAAGAGGGAAAAAATGAATCAATAGAATATGAAATTCTTTATAAAGATAGAGCTTTTAGACATTCCAAAAATACTATTTAATGTCTAGCATAAACAAAATATTTATATCGATTTTTCTAAGTCTTATACAACCTGAGCCTCAACATTTTGTACTAAACTTGAACCAATCATTTTAAGACGATATTCATTATCAAAGAATCAACATAGATGAGAGATTCATCTACTGCTATATAAGTAGAATGAGTACATATATATAATAGAATCCTCTCCCGCCCTTAAAAAAAAAAAAAAGGAAATCCTGACATTTGCGCCAACATGGATGATCCGGAGGGCATTATCTTGAGTAAAATAAGCTAGACATAGAAAAAGAAATACTACATAATCTTACTCATGTGTGAAATCTAAAAAAGTTAAATTAATAGGAGCAGAGAGTAAAATGGTGGTCACCAGAAGCTGTGGGAGGGAGACTGGGGAGATGTTGGTCAAAGGATACCAAAATTTCAGGTAGACAGGAGAACTAAGTTCAAGAGGTCCATTGTGCAACATAGTCATTATGGTTAAAGCAATGTATTGTATACTTGAAAATTTGTAAGACAGATTTTAAGTGTTTTCACTACAAAAAAAAAATGGTATGGGAAGTAATGTATATAGTAATTAGCTTTATTTAGCCACTCCACAATGTATATGTCAAAATATCATGTTGTACACCATAAATATATACAATATAAAAGAGTAGATTGAACAATCATCTGTCATTTTCATTATTAATTTGGAAAAAATAAGGCTTTAATAATATATGCTCTTCTGTGGTGCCCATTGTTCAGCAGGAGCAGAGGTGGATGTTTTGACCCTCTGCCAAGTGGACATGCCTTACTCTAGATTCTGAAAATCTAAAAATGACACTTCCCATATGCCTTTGCAGCCGAGAGTCAGGATGAGAGTTGGTTCTACCAAGAAGTTGTATTTGTACAGGTAAAAGGTACAAGCAAGGAGTATATTTCTTTATCTCTTTCTGTTTCTTTTCTTTCTTTCTTTTTCTATCTTCTTTCTTTCTTTCTCTTTCTTTTCCTTTCTCTTTCTTTCTCTTTCTCCTTCTTTCTTTCTTTTCTTTCTTTCTCTTTCTTTCTTTTTCTTCTTCTTTTTTTCCTCCCTCCTTCTTCCTTCCTTCCCTCCCTCCTTCCTTCCACCTTCCTGTCTCCTTTGTCTTCTTTCTTTTTTCTTCTTTCTTTCTCTCTTTCTTTCTTTCCTTCTTTCTTTTCTTTTCTTTTTTTCTTTCCCTCTCGTGTACTGGCAAGGAAGATCTTGTTTTTCAAAGCAATACTGCAGTATCTATTCTTCACTTCCCTTGGTGTTGAGAAGCAGCTGTGGCAAAAGTAGTGGTGATAGCTGATTCCCAGCTTTCTAATTCTGAGATTGCTTTTATAGTGGATTGTTCATCTGCAATAGTCCCAGTGGTGATCTCAGTCCCTGGGTGTGTCAGTTCTCCTGTGCTGTGTTCCAGCCTAGAGCCCACAACTGTGGCTCTTCCTATCATTATTGCAAAAAGTAGTTTATTCTCTGTGTTAAATGAATCTTTCCTGCTTTAAATATTTAGATTTGTTTCTGAATAACAGTATTGCATCAAACCGAGAATTGTCACCCCGTATCTTTTCTTAACCTGTTTCCACAATAGAGTTTCAACTGGTCACATGCCCATCCAACTTAAGACTTCCTTTTTCAACCTCCCTTTTGAGAGGTAGGACCATGTGTCTAAGCTCTAGACCATGGAATTTAAACAGAACATATTTGGTACTTAAGGCTTTGTCCTTAAAGATTAAAGCATGCAATATTCTGGAACCTTTCCCTCTTTCTGATAGTTGTGTCAGGCATGGCAAAAGCTGTTTCCCTGAATCCAGAGACAGAAGTGACATATTGAGAACGGAAGAGTTGTCCTGCCAACAACAAGTAACCTACCACTTGATATTTAGTGAGACATAAATTTTTATCTAGTATAAAATGCTGTGTTTTAGGGTCTCTTTCTATGTTTTAATGACATCTAATCTTAAATGAAACATGACTTGGTTACTAGAAGTGTACTCTAGCATAATAAAAAAAATGAAGCTTTGGTCTAAGGATTGAGAGTGGGAGAGAACACAGATATTGCAGGCTAGAAAGTTAGTAATTCTCATTACTTTATGATAAAGCATTTCATAAAACTGTCATTTGCAATCCTTAAAAAGGGAGATTACTTGCCAGAAGAACACGTAACCTCTGTGAACTGCTGAGGAAGATTCTTGTGCAAAGTTCTGTGACAATACGTACTCGGGCTAGAGGTGACTCTAAAAAAGGAGGGCCGGCAGTAAATAGGCCTCTGACTTTTTCAAGTGCCCACATTAAAACCTCTCAGTTAATTGAAGTTCTTTATAGTTTCGAAGGTTAGGCTGAGAGTGATGCTTTCCTGCCTAAACTAATATTTTCAGGTAGCTTCAAAGTAGACACCCATAAACCGAAGGAGAGCAGAATGTGCTAAGCAAAGAAACCAGTAAATAAAAGAAGATAGTCTGCGTGCATAGCAACACTGCCTGGGTTAGGTCTTTGGGTATGATAATTTGCCCATGGATCTGACTGGAAGCAACTAGATCAAAAGCAGACTAAGGTTTTCAGAGAATTGCATTGACCTGCAGAAGCCAATCTGTGTTTGACTTAAAGTATCTCCCATGCCCCACTACTGGTTTTGCAGCATATACATCACAAAATATGCGCAGCTCCAAAGAGAGAATATTTTCTAGTTCTTTCTTACAAAATAATTACAGGGTAATTAAATACTTCTGAGAATAAAATGGATACATATTTAGAATAGATAATTCATTTATTGAATACTTACATTACACCAAAACAATGTTTTGGTTACTATAGCAGTAATGGACAAATAATCTCATAGAGAAATGAAAATAGGAACCATAAGTAATAAGGGACAATAAATTCCTCCAAGATAACATAATTCTTCCTCGATAATCATGGAAATTATTTCACTGCCATAGCAGAAGAGGTCAAAAATCTTGTCCAGTGGTATTTGATCATTGCCTTGAAAAATGACAGCTGTGCTTTTCCTCTTCTTGTATACCTGGATATTTGGGTAATTGACTGCAAGTTGTTCCACAGTATTTTTTACCGTCTTCTTTCCTGATGATGGCTAACTAGCCAAAGGCCATCTTTTCAAGCCTTTCTTTCAACTAGATGTGGGCACCTTACTGGTTGCAGTCAGTGAAATATGGAGAGGAACGATGCCTGATTATTCTAGTTGTGTTCTTAAAAGAATTATCTGTGCGCTCTCCTGTCTGCTCCCTCGCCCTCAACACACACACCATCAACCAGTTGGGAGATAGTGAGGAAACCTTGCGCTGAACATGGCAAAGCTGTATTATAGGTTCTCAGTGTCATCTTAGATATAAAAGAAAGAAAGTAAAAACACAAGTGAGAGAAATTTTGTCTTGTTTACACGGCTGCATTTTGGGTACTTTTGTTATAGAATTAGATCAAAACTGTATTAACTCCTACAGTAGCCATAAATTCAAGTAATTATTGTTCTTAAAAAGTTACTTATAGAAAATAGAATCAGAATAGACTCAAACTATTTCTTTTTTTCTTTCATTTATTTGTTTGTTTGTTTGTTTATTTATTTATTTATTTATTTATTTATTTATTTATTTTTGAGACGGAGTTTCACTCATTGCCCAGGCTGGAGTGCAACGGTGCGATCTCAGCTCACCGCAATCTCCACTTCCTGAGTTCAAGTGATTCTCCTGCCTCAGCCTCCCAAGTAGCTGGTCAGGCATGTGCCCGACTAATTTTGTACTTTTAGTACAGACGGGGTTTCACCATGTTGGTCAGGCTGGTCTCAAACTCCCAACCTCAGGTGATCTGCCCGTCTCAGCCTCCCAAAGTGCTGGGATTACAGGGGTGAGCCACTGCGCCCGGCCTGAGCCACTGAGCCCAGGCCTCTTTCTTTTTTTAAATTTTTAAGTGAAAATTTAAATTTTTTAAATTAAGAAATTATTATTATTATTATTATTTTGAGACAGAGTCTCACTCTGTCACCTAGGCTGGAGTTCAATGGTGCAATCTTGGCTCACTCCAACCTCTGCCTCCCGGGTTCAAGCAATTCTCTTGCCTCGGCCTCCCGAGTAGCTGGAGTAGCTGGAACTACAGGCACATGCCACCATGCCCAGCTAATTTTTGCACTTTTAGTACAGACTGGGTTTCACCATGTTTGCCAAGATAGTCTCAATCTCTTGACCTCATGATCCACCTGCCTTGGCCTCCCAAAGTGCTCGGATTACAGGTGTGAGCTACCACGCCCAGCCCAAACTGACTATTTTTAGGTGCAGGTCCAAAATGAGAATATTACAAATATTACAAAAACTTGATATTAAAAAATTATAATAAAATATATATGTTTATAAATAACTTTCCCCAGAGAATATGAAAATAAACAAGTCATCTATTGAATATTAATGCTACTAATCATTAGATTAATTTAAATAAACAGATTCACATCTTCGAGATTCCTACAGCTCTCCACATGGTTTGGTAAAGAGCCAAGAAACAGTGGTCATAGATGGACCTCTGGAAATGTGATTTCATAAAGTCTAGGGTTCCATTCTGAAAAGAAAAACAAAACAGTAAGAATGGAAAGCAGTCTACCTTAGATCATTAAGTGAGTGTAAAGTTAATATTCAACAACTAATACAAAGTACACAAAAATAGAGGGTTGGTTTTTAAATTCTTCTAACTCTTTAAAAATAAAATAAGAAAAACATATATTCTTCTATTCTCAAATCTGTTGATTAAAGTAAACTGCTCATGTTTCTCCACTTTAAGCACTAGGCTCTTAGGATGCATCTTTTTTTTTCTTACTCAGGTTTGTCTCTTTGGAGCAGCCTCAGAAAATGCTCACTGCTTTATGGCTTCTAGGGTTGCTGGAGTGAGAGAAAAACTGAAACATGCAATCTGAGGAATGAGATGCAGAAGATAAGGTTTGGCTAATTGCTGTCTTAAAATGAAAAAAAAAAAAATAATTGAAGCCACCAGATGGGTTATTGGCTAGTTTTATCACTAATCATTGTGTGTTACCATAATGGCCAGATAATTAGAATATAGAACATAAGAGATAGTGATGATCAAGCTGGAATTACTTTGTGGACATTTGGGAAACACATAAATAGTTATAGTCCTTCAAGAGTTTCATTGCGCTACAACTCCAGAGTGTGGCGGTCACTGTGCTGGTTTCCTTTATGCCTATTTTTACCTTTTAAGGTTTCAGTTATTTAGATAAGACCTTTTTAATAGCTTCTCCTGTACTTCTGAAATTGCATTGGTCTTTATCTAAACAAATCTTGAGGTATTTATATCTTTCTGACTCGTATGATAATATCTGTGCATATATATACATATACACACACACGTTTTACTCTCCCACTATAATATGGAATCGGTGTTTTATTCACATACCTTTGCTTCTTGATTATAATAAGCACCAATTTTTTTTAACAACTGTCTATAGGTCTTGATCCTGCTTCTGTGCCTTTTGTGTTTCCACATCTGTTTTGTATTACTTCTACCGTGACTATATGTGTTACAAATAAGTTTTTTTAATTTATCGACTTATTTATTTCTTTATTCATTTTCTTGCCAACTGGAGACAAAGCTGATGCAACAAGGAGATAAATTTTCCTTCTTTCCCATAACATTTTGTAGCACAGCTTTTAAAAATGTTCTCTTTAAAAAATCTATTCTTTGAATATGATCATTTTTCTTGAGATATAATTTATACACAGTGAGACGCATAGATCTAAGAGCACAGCTTGATGAGTTTTGAAAAGTGCATAGACCTGTCTTATCTTGTCAGGATATGGAACATTTCCATCATCTCAGGGAAAGTTTCCCCATACGTCTTCCAAAACAAGTGCTACCTTTCCTCCCAGAGACAGTCACTGTCCAAATTTATATTAATGGACTTCAGGGCATGCTACCCCAAAATATGGCATTTTGGCATTTAAGGAAAGAGCAGAAACAGGAAACTTACTCTCTGACCTTCTCCTGCCCTTCTCCCCTGAAGCAGGTTGTAAAAGAATTCTCTGCCTTCCTTCCAAACTAGGTCATAAGACTTTTCTTTGGAGAGGTACCCTCCTCATACATAGAGAAAAGAAATGTATATGTTTCTGAAGACACAGGGACACAGAGTCGAATTTGAACAAACAGGCCTTGCTGGTTCCCCCAAGTTTATTACCATTAGATTATACATATCCTTTTGTCCTTCAACTACATTCCTGCACGACTAGCCACTTCTTCATTGAATTTAGCATAAAAATATACAAGTGTCTATTTCTTTGGGTTTTCATTTCTGAAGGCTCCAACACCACACAAAACTTTTATTCAATACATTTATATGCGTTTTGTTAATCTTTTATTACAGGTGACTTAGCTATGAGCCTTGTGATAGGTGAGGAAAAGATATTAGTTTTTCTCCTCCACATTATTGTCATATATTATTTCCATCTTTATAGATTTGTTGGATTATGCGGTCTTGGGTGAAGAGTAATTTGTCTGACAGAGAATATACTGTTGCGTCAATTTGATAATATTGGGCTTGATTACAGCAGGGTGAGAGACTAACCTTGCTCACTGAGCAAAATTGTGTCAAGGATTTGCACCGTATTAGTTCTATAGTTTCGGTTATATCCTGTACATAAGTTGTTATACTCAGAGAATTGTAATAACCTTTTTCTATATTTGCCTGAGAAGTAAAAATATTGATATGACTCGGAATATTTGATCTGCTTAATTTCTAACATGAATATTTGAAAAATTTATGTCCTGTAGTTTTTTAACTGAATGTTCCTTTTCTGAATATGTCTTTTCTGGAAAAAACTAATTTAAGTATTTACAGAATAAGTGTCATTTACACATTTAAAAATACTTGAGTAGAGTCTATTGCATTCAGAGATGGTGTGTTAGTAGAAACATGAATATTACAAAGTGTCACGTGTAATTTTGGTATCTTCATTCCTTTCTTCTTAAGATAAATTACTAGCTTAATTTGCAGACATCCTCCCAAATCCTGAAAATGACTGTGGTATGCATATTTCTATAATACATTGTAAATTGAGATGATAGAAAAGCCTTAATTTAACAAAAATCAAGCTATGGTTATTATTAATTTTTAAGAATCCAAATATTTGTGCTACGTATTTCAAGAAAAACAGATTAAGTATAATAGTATGACTCTTCAAATTTTAAGTGATGGATCTATGCCTTCCATTTCAACAGATATTTTAAACCATGGTGCATTGTGAAGATAATTTCATAAAAGTAAGAGTGGGACACATTGATGTATTTGTGATACTATAGGCTACACTAAATACATTGCACATGATGAATTTCAAATATATTTCTAGTCATTGTCTACTGTTATCACATGCTTAGAGTTTTACTAGAGATGCATTTGTAGTTTGTGTGATATAACAGGTAGTAAACAACAAGGCTCAAATAGACAAAAAAAAGCTCCCAGTATATAAATGACTATGACTAAAATTTCCAATTCTTCCAAAAACTGTAAGTTGACAGTTTTAAGTGGACTTTTCCATTCTAAATATAACAGTTTTCATTTGACCACTGAATAGGTTCTTGTTGCTTACATAAATAATGTGCTATAAATACTCACAATCTCAGGCAACATCACAGATGTTCTCCATCTGTCTTTGCATAGAAAACAGATCAATTTACTGTAGTCGAAATTTATTACATATAATGCTACATATGTTTTACTAGGCAAAGATTTCTAAAAACTCTAGAAAATTCAAGAATTAAGGAATTCTACTCTCTTTTCTGATTTCTTTGCTCTTTCTTCAATTTCCCCATACACTTATTAAATCCTCAGGTTTTAATAATGCCAGAAATATTTTAAATAATCACTAGAAGATCCATGAATTTCTATAGTTAATTATCTGATTTTGCACATGAATTCTCTGATTTTACGTATATTTTGAGTATAATACAATTATATGGCATGAAATGCTATTCAAATGCATTTATAGATAAATTTTATTAAATGTTAAAGCAGAAGTTGGTATTTCTCATGTAAGCCTGGCCTACTTTTCTAACATATCCCTTAATATTTTTGCTTATTTTGTTTTTAATATTGCACTTTCTAAATTGTTGTACTGCTAGTTTGCCTAGACAATTAGGTCACAGACATAGGAAAATGGTGATTTTAAAATGTTAGCAAGGAAAGGGCAGTAGGGCATTTATTTAATTTGAATACTCTTAGAATTGCAGTTAACTTGGATGTTAATGAAGGGAATATCTGCTTTGTTTCTGAGGGAAAGCAAACCTGCGTTTTTAACTATTCTACAGCGCCACCTTCTGGAAATGAAATGCTTCTCTAAATGTCAAGAAGCTCCTCGTGATTGTGGCTAAAAGAACTAGGACATGAGAAAAATCATGCCTTATGAGAACTATATATTATTTTTCAATCAAATATGTTTTTTCCCTTTGGGAGTATGAAAAAGGACAATAATGTACGGCAAATTCATAATAACAAAATGTTTTTCGACCGCTATACTGGGAATAAAATTCTGTCAATTTCACTTTTTTTTCTGTTGGTACAATTAAATAATAAAATTGTCCTGCTTCCATAATATGTGCCATTTTATATTACCTAGATATAGTACATAAAATGTATAAATCTATTTTCACCATAATAAGAACAAGCTAATTGTTAGCAGTTCCAGTCGATATTTTCTAAACTAGTGAACTTAACATTTTGTTTGCTTGAGACAGGAGAAAATCAGATTTTTCTGACTAATTCTGGTTACATTGAGTGAGCTAAACTTACAATTAGTTAGAGTTAAGATCTGTGTACAGGGCATCCCCCATTTACCTCCTTCAAGGAAATATTATTTTCACTGTGATATTATTAAAAGGCTTTTTTTTTTTAAAAAGGAACTATTAGTATTTATTAGTTGGAAGCTTATTCGAGTTAAGATGGGTTTGTAAAGAAAAGTTTAAAAAGGACAGTTTTATTTCTGAAATTTTAGCTTTGTGAAATATAAGATATTTCTGAGTTTTCACTTTTTTAATGAAAAAAGTTAGCAGAAGATTTTCAATTTCTAATTTCTGTTTAATTTATAATCCTGGTTGCTAAATGACTATGTAGATATATACTGTTCAAATAATATTAATGGTATCATACAACTGTTTGGCTAAATCTGGAGAAGCAAATTTATTTAGTAGTGAACAGTCGCTCCTGCCCATGATAGATATTACTAATTGATCTTGGCTCTATTTCTTACTTAGCCAGGAAGCTGTTTATACGATACTTTGCTTTAAAGTGCTATTCAATTTAATTTATGAAACATGGTTTATGGATTAACCAGGGCCTAGGAGGACCATGAGTAGGATGAAAAGGAAAATACTTGTAGTGGAAGTCAGGGAGAAAGAGAAGCAAGTAATACCAATTTTAAAGAAAAAGTGAAAACGTAGTTACTTTATCAATATAATTTATGTTGGAAATAGAGTTTATAGTATCAAACTATCTTCAATTAAATTCCACCATTAGATATTCATTCCTCTGAAAGTAATCATTTTTATTCAACAGTAAATACCTTTGAAAGGTCAAAAACATAATGCTATCCTAGTCACTAACAGTTCTATTAACTTTATTTCTTAAAATATCAGTCACCTTAGAAACATCTTTTCTTGAGTAAGGGTGGTGGCAGGGAATGAAGTATAACAGATATTCTAGCACAGCGTACAGTCCAAAAAGAGCAAATGCCATAGGAAGAGAAAAATAACAGATTGATGATATTGTCTAAGAAGAAATCCAACAACTTTCAAGCCTATTAGGTGCCAGATACTGTTTTATGTGTTTAGGATAAAGAGAATATGCGCTAGAGTCCTAATAACAAAAAAAAGCACCTTACAGGGTCAGAGAAATATGCATAAATGGAGATGTTTGGAAACTTTTCATTTAATTCATTATCATGCCTGGAAGTAGTACAGAGGGTAAAACAACCTACAAATAAAACACATTTATGTGTTTTATGTGTTGCCAATAAAACACATTTATGTTGAGTAATACATTTAAAAACACTCAGAGAGAAAATAAATCGCCCCAAAGACATATAAGACAAGAGCATGGCATACCCAAAAGTGTTGTTCATATATAAATGACTTTACATACATAAGAAATATGATGATCTTAAGGAGCATTGGTTAGTAATAGAAACGTATAAAAATCAGCCACGAAGTTGAAGAATTGTTGTTGTTGTTGTTGTTGTTGTTGTTGTTTTGTTTGAGATGGAGTCTCGCTCTGTCACCCAGGCTGGAGTGCAGTGGCGCGATCTCGGCTCACTGCAGGCTCCGCCCCGGGTTCACACCATTCTCCTGCCTCAGCCTCCCGAGTAGCTGGGACTACAGCGCCCGCCACCTCGCCGGCTAATTTTTTGTATTTTTTTTAGTAGAGACGGGGTTTCACCGTGTTAGCTAGGATGGTCTCGATCTCCTGACCTCGTGATCTGCCCGCCTCGGCCTCCCAAAGTGCTGGGATTACAGGCGTGAGCCACCGCGCCCGCCCGGAAGAATTCTATCCAAATACTACCCATGTTAATAGGTAAAACATATTTTAGTTGCAAATTGGTTTAAGGAGAAGAGAGGGAGAGAATTTACAAATTTCTAGGTTTATAGAAATTTAAAATTCAAGGGTACAGTTGACTTGAGACACTGCTTGAGCTCAGAATTTAATACCATCACCAGAAATTGGTTTTTCTTTCTCCCTGTCTCACCTGTGCTTTTCTCTGTGTCAGCTCCATTCTCAGGTACCGTTGGCAGTTTTCAGGTACCATTTCCTTGGTTTACAATCCAGGTAGTTAGTTTCTGCTTCTCAACAATTCTCAATAATTTGATTCTCACTGGTACAGGAGTTAAGAATAAATTACTTAGGCAGATAGTAAGGGTATGGGAGTCCTCGGTAAGGCTTTCCTTTTTAATGAAAAGCAGTCCCAAATCATTTTCTAACAAAGAGCAGCCTGTAAAGTTGAGGGGCAGACACAGAGAAGCAAGCTGGGAGCTTGCACGTGTGAATGTGGCAGGAACTAAGGACTAGACATGTTCAAGATGGCGGCTCCATCTTCCCTTCCTTTTGTCAGGCATATGTACAATAAGAAGCAGACAAGATGGTGCTGATCAACTGGAAAGTCCATTTGCATTGTAAGATTAGGGTGGAGTGACCAGCCTTCCCCTTGCCTGCCCTATGTAAACGTCATACCTGATGGAACAAATCTGTGAGCCCTATGTAAATCAGACACCACCTCCTCAAACCTCAGACCATAAAATCCTATGCATTGGCCACCAGTGGGTCACTTCGCTAGGAAACACCTCTCTCTATAGAGACAGCTGTTTCTCTTTCTCTTTCTTTTCTCTTCTGCAGATTAAACCTCCACTCCTAAACTCTTGGTGTGTGTCTGTGTCCTAAATGTCTCTGGCACGCGACAACAAACACCAGGGCACATACCCCAGATAACGTAGCTGTTTCATCAGTGACTCTAATTGTCCTGTTTTTCTCTTCCTATAGATGTTGGGTGTGTCAAAGTAGAGATGTCCACACATCTATCTTGGGAGAAAAAACTGGAGTCTTTTAAGTATTATAATTCCATAATCCAAACCTGGTTCTCTATTTCTGAGAGATATTAATAGATGTTCTGCCTATTTCTCCAAAAATTCTATTTAGGAAATGGGACTTAGGAGACTTTCCTCTTAGACATCAGTAATGAACACTGGCATATTAAAATCTGGGAGAAGTCTTGCAGTGAGAAAAATTTATAGAATTTGAGTACATATTATGTTTTATATAACATATGATTTTCCTTCATGAGACCATTGAGATATAGTTTGGGAAATTATAAGACTATCTCAAATGTAAACATAAATTATTCTCGTTATAATAGCCTCTTGCCATTAAATATTTAAATGATAGTATTCGTCTTCTTATACACCAGAATATGCCAAGCAAACATTTGGTTATAGTATGAGTCTCCAGCTAAGTCTACTGGTGAGGAGAGGTTGTCCTAGACCTGTCCACAAGACAATTCCAGTCTGAATGACTGCCGTATTGCTGATGGTAAATTACAATACTTCCCCATTTGAGGCTTCTAAAACACAGATGCCCCCATAATCTCTTAAAGTACTTTTCAGTTCACATGCTTTATCATTTCATCCTCACAAAAATTCTGTGAACAGATTGGGTGAATGAAAATACATCTTCTTTACAGCTGAAAAATTGAGAGTCAGAGGGGAAAATGGAACTTGCTTGGAGCCACCAAGAAAGAATTATAAATCCGGGAATCTAACCCAGATCTTTGACTGCAAAATAATATTTTATAATAAGCTTGTTTTTGAAAATTGTGCTTTCTACCTTTTAAAACACCACCAATATTATAATCTATAATATATAAATTGGACTCAGTATAATACATCAGATTCACAGCCAGAAGTACTGTGTGTTTTCTTATGAGAAATGGATTCACTTGTGATGGGCTGAAAATATCAGCTTTCTAAGTCTGCAATGTAGTTAAGTTTTGATCCCGAAATTTGGTATATTTAACCAGCTATGCTTCATTGGGAAGCCACCTAGAGGCCAGCCAGCTATCATGTTTTGGAAGCACCCAACTGTCCTTTTAAGGATTTTCTCTGGCCTTCAGTTTTGCCCATTGTGGTTTGATTTTGCAAAAGATGATCATGGTACTGTTCTGAGAAGCTCAATGAATCTTATGGAGGGCTCAAATTGAGATAAAGATACTTCTAAAGCTTTGCAATTAAAATTTATTTCTCAGCTAAAACCTTAACTTCTTTTAAAGGGCAATATATTTTATTCTTGATAAGCTACCAAAAATTTTAAAATCATGAAAGCCAATACTAATGAGGTTTTGCAAAAAATTGTGCAATATTCGACTAGTGGCAATGGTAACATTGCTCTAGGTAGTCCATAAAATATTTAAGTGCTCTAATTCTAGAAACTCAAGTTGCGAATTTATAAATAAAAAAATATGGTAATGAAATGGAAAAACTTACAATAAATATTTTAGCATGAGAGTGATTTGTAACAGTGAAAATTTTTGAGCAATCTTATTACCAAACCACAAAGAGATGGTTAAGCAAATAATGCTGTATTAGATAAAGGGAAAATTCTGTTATCACTAAATTTGAATGTATAACGACTAGCAACCTTAAAAATTGTAAGTTACATATGCAGTGCATCCAATTGTACATTATAATGATAATTAATAAAATGTGTAATTTAAAAAAATTTAGATGGGAACATTGAAAAATGGAAGACATTATTTCTGCTTGTGAGGATACAGTAGATTTTTTTCCCTCCCAAATCACTCTTGGGTAATTTTTAATACAGATTTTTTAAATGAAGTAACAGAATGCTGTAAAAATATTCAAAGGAAATCTAACAATTTTATGATAAAATATTGAGATGTAAGTAAATCTTTCACTACGGAGTAGGTTTTTTCCCAGTGTTTAATTATATCACACTGACATCAAAATGTGTAAAATGCAGCGCTGACTGAGTTAAAATTGGAATTCACTGGAAATGAGAGGTTCTAAAACATGAAGGATCGAACGTTGTTTCTGAGTAAGAGATGCTCCCAAACATGAATTATATAAAATAGACTATGCCTTGTTTATTTTTTATTACGAGTTTTCCTATTTTTTCTGACTCACAATAATTCCTCAATTGAGGCTTCTAAGATACAGATGCCCACGTAATCTCTTAAAGTATTTTTCAGTTCACATGCTTTATCATTTGATCTTCACAAAAATTCTGTGAAACAGATTGGGTGAATAAAAATACATCTTTACAGTTGAAACATTGAGACTAAGAGGGAACAGAGAACTTGCTTGGAGCCACCCAAAAGAATTATAAAGCTGAAAATATAACCTCGATCTTTGACTTCACAAATAATATTTTATAATAAGCTTGTTTTCAAAAATTGTGCCTTCTTCTTTTTAAGATGCCACCAATATTATGTATAATCTATGCTAACTCCATATTGCCATACATTGCTTCTGAATTACTTCTGAGATTAATGTTCATTGTTAGAAAAATATTATAAGTGTCCCCAGGACAAGACTGGATCTTCCCTTTAGTTACTCTTCACATTTGGAAGCAGCTTGATAGCATCGCGGCAGTGCCTAAGACATACCTGATTAAATAATGGCTGGAAATTGTAGTATTTTCCTGATTTGATTAACACTTTAATTTACTTGTAAATCACTTTTAGAGATAGCGTAAAATGCAGAGAAAATGATTGGATTTGTGGATCTCCTGGATAAATGTAGTTTTGAGACCCAGAAAGCAGGTATGAGATAAGCTCAGAATTCTACCAAAAGTACGGAAAAAGTTCTTGTTTACTAAATTTTCTGTTTTATTATACCTTTTAAGCAATTTATCAAGAACCCCCAGTATTCCACTTTATTAAACAATCTAACATATTAGATTCTATAATTTATTTTCTACTAATGGTTTGAATAGAGCTCACTATACTGGAATTATCTTAGTATTCTTTTATTTTTATTTTAGGCTCTGCTATTAGCTGATGGTTATTTTATTACCTTTACTGACTGGCAGTTAGATTTCTATCCTGTTACAGATTATAGAATTTGGGGTAAAATATATTTTTCTTCTAGACATTTTCTTTAGTGAATAAAATTATTTTGCTTGATTTGGCATTTTGAATTTACCAAGATCATTTTGACAACTAATGTATTTTTAATCACTATTTTATGCTATACTCATGTAATATACCCTCTGTTCTCATAGTTATTACCACACTGTACCTTGTGCTTAATTCTCCCTTCTTCTCTTACTGAATATAAGCTCTGGAAGGCAGGGACTCAGTCTTAATTTTCTTGGTATTCTTTTGTCTGTTATAATACCTAGCACATAAACATCCTCAGGATGTTCAATAAATTAGAGTTTATAAGTGCCTTTTACATATTTTAAAAAGTCTTCTGTTTTTTTTCTGTTGTATTTTCTAGAAACCTAATTTACATTATTAAAGTAGCAAATCCAGTGTGAAGCTGGGTGTCACATTTAGAGTTTCTGAATTTGAAATTCTATTTGAAAATGGAGGAATTATAGGAAATGGGAGTACGCATTAAAAATGAAAGCCAGTTTCATAAACTAATAGACAAAAAGAAATCTAAATTGATGGCTCCATAACAAGCACTTTAGTTTCTCACCACTTGTTTCTTCAGGGCTTAGTGTCTACTCTCACTAATTATAATTTTTCAACTGCACTTGATAATTGTGATTAAAATGTTTTTAATTATCTGTGTTTTTAATTTTAATTTACCCCCTTGTTTTCTTTGAATTTGAATTGTACTTTGGGCCAGGTAGAAGTCACATACTGACCTTTAACATATGATTTAACCTTTCTGGGATGGTGCCATCTCTAACAGAAGAGTTTTCAACCAAGATCACCAACAATTTAATTACTGTAGTAATTATTCTTTTAAAATTTTTTTATCTGAAAAAATTTTTACCCAACACCTGCAAATGTAGTAATTATTCTTGCTTTACTCTATTCTGTCAACAATTTGTTATCTAGGAAAATTATCATTGAAATTAAAATACACACACACACACACACACACACACACACAGAAAGACTTTATAGGATTTAAACTTTATGAATTAATAATTTTATAATTATTCAGGCATTTCTGATTACATAAATCAAATAATCTTGATGTTGAAAACTTCATTTCAGGATACATTTCATAGTACAGTGTACATTTACATTACTTACCTTATATGTTCTTCTTTAAGTTGTATTTCTCTGGCCAGTAGAAATGCCAACAGGGCAAGGTCAGAGGCTCGTTTCGTGTTTAATGATTCACTATAACACTGTGAAAGGAGTTTTGGTCTCTGTTGATTTTATCTTATCAGTTGCTACACAAATAAAACTACATGTTCCCATGATCGGTTTGAGCACCTTGAGTGACTGGGAAAATCAGTTTTTCCAATCTCTTCCGTTAACACTTACTATTGACACACTTAATTCATACAACTTAACTGTTACTAGTATTAATTTAGTTGTTTAAACTTCCCTCTTTCATTAACTTCCAAGAACTAAGATAGGGGATCAGTGCTATAAAAGGGCTTTTATAAATTTATCTTAGAAAGTTGATTATTTGAAATTCTCACCTTATTTTGCTGTTACCCGCCTAAGATCTAAAAGTACCATCGATGACTCAGCAGAGTTGGAATGAAAGGTGTATGTTGTTGCTTTGTCGTGTATCTCTTCTCTTGTAAGAATATATTGGCTTCATTTTCCTCTTAAGGCATGGAGTTCAGTCTATACAGCCCTTCCCAAAACTTTGTGGCCTTGGGCATCTTTTATAATCTAAAAGATAAAAACCTCTGAAAAGACTTAAGATTTGCCACATTAGGAATTAAAATTCAGAAATATTTAAAATACGTATTTAACATTTTATTTTAAAACAACAATAATAAACTATTGCTTGGCAAAATAAATCATATATTTAATTTTACAAATAGTTATTAAAAAAATAATAATGAGAAGAGTTTTTTCACATTTTTGCAAAACTTGTTTGTGTTTGGCTTAATAGACAAATGGATTCTGACATCTGCTTCTGAATTCAGTCTGCTGCAACATACTGTTTTGAATCCAGGATCACTCAGATACGTAGTTGAAAAGAGAAAGTATTTTTAGATAATTGTGGATATTGTTATTTGGTATTTCACCAAAATTCATTAGGTGATAGTTTTTCAAATGATAGTTGCAATATGGAAGCTCTAACTGTACTGATAAAGTTTTCCTAAACTATTACATTAAAATTCATCTTGCAATGGATGTTTAACTCATGCATTTTGTAATTTTGTAACATCAAGCATATTTTATTTGGAAAATACTGATTTACTAAGTTATGCAATGTTCCAAATGTTGACACATTTTATTATACAATATCAAAAAGCAAATCGCATTTGTTAATGTAACTGCTGACCTAAATCTTTAAGTATTAGGAACATATAAAGCTCAGAGTGGTGGGTACAGACTTCACAAAATTCAAATTTTTACTTCAAGGATTTGATTTTGCTATTGGCAATAATTATAGTAAATTGTTTTCCTTGAGTTACAAAGTTACTTTCTTTCATTTTTGAGAATACCAAATACCTCATACCCAAGTCTCAATAGCCATGGTATCTGCTAGTCATTTCTTCAAGAGGACAGCATTACCGAGAAAGGGAGTTAGTTCAGTTTTCAGTTAAAATAAATGAACCTTAGCTTTTTCTAGACACAATCATTATCCTTTGATATGTAACAAAAGTACTTTATGTATAAGTCCCATGTAATTACACAGTGTGTTAAAACAAGATGCATTCAAAGGTTGAGATTTTATTAAAGATAATGATTATACTGCTTCATATAAAAAGTATTTTTGGCCGGGCGCGGTGGCTCACGCCTGTAATCCCAGCACTTTGGGAGGCCGAGGCGGGCGGATCACGAGGTCAGGAGATCGAGACCATCCTGGCTAACACGGTGAAACCCCACCTCTACTAAAAATACAAAAAATTAGCTGGGCGTGGTGGCGGGCGCCTGTAGTCCCAGCTACTGGGGAGGCTGAGGCAGGAGAATGGCGTGAACCCGGGAGGCGGAGCTTGCAGTGAGCCCAGATCGCGCCACTGCACTCCAGCCTGGGTGACAGTGAGACTCCGTCTCAAAAAAAAAAAAAAAAGTATTTTTACTGCTTTCATTCTTAATGAAACTGACTTAAGAAAAAAATTCCTGTACGCCACTGAGGAAAACGGTAACTACTAGAAAAATCTGGAGCCACTTCCTTGATTGGTGCTAGCTGCTTTACCCACAATGGCACTTGTACTATGAGCACAAATATCAACAAATTGAAAAAGGCAAATAACATTTTGTATTTTTATGAAAGTGGTTTTGACCTCAGGGACCTTCTCAAAGGATGTCTGAGACCCCTAGATTTATAGGGACACTGAGAATTACTGGTCTAGTAAAAATAACTTCTATCTAGAGTTAGGAGGCCTACTTAGGTAGCTCGGCTTTGCTAGAATTATTTTGTAATTTGGTAAGTGTTTTAAAATTTTAACCTCTTAATCTCAGTTTACTCATCTACAAAGTCCACAAAAATTATAAGATTAATGTGTGTGTTTGCATAAACATGCACCTCATTAGAACTAATGAAATGATTGATTTACCCTATAGCCCACACAGGAATACAGTGTGGTAATATTACCTAAGCTTAATTAATGAATCTCATATTTTTTGTTAAAATGTGATGGTGGGTATTACTGATAATTTTTTAAAATGCATGAAGTTGCATGAAAGTTAGTGCAGTGTGAGTTTGTCACATTTATATGGTAACTCATATTATATCAATATAGTGATTAGAAATTGGATTACATTATATTAGAGTGCTATGCTTTTCAATCTTTAACTGAAAATTCAATTTAACTATTTTTAAAATATATTGAAATATTGCTTTACAAAGTAGTACTAGCACTTGCAAGTTAACTGTATTCTGTTGCTAACTATGGATTATAATTTAAAAGAATTCCTAAAACTTCTGCACTTTTGTTTTTCTCATTCACAGATCAATATAAGAATCATTATTTTCCCTTTTGTAGGTTATTATAACACAGTAATTCAGCACCATCATTTGGAGTCATTTTTTAATTACTTTAGAGAGCTATACTTAGTCTTGGCAATGAAGATTGACTTGAGCTCTCAATCATATGCCTTATGGGGATATACAAAATTCTACAATATGTCTGTAAATATTGGTGATATTCTTGTTCATTTCCACTTTCAAAATCCTGATGTTGGCCATGCTTTCTCTATTTTGCACCATGTCCACCCACATATGTGTTTGAGCACATTCCCCATTTTCCATTAAAATTCACTTATATCTAGCATTGTTAGTATAGTAAACTAAAAACAAAACCTCTTTCTATAAAATTGCCATTTAAAGTGATGCAAAAACCTTTCTTTTACCCCTACAAACAAGTGGAAGCACTGAATAATATGGATGAATCATCTGTGTTCTTATGAAAGATAAGAAAACCCCCTGTGGCACAAACAGAAAGGGGACAAAAGCTGGGGTTAGGAGCAAAAGCTGATTCTGTGTTCACTTTAGGGATGTGAGTTAAAACAGACTGCTACAATAAATCTTGAAGCTACAAAGGGCTTCTCAAAAGATAAAGGAATATTGGACATACCGTGACCTCCAGCTGCAGCAGAAAATAAAATAAAAATTTTATCCTGATGTAAATTTAAGTGAGGAAAAAATGTCTCCCTTTGAGAAATCAAGACCTTAAGCCTGTGCCTCAGGTGATATTATATGTAACTATACCTCTCTCTGTCCTGCAAAAACACCCAGTCCCAGAGGTTAAAAAAAAAAAAAAAAAGTTGTCCTCATCCAGAGATACTCTTGGAAATAAGTAATACTACTCTAGAACTACCTTCTTAAAATCCAGGCTGTATTATATTTGGTATAGGAAAAAAAATACAAGCTTTATTTTGCTAAAGAGGAACTTGCAATTACAAATAGATCATAACAGAAATCAATGAAAAATGTACCATGTATGAATCATCAGTTATAACAAAGAGAAGCAAAACTTGGCATAATAGAGCTAGGTCAAGACTATAAAACAAATCTACTGTGTATAAAACCTGTAAAACTGTAAAGGAAGGCATAAAAATTACCACAAAAGGACAAAATGTAAGATAGAACAAAATGCTTTAAAACAGAAATGAGGCAGAAATACAAATATTTGGAAAAAGCAGATTGAAAAAAGAACAAAATTAGCTATATTTGATATTTAAAAATATAATTGAAACAAAATATAAGCACTCAATGAATGGATTAAATAGCAGATTAGACTCAGCTAAGGCTAGAATTAGTAGTCTGGAAGGTAGTTGTAAGGGAATTGCCCAGAGTGGCAGCACACAATTATTAAAAAAAAAAAAAATAGAATAAAAAATCTGGGACAGTTAAGAGACCTAAAAATAGAATCTTTCTCATAAGACTTTCCAAGGAGAGAACAGAGAAGTTCTCAGAAAATTTTCAAAAACATAATTTAACTTAAAAAAAATGGCTCCATTGTGAGAGCACAGTCATCACAGGACTGCTTCCTACCCTGGGAACCATAGCCCCTATATCTCTGCATCCTGAGAGCTCCCACTGACACACCCCAGTGTCCACCCAGAAGGCTGCAGCGGCAGAGCATTGGCAGGACCCTAAGATGCTATGTGGTTCCCATTACTCTAGCCCACAGGGAGTACTACTCCCAGGTGAAAGGACAGTGCAGTGCACACAAAAAGGCAGACCCTGGGACAAAGGAAACCAAAGTGTATGTTTCCAGAGCTTGAGGGCACCCTATTTGAGGTTGTAAGAAGTTACTCCACCCTACCAGTGGCAAAAATTCTGTGCTTAGCCTTGCAAGCAAATAATGAGATCCCCTCTCACAGACAGAATGACTTGTGCATTCAGGCTCATGCATGGAAATTAGGACCTCTTTTATCCCTCCACACACCACTGCAGACATAGCTGCTTCTGCTGCCATCAGACACTGGGGCAGGCAAACCAAAGACTGACTGTCTGGGGCTGTGAGTGATGACTGCATCCCCACAGGTGGAATGATCTCCATGTCCGGGGTTATGTTTGAAGCATGAGGTCTCTCCCCACATCTGGGTGGCACTGTAGCACTGCTGCAGAATGTGGGAGAGTGTCTGGGGCTATGGATGGAGACCCCGCACCACAGTCATTGCCAGTAACAGTATGCATCACCCAGGACACAGAGAGTTATCTCACCACTGCTACTGCCATCACACCATGCTGGCAACCTAGACATCCAATAATCTGCTCGCCAACCTGGCTCACCACTGGCATCAGAGCAAACCACCTGGAGGCTCAAGAATCAGCCTGCTGGTCCCACTAACACCAGTGTGAGCCATATGCTGCCTTGAGGCCTAAGATGAGGCATGCTCTAGCCCATCACTACCTCCACCAGAGTCTGAAGACTGGCCCAGCTTGCATCTCTGTCTCTAGAAAAACTTCACCATAGCTTCCCCTTATAACCGTATCCTAAACCACCAAGGAAATCACAGGTCCCACTGATGTTGTCTACAGCTAAAGAAATCATAAAGAAACTACACCACTGCACATTTATGCAAATAAACTAGAAAATCTAAAAGAAATGGATAAATTCCGGGACACATACACCCTCCCAATACTAAACCAAGAAGAAGCTGAATCCCTGAATAGACCAATAACAAGTTCTGAAATTGAGGCAGTAATTAATAGCCTACCAACAAATAAAAGACCAGGACCAGATGGATTCACTGCCGAATTCTTCCAGTGGTACAAAGAGGAGCTGGTACCATTCCTTCTGAAACTATTCCCATCAATAGAAAAGGAGGGACTCATTTTATGAGGCCAGCATCATTTTGATACCAAAACCTGGCAGAGACAAAACAAAAAAAGAAAATTTCAGGCCAATATCCCTGATGAACATTGATGCAAAAACCCTCAATACAATACTGGCAAACCAAATCCAGCAGCACATCAAAAAGCTTATCCACCATGATCAAGTTAGCTTCATCCCTGGAAAGCAAGGCTGGTTCAACATACACAAATCAATCAACATAATCCATCACATAAACAGAACCAATGACAAAAACCATATGATTATCTGAATAGGTGCAGAAAAGGCCTTTGATAAAATTCAACACCCCTTCATGCTAAAAACTCTCAATAAACTAGGTATCGATGGAACGTATCTCAAAATAATAAAAGCTATTTATGACAAACCCACAGCCAATATCATACTGAATGTGCAAAAGCCGGAAGCATTCCCTTTGAAAACCAGCACAAGACAAAAATGCCCTCTCTCACCATTCCTATTTAACATAGTATTGGAAGTCCTGGCCAGGGCAATCAGGTGAGAGAAAGAAATAAAGGGTATTCAAATAGGAAGAGAGGAAGACATATTGTCTCTGCTTGCAGATGACATGATCGTATATTTAGAAAACCCCATTGTCTCAGTCCAAAATCTCCTTAAGCTGATAAGCAACTTCAGCAAAGTCTCAGGATACAAAATCAATGTGCAAAAATCACAAGCATTCCTATACATCAGTAATAGACAAACACAGAGTCAAATCATGAGTGAACTCCCATTCACAATGGCTACAAAGAGAATAAAATACCTAGGACTACAATTTACAAGGGATGTGAAGGACTTCTTCAAGGAGAGCTACAAATTACTGCTCAAGGAAATAAGAGAGGACACAACAAAAGGAAAAACATTTCATGCTCATGGATAGGAAGAATCAATCAATATCATGAAAATGGCCATACTTCCCAAAGTAATTTAGAGATTCAATGCTATTCCCATCAAGTTACCATTGACTTTCTTCACAGAATTAGAAAAAACTACTTTAAATTTCATATGGAACAAAAAAAGAGCCTATATAGCCAAGACAATCCTAAGCAAAAAGAAAAAAGCTGGAGCCATAATGCTACCTGACTTCAAACTATACTACAAAACTACAATAACCAAAACAGCATGGTACTGGTACTAAAACAGATATATAGACCAACAGAACAGAACAGAGGCCTTCAAAATAACATCACAAATCTACAACCATCTGATCTTTGACAAGCCTGACAAAAACAAGCAATGGGGAAAGGATTCCCTATTTAATAAATGGTGTTCAGAAAACTGGATAGCCACATGCAGACAACTGAAACTGGACCCTTTCCTTACACTATATATACAAAAATTAACTCAAGATGGATTAAAGACTTAAACATATGACGTAAAACCATAGAAACCCTAGAAGAAAACCTAGACAATACCATTCAGGACAACGGCATGGGCAAAGACTTCATTACAAAAAAAAAAAAAAAAAAAGCAATTGCAACAAAAACTAAAATTGACAAATGAGATCTAATTAAACTGAAGAGCTTCTGCACAGCAAAAGAAACTATCATCAGAATGAACAGGCAGCCTACAGAATGGAAGTAAATTTTTGCAATCTATCCATCTGACAAAGGGCTAATATCCAGAATCTACAGGAATCTTAAACAAATTTACAAGAAAAAAACAAACGACCCCATCAAAAAGTGGGTGAAGGATATGAACAGACACTTCTCAAATGAATACATTTATGTGGCCAACAAACATATGAAAAACAGCCTTATCATCATTGGTCATTAGAAAAATTCAAATCAAAACCATGATGAGATACCATCTCACGCCAGTTAGAATGGCGATTATTAAAAAGTCAGGAAACAACAGATGCTGGAGGGAATGTGAAGCAATAGGAATGCTTTTACACTGTTGGTGGGAGTGTAAATTAGTTCAACCATTGTGGAAGACAGTGTGGTGATACCTCAAGGATCTAGAAACAGAAATACCATTTGACCCAGGAATCCCATTACTGGGTATATAACCAAATTATAGATTATAAATTATTCTACTATAAAGACACATGTACACATATGTTTATTTCAGCACTATTTACAATAGCAAAGACTTGGAACCAACCTAAATGCCCATCAATGATAGACTAGATAAAGAAAATGTAGCACATATACACTCTGGAATACTATGCAGCCATAAAAAAGAATGAGTTCATGTTCTTTGCAGGGACATGGATGAAGCTGTAAACCATCATTCTCAGCAAACTAACACCAGAACAGAAAACCAAACACCTCATGTTCTCACTCATAAGTGGGAGTTGAACAATGAGAACACATGGACACAGGGAGGGGAACATCACACACCTGGGCCTGTTAGGAGTTTGGGGGCAAGGGGAGGGATAGCCTTAGGAGAAATACCTAATGTAGATAACGGGTTGATGGGTGCCGCAAACCACCATGGCACATGTTTACCTATGTAACAAACCTGCACCTTCTGCACATGTATCCCAGAACTTAAAGTATAATTAAAAAGAAAGAAAGAAAAAGAAATAGCCCAGTAAGGCAAAAATAAAGAAAAAATAAGAAGAATGAACAGTCTTTCTGATATATGGGATACCATAACGTGACCAAATATACAAATTATTGCTATTTCCAAAGGTGATAACAGAATAAACGAGTTTGAAAACCTTTTTTAAAAAATAGAAGAAAACTTCTCAAGTCTAGCAAAAAATTTAGACATCCAGATACAGGAGGTCCAGTCATCCCAAATCAGATACAGTGTGGAAAGTCTTCTCCATGGCACATTATAGTCAAATTATCTAAAGTTAACAACAAAGAGAAAATTCTAAAAGCAGCAAAAGAAAAGCATCTAGTTATCTATAAAGAAGATCTCATTAGACTAACGGTAGGCTTCTTAGCAGAAACCTTATAGGACAGAAGAGAATGGGAGGATATATTCAAAGTATAAGAAGAAGAAGAAAACCCTGCTAATTGCCACCCAAGGATTTTGTTTCCAGCAAAATTATCCTTCATAAATGAGGGGAAATAAAGTGTTTCCCAAATAAACAAATGATAAGGAAATTTACCACCACTAGATATGAATTACAAGGGAGTTCTAAATCTGGAAGTGAAAGAACAACCATTACCATCATGAAAACACATGAAAATATGAAACTACTGGTAAAGCAAACACATAAATGAGGAAGAGAAAAGGCTTAAATGGTACCACCATAGAAAATCAACAAACCATAAGGACAATCAATAAGACAAAAAGAAATGAATAGATAATATACAAAGCAACCAGAAAACAATTAATAACATCACAGAAATAAAACCTCACATATCAATAATAACCCCCAACATAAATAAATAAAATTATTAACTTAAGAGATATACACTGGCTGAATGGATTAAAAAACCTGAAACAACTAAATGCTACCTACCTGAATGTACTTTACCTGTAGATACATATAGACAAAATTTAAGGGGTAGAAAAAGATAACCCATGCACACAGAAACCGAAAGCGATAAAACTTGTATCAGCTAAAACAGACTTTAAAGCAAAAATCACTAAAAAGACAAAGGATATCATTATATAATGATAAAGACATCAATCCAGGAAGATAATATAACAATTCTAAATATATATGCACCCAATACTGGAGCATCCAGACTCATAAAGTATATTAGTCCATTCTCATACTTCTAATAAAGACACACTCAAGACTGGGTGATTTATAAAGGTAAGAGGTTGACTCACAGTTCAGCATGGCTGGGGAGAACTCAGGAAGCTTACAATCACGGCAGATGGGGAAGAAACACATCCTTCTTCATATGGCGGCAGTAAGGAGAAGTGCTGAGCAAAAGGGGGAAAAGCACCTTATAAAACTGTCAGATTTTTGTGAGAACTAACTCACTATCACAAGAACAGGATGGAAGAAACCACCCCCATGATTCTATTATCTCCCACCAGGTCCCTCTCATGACACATGGGGATTATGAGAACTACAATTCAAGATGAAATTTGGGTGGGGACACAGCAAAACCATATCATAAAGTAAACAGTAGATGTAAAGAAAGAGACTACAATACAATAGAAATGGGGAACTTTGTAACCCACTATTAGCATTAGACAGAGATAGAAAATCAGCAAAGAATCATTTAGACTTAAACTGGACTTTTACCAAATAGACCTAACAGAAATTTACAGAACATTTTATCTAACAGCTGCAAAATACACATTCTTCTCATCCACACATGCGACATTCTCCAGGATTGACCATCTTTTTAGCCACAAAGAAGTCTCAACATAGTTTTAAAAAATCAAAATTATATCAAGTAATTTCTCAGACTACAATGGAATAAAACTAGAAATTCGTCCCAAGAAGTACTTTGGAAACTTTACAAATATGTAGAAATTAAATGACATGTTCCTAAGTGACCAATGAGAACATTTTTTTTGAAGCAAATGAAACTGGAAAAAACAACATACCATAACTTGTGGGACCCAGCAAAAGCAGGCTAAGAGGGAAGTCTATAGCAATAAATACCTACATTAAAAAAAGATTTTAAATAAAGAATCTAACAAGGCACCTCAAGGAACTAGAAAAGCAAGAACAAACCAAACCCCAAATTAGCAGAAGGAAAGAAATAATAAATAAGCAGAAATAAATAAAATTAAAACTTTAAAAAATACAAAGATTAATAAAATAATAAGTTGTCTCTTTGAAAAAACAAATAAAATTGATAAACTACTAACTAGATTAACCAAGAAAAGGGAAGACCCAAATAAACAAAACCAGAAATGTAAAAGGAGACATTATAATTGATACCACAGAAATACAAAAGATCATCATAAGCTATATGAGGAACTATATGCTAACAAACTAGATAGCATAGAGGAAATGAATAATTTTCTGAACACGTACAACTTAACAAGATTGAATCAGGAAGAAGTAGAACACCTGAACAGACCCATAATAAGTGGCTATATTGAATCAGTAATAAAAAGACTCCCAAGAAAGAAAAGCCAAGTACTGAATGGATTCACTGTGGAATTCCACCAAATGTATAAAGAAGAACTAAAACCAACCTACCTCTAATTACTTCAAAAAATTTAAGAGGAAGAAACTCTCCATAACTCATTCCATGAGGCCAGCATTACCCTCATACTCATACTGAATGAGGGAAAGTTGAAAGCCTTTTCTCTAAGAAATGGAACAAGACAAGAGTATCCACTCTGACCACTCTTATTCAACATGGTACTGTAAGTCCAAGCCAGAGCATTTAGGCAAGAAAAGAAAAGGCATCCAAATTGGAAGTCAAATAGTCCCTGTTTACAGGTAATAAAATCTTATATCTAGAAAAACCAGAAATTTTCACTTGAAAATTCTTATAACTGATAAACAGATTCAGTTTATAAAACAACCCATTTCATGAGGCCAGCATTACCCTGATAACAAAACCAGGCAGGAACACAGCAAAAAAAGAAAAATATAGGCCAATATTTCCGATAAACGTAGATGTAAACGTTCTCAAGAAAATACTAGAGAACCATTCCAACAGTACATCAAAAGATAATACATCAAAAGATAATACATCATAATCAAGTGAGATTTATCCCAGGGATAAAAGGTTCATTCAACACACAAAAATAAATCAATGTAACACATAATATTAGCATATGATTATCTCAATGGACACGCAAAAAGGCATCTGACAAAATTCAATACCTCGTCGTAGCAAAAATTCTCAACAAACTAGGCATAAAAGAACCATACTTTAAAATAATAATGGCCATAGATGACAAACCTACAGGCAACATCATACTGAATGAGGGAAAGTTGAAAGTCTTTTCTCTAAGAATTGGAACAAGGCAAGAGTACCTGCTCTCACTGCTCTTATTCAACATAATACTATCAGTCCAAGCCAGAGCAATTAGGCAAGAAAAGAAAAGGCATCCAAATTGGAAGTCAAGCAGTCCCTCTTTACAGATGATATAATCTTATATCTAGAAAAAAACAGAAATTCTCACTTGAAAATTGTTAGAACTGATAAACAGATTCAGTAAAGTTTCAGGATACAAAATCAACATATAAAAATTAGTAGCATTTCTATACACCAGTGACAAACTAGCAGCAGAAGAAATCAAGAAGCCAATCCCATTTACAATAGCTACAAAAAAGAAAAAAGAAAACCTAGGAATAAATTTAACCACGGTGGTATAAGATCTGTACAAGGAAAACTACAAAACACTGATAAAAGAAATTGAAGAGGACGCAAACAAATGGAAATTCACCTCATGTTCATGGATCAGAATTAATACTGTTAAAATGACTATACTGCTCAAAGCGATTTGCAGATTCAATGCAATTTCTATCAAAATTCCAATGTCACTGTTCACTGAAACAGAAAGACTATCTTAAAATTTGTATGAAACTAAAAATGATCCTGAATAGCCAAAGCAATCCTGAGCAAAAAGAAGAAAGGTTGTGACATCATGCTACCTGACTTCAAAATATGCTATAAAGCTGTAGTAATGGGAAACAGCATGGTCTTGGTGTAAAAACAGACATATAGACCAGTGGAACAGAATAGAGAAACCAGAAATAATTCCATGTATTTAGCAACAATTTATCTACACAAAGCCACTGAGAAGATACATTGGGGAAAGGTCAGTCTCTTCAATAAATGGTGTTGGAAAAACTGGATAATCATATACAGAGAAGAATAAAAATTGACCCCTATCTCTCATTATATAAAAAGTCAACTCAAGATGGAGTAAAAAACTTAAACGTAAGACCAGAAACTATAAAACTACTAGGATAAAACATAGGTGAATTGCTTTAGGAGATTGGTCTAGACAACCAATAAGGTCGGCTAATACCTCAAAAGTACAGGCAATAATAACAAAAATAGACAAATGAGACTATCTCAAATGAAACATTTTCTGACAACAAATGAACAGTCAACAGAGTGGGGAGACAACCTACAAAATGAGAGAAAATAATTTCAAATTACTCATCCACCAGGGGACTAATATCCAGAATATATAAGGAACTCAAACATCTCGACAGTAAAAACACAAATAATCACATTAACAAGGTGGCAAAGCACATGAATAGGTGTTTCTCAGAAGGAGACATACAATGGCCAACAGGTATATAAAAAAATTCTTAACATCACTAACATCAAAATAGTGTGAATCAAAACCACAACGAGGTATCATCTCAGTTAGAATGGTTACTATTAAAAAGACAAAAGCAACAGATAGTGGCAAGGGTGTAGAAAAAAGGGAACCCTTATATATTGATGGTGGGAATGTAAATCAGTATAACCACTGTGGAGAACAGTTGACAATTTCTCAAAAAACTTAAAATAGAACTACCATATGACCCAAGAATTCCACTACCAGGTATCTATCTAAAGGAAAAGAAATAAGTATATCAAAGAGATACCTACACTTGCATGTTTATTGCATCACTATTCATGATAGCAAATATTTGGACGTCATTCTAAGTGTCCATCAATGAGTATGTTGATTCCATCACTTCATGGATTCCACAGTGAATCCATAAAGAAAATGTGATAGATATACACCATGGAATACTACAGAGCCAGAAAAAATAAATCATGTCACTTGAAGCAGTATGTATGGAAGTGGAGGTCATTATGTTAAAAGAAATAAACCAGGCACAGAAAGACATATACTGCATATTCTCACTGACGTGGGAGCTAAAGAACTTGATCTCATGGAGATAGAGAATAGAACAATAGATTACAGAAGTGTCAAGTTTGGGGGGTGTGTGCGGGATGAAGTGGGGTTGGCTATGGTTACAAACATATGGTTAGATAGAAGAAATGAGTTCAAATGTTTGATAGCAGACTAGAGTGACTATCCTTAGCAATAATATTATGCATATTTCAAAGTAACTAGAAGGGAGGCCTTGAAAAAATACCAATACATAAAACTGATAAACACCCAAGGTGATGGATATACCTATGCCCCGACTTGGTCATTATATATTCTTTGCAAGTAACAAATGTTCACATGTACCCCATAAATATGTAAATTATTACATATTAATAAAAAAAGAAGAAAGGAAATAAAGAAAAATCAGGTAAAATGGGAGAAGAAAGACAAAGAATGGATAACAAAGTGTGTTAAAAATTATGGCAAATATTGCACAAATAACATGTAGAAATAAATCCACATTTTTGGTAATTATAATAAATAACAAATAAAATATCTTCCAAATTAAAAGAAAATGACCCTGAGTTTGAATTAAAATATAAAGGTGTCTGGTTAAATGCAATTTGTGAAATACATTATGAAAAATTTATTCATGGTATCTTTTGAGAACCTAGTATATGCCAAGCATTGTTCTAGATACTTTTAGTAAAACAATGAATCAAATAAAAATTTCTTTCCCCAGGAAACTCAATTTCCAGAATGGGAGACAAAATAAACAGTAATGAAATATACTATATGCTATGTAAACAATATTAAATATTGAACATATCTAAAACAGATGTTTTAGAATTTATATAAAAATGTATGTCAGGTGATACTTATCAAAAGAAAATTGAGATATTAATATTAACATGACAGAAAAATAAACTGGAAGCAAAAAGAACATTATTAGCAAATAGGGATATTCTAGAGATACAGCAAATTTTCGACAGAAGGGGAATATCTATCCTAAATCTGAATGAACCTGGTAATATAACCTTAAAATTTACTGAATAAAAGTTAAAGTAATTAAAATGAGACACTTAAAAATATTCAATAATATTTTGAAATTTTGAAGTTTTTAACCCAATCCTTTAAAAACTGCTAAAGAAAACAAATATTAGGATATAGAATATTTAATCAACAAAATCATGATCAAAGGCTTCCAACATAGAGTAGAAGTTTTTTAAAAAAATTCATTTATGAGCTATACAAAACATTGAAGGAACAAATACTTTATTGCGTATAAACTTATGCAGAGTGGAAAATGGTGGAAACTGACCAACTATTTTGTGAGGTTATTATAACTTGGTTTGCCAAAGCAAACAAACAAACAAAGACAAAGGAAAATTATAGTTTAAGTTTATTTTTGAACATAAAAACAAAAATCCTAAATATAGTATTTTAAAGAGAAAACAGGTAGTGTCTCATAAGCAGGTTGATTTTAACCTAAGAATGTTTTACCATTGGAAACATATTAAGATTTATTTACATTTTAACACTCGAAGAAAAAAAGCGTATGACTATCTCAGTATACGTAAATATTTATAAGTTAAAATTTTACACTAATTCAAGATAAAAAGTCTTAGTAAACTTGGAATGGATGAGAACATTCCCATCCTAATAAAAATTATCCAACATAACTAGAAAGAAAGAAATATCAATACAATATAAACAGAAATACCTAACAAATATGATTCTTGGTCAAAGATATTTAAAACAATTACAGTCATAATGAATTAAAGAGGAGAATTACTAACACTATGTCTATTCAACATTGTACTGAAGGTACTAGCCAATAAAACATGACAAGAGAAAAAGTAAGTGATAATAATTGGAAAGAATAGTTGTCATTATACTTTGATGATGTGATAATTAATATGGAAAAGAAAGTTGCCAAGGTAGTTATCTAAAAGTAAAATAATTATGTTTTAGATAACTACCTTGGCAACTTTCTCAAAGTTGTTTGAGGTTATACTGAGGGATTCATTGAAATTTGTTTGTAACATTAAAAAGCAATAAATGGCTAACAGTATACCAATATCAGGGATAAATATATCACGGCTTACTCATAAGATTGGGCACTAAAGAGCAACTGCAAATTAATGAACTAGACCTTTACATATGAAAGTACAAAAATAAGAAAATAATATTGAGTGAAAAGTAAAATATCTTCATAGTATAACAAGTATATGAATTCTGATCATTAAGCACAATAATTTGAGTTACATATACATACACATATGTACATACGGATATAATCATATTCAAGGTGTAAAAAATATTTACAGGGATATACACACTGAGTTCAGAATAACACTTTCCACTTGGGAAGCAGGATGAGGGAAGAATATGAGAATATGCTTTAACTTTATTTAATTATTTATTTAGAAATAGGGTCTTGCGAGGCCGGGCGCGGTGGCTCACGCCTGTAATCCTAGCACTTTGGGAGGCCGTGGCGGGCGGATCACGAGGTCAGGAGATCGAGACCATCCTGCCTAACACGGTGAAACCCTATCTCTACTAAAAATATAAAAAATTGGCCGGGCTTGGTGGCGGGCGCCTGTAGTCCCAGCTACTAGGGAGACTGAGGCAGGAGAATGGCTTGAACCCGAGAGGTGGAGCTTGCAGTGAGCCGAGATTGCGCCACTGCACTCCAGCCTGGGTGACAGAGCAAGAGTCCGTCTAAAAAAAAAAAAAAAAAATAATAATAATAATAATAATAATAATAGAAATAGGGTCTTGTTCTGCCACCCAAACGAGTGTGGTGGCACAATCATAGCTCATTGCAGCCTCAATTTTCCGGGCTTAAGTGATCCTCCTCATTCAGCCTCCTGAGTTGCTGGGACTACATGTGTGCACCACCACATCCGGCTAAGTTTTACAAGTGTTTTGTAGAGATGGGGTCTTGCTTTGTTGCCCAGGCTGGTCTTGAACTCCTGGGCTCAAGTAGTTCTCCCACCTAGACCTCCTAAAGTGCCAGCCTAACTATATCTTTATTTCTTTATTTTTTTACATAAAAGAGACATATAAAATATATTTTTTTACATAAAAGAGACATACCAAATAAATATGGCAAATATGGTAATGTTTGTTATTCTTAGGTAGCGTGCCCACTGGTGTCTGCTATATAAATTACATATTATCTGCACGCTGAAATATTAAAGAAATAATTTCTTTACTTAATAATATTTTCGTATCAGAAGGAGAAGGATTCACATTGCTGCAACCTCTGGGGGCTCTTTGGCACTTCCTCAGCATTGATAATTTCTGCTGCTCCCGCATCTGATGTAGTACCAGTGATAATCCACTTTTCTGTTCCTTTTGTTTCCAATATCTTTTTTCCCTTCCCTTTTTTGAGACAGAGTCTCGCTCTGTCCCCCAGGCTGGAGTTCAGTGGCGCCATCTCGGCCCACTGCAACCTCCGCTTCCCAGGTTCAAGCGATTCTCCTGCCTCAGTCTCCCGAGTAGCTGGGAATACAGGCGCGCGGCACTACGCTCGGCTAATTTCTTTGTATTTTTAGTAGAGACGGGGTTTCACCATGCTGCCCAGGCTGGTTTTGAACTCCCAAGCTCAAGCAATCCACACGCCTCGGCCTCCCAAAGTGCTGGGATTACAGGCGTGAGCCACCGCGCCCAGCCTCCCTTCCCTTTCTAAGGAGCAAGAAATAGAAAAATTCTCCCTTTTTTCATGTAGAGCTTCTTAAATATGATCAGTTTTCATGTTTGCCATCACCTCTACACCAAGCAGCTGAATGAAATATTTTTCCATGCCAACATGGTTCTTCTTTAAGAAAACCTTTCGTATCATATTTGAAGATAAAAATTTCAGCTCTTTACAGTTGTTTTAGTAAATTCTTGAGGGCAAATGCTTTCTGCTAATCTGCTTTATCCTCCAAGACTTCAAATGCAGAAAATCATGCTGGCATGTGTGGTAAAAAGCCATCAAATCATTAAATATGAATTCCCTTTTCCCGGAATTTGCCTCAGTGCCTAGAATGATAAAATAGCAAAAGCAATTTTGATGATAATAATAATAAATTATCATGTGAAACAGTCATTATGCATTCTCTAAAATTAAAAAAGTTTAAATATTTAAAATGACAACGATAAGGAGGCCTCATATTTTCCTTTTTCTGTACTAATTATCTATTTTTAACGTGTTGATGCTTTGTGGTGCTATAATAATTTTGCCTTGCCATCCATAATTAGTGCTTTGGGTTTTCCCATTTCAATTTACTTCTAATAATTGATGATGGCAATTTACAATTTTACCTTATTTCTGGGATACTAATATAAAATTACAATTTACTTACACTAAACTCTGAAGAACTTGCCAAATGAATACCAAGAAGGAAAATTAAGAAGATCATGGTTTTGAATTCTTGAATCTCAGTCCTTTACTGTTTTCTCGAGCTAAATATCCTTTTAAATGGATAAGATATTGCAGATTATATTAAGAATATAATATGTAAATATTCACAGGTGGCCTAAAATATTAAAAAGTGTATGTTTGTTGATATTTATAGTCATGGATATAGTGTCAGCTTTTAGCATCACATTTAAAGAAAAGGATATATTAATATCTACATAAGATTAAAATGTTAATTTACTTTTAAAGCTAATATTTAAATTCATCACATCCAGAGCCTTCTAGTTCCCTGTTTCTTCTTAGCCTTTCAAATTCCTGCAAAATTCCTCTGGAGGGCACTATTACCATAACTAATACAATTAGCTCCAGATGGCAAGGTAGTGAAAGGCACTGGGTCTTAGTACTGTTTATCTCCTTTCAAATCTTAGTCTAATCATGACTTTAATTTTTTTTTCTTCTTAAGAGAAAAAATAAACTCATCAGCCTATCCCTATTAAGAATTATAGAAGTTATCCTCACTCACATTATATAGCATTATAATCCACTTAAAAACAAACACTATTGCTGCCCTCCTTATTACTTCTTAATACAACTCCAATGAAGTGCTAGCATGAATAGTTACTTCTGCATAGACATTTTCTTACTGCTTAAAAAAGAGGCAAATAGAAATTTGAGTAGCAGTAGAGGAATCAGTTAAACATATAATTACATCTAAATTAATTTTCTTCAGCATAATCTTTTGCTTATTAAATGAGAATTTAAGACAACAAACAAAACCCAAAACAACACAAAAACCCCAGAGGTCAAAGAGTCAATGTCATTCAGAATTCTAATTGAAAAGAAACGCTTTTCATTGAAAAGCGATTGAGATAATTACATATACAAATAACACCTGCGTCAGTGCACTATTTCTCTGTAGCAGTGTCTTCTTCGGTATCTTCTGTATACTTTGTATCTCTGAATCTTTTTCATATACTGTTTAAATGAAAAATCAAAAGGTATTTGGAGATTTCATAAATTCCTAAATAACAACCAGATATGAAAAACTACCTCTTAGATTTAGTAATCTTAGAACTCTTAGTAGAGTTCTCCAGAAGTACTCTTTCATTTTAATGATGTGTAACATAATAGAAATGCAGCAAATACATTTTTTAGCATTTAAAAACAATTTGAGAGGGAAAGAAAAAAATGCACATAGAATGCAATTAAAAACAGAGAAAATATCTTTCTTAATCTCCCAAAATAGTACATATTACCTAAGTATATACCACATCCATCTATATCCATTTCTCAACGATTAGAAAACATTTTAATGTTTACTTTCACATTGGCTGCCCTATATGAAGCACATCACTGCATATTGACATTTATAACAGGTAGTTTTTTCTTTTCCCAAAGAAAATAACTTTTTTTTCCTTGTTCCCAGTAGGTTATACAATTGTGTTGCTTAATGGCTAACTCATCATGGGCATTTGCTCTAAAATGATGGTAGGGAAGGAAGCTCCAGGAGTGAGTGTACTCTGCTTCTTACAGTTTCCTGATAGAGCATTCCTGATAGAGTGATCACATACAGTGTGAAATGTCTCTGAAGCCTTCTGTTGTCTTAAATAGACATGTAGTCATATCATTTCACATGTTACTTTATATAAATCCATGATCATTTTAAAAGAAAGAGAATATCCAAATTACTATGCCATGTTTAGCGCTGACTGTAGCACCCCTAGGGTTTCACAGCCAAAATCATATTTGAGAAACAAATGAAAGAACATGGTATTTGCAATTAAGTGCTGGTTTCGATCTTAAGTTTATTGCTCACTGATATTGGACCTTGTATAATTTATTTAATTTCTCTAACATTCAATAACTCCCCTGTAAAATGGAGTTAATATTATATGGAACCATGTGAAATTGCTATGTATGCAAGTTTAAAGTAGTGGAATACTAAACATTTCTAATGGTTCAAGCTTACTTTTCCCACATATGTATAAACGAATGTGTGCAAAATTCCCAGTAAAGTGCGTAACACACAGTAATTTTAATTATGCTAAGAAAATTGTTGAGGGCTCTATGCTAGCAGTATAAATAAAAATGCTTTTTCTATTACAAATAAAAATGTTTTCTATTTATAGTGAGAAGGCCATAGAATTAGAAGTCACAGTTACATTTTTTATCATTCATTAACTATGAGTATAAAAATCAACATTTTTACTTTTCAAACAGCTAGTTCACATGGTTGTTAACATGCTTGAATGAGATAATATATGTTAGTATGTGTGTCATGTGTGTTTATTCATTAAAGAAAGAGTAAACTAGTATAAATAGGTACTATGTAGAAATAGTACAAGCAGGTACCATACTAGGTGCTGCTCTAGATGTCAGTAAGACAGCAGTTAATAAGACAAAGTCCATTCCCTCTGGAAGCATACACACTAATAGGAAAGAACTGATAATAAGCAAGTAGATAGATTCAAAAGCATAATTTTATATAGTGACATCAAATAAAAAACAGAAATCTTAGCATGCAATAGGTGCTCAACGCAGATTTTTAAAATTCAGCTTTTTTCATAATTATATATCCATGCCATTTAATCTAGCCCATAATTCTTTTTTCTGTTGCAGCTTAGTGATATGTGATAAGAGGGTCCAAATATTTGGGCAGTTTGAAGAATTTCTAATTATTAGCTTCTCTGGATAACAAGCATTCTATTGAAAAGCTTCTCTCCTCCTTCATTAATCCGTTAGCAGTAATACTTGCTTCTGTTTCAAAGGTAGTAGCCATAAAATTTTAAGGCTAAATGTAATCTAGGTTAAGAAATATGGTAATTGTTACCTAGCTATCTGAATTATATTTCCCTAAATAACCAGCTTTCCTAGATGAAACATTTTTATTTCACCTTCTCTTTTTATAGCTGCATCCCTTTGGAATCTTTTTATCATTTTATTGCATTTGAAGCGCTTTCTTTTTTGGGGAAATAAAAAGAACGATTTGAACTTTACAAACAGATATAAATGGAAAGGAAGAGGAGGAAGGTCAGATTTTGAGTCTGCTAACCTTGGCAGTGTCCTTTGAAAGTAGTCCCTAGGTAGTGTTAACTTCTGCAAGCTCACGTGAGCCTAAGATCACCCCCGGGCCTAGCCTGCTTGGCAAACTGACAGAGGTCACATTTTCAGACAAATGAACAATTTCCCTGATAAAGTGAAACCGGTACTTAAGCACAAGCTCTAATGAGCAGCCCCCTGTCTTTAGCTCCCATTTTAAAGTATCCCCAAGGTTTCCAGTACAATTTCATTTGACCTTTAGCTAAAGACCATATTTTACTAGATCACCAATTTCCCCAAATCCCTGGAGTGTTTTCCTATGTCAGCACTTATGAGAAACCCACACTACACACAAGGCAGGTGTTCATTATTCGTCTTTAAGAACAACCAGCCCCTCTTCTCGCCCATTTCCCCTGATTTCCTGTTTCCCCTTTGACGGGATGATAGAAGTTTTCAGACTGCATTTTCAGATCCCCCCAAACAGCAAGCTTTGAATTTATATATTTTTGTCTGATAGTAAGATATGATTGTGGGCTATTAACTGCTATTATTTTTTGAACAATCTAAAAGATGTGTGAACTTTCTTTAAGGTTATAGAAAGCACAGAGTATTTATACTATTTATATTAACCTCAAATCATTTATGTTAACTTCCTCTTGTCTTTTGTTTCATAATTAGGATAGTATAACAATTAATGTTAGTAATTGATCATATTGCTATTTGGTTGGGTTAGTAATTTCCTTTAATCTTACATTAGTGGTATTACTAAAAAAGCACAAATCCTTTTTGAATCATCTGATGTTCAAATAATACCACAGAGGTTATGAGGGACGGGCGCTTTTCCCCCACTAATATATGCATAAAAGTGAGAGAATTTCCATGCTGCTTTCTAAAGGGAAAAGCCTGGATGGGACACCTTCATATTTTTACACTTTCTCACTCTCTCATGCCAAGGGAATAGAAGTGAGTTATTAACTCAGTGTCCTGTGGGTATTGCACAGACAATGTGATCTGCTTTTCTTGTCATATGATAACCAGACTTGGATAGGCTTTGTCTGTATAAGGATGAGGACTACAGTTTGGGAGAGTAAGTTAATTCTGGAGTGAGAGATTATTAAGCACATTGTAGCTATACATGGAAACTATATGCATCACTCTAGAAAGCTGAATCTTGATCTTCATTTGTTTCCGTCATGCGTACATCTTCTGGTCAGTTGTAAATGTAGGGGAGAAACTAAAGATGGAATTTATTAAAACCCTAAAGCCACAACATTTATAAATATAAATATAAATTTTAATCTGAAAAATGATGTTATTACAATTACCATTATTATTTCCATCCATTTCAATAAGTAAAATTTGAAATATCTATCTTGTTTTGGATGGAACAAGTTCAAAACCAAAATCAAAACTAAGTTTGAATGTCCTTAGACATGCTTGTATTCCTCAGTGTTCTCAATCCCCACTATTCCTTAGTATCTAATTCATTCTGCTTAATAAAATTTGAAAAAGCTAACAGTTTAATTAAAATTTAAAGTGGTTATTCATGTTAGATCTGAAAATATGTAAGTCATAAATGTAATGATAGATGTCTGAAACAGATAGAGGGAAAGAAACACTGCACGTTTTGTGACCTTTTGGATGTAAACACCTCTGCAGCCATTGGAAATACAAACTCAAAAGAAATAAATGTAATAACTACTGTAACTCATCAAGATGGTGCTGCATGATATTTATGGTACTAAATGCTTAATGAGAAATATTTTATTTAGCCCGGGCGCGGTGGCTCACTTCTGTAATCCCAGCACTTTGGGAGGCCGAGACGGGCAGATCACAAGGTCAGGAGTTCAAGACCAGACTGGCCAACATGGTGAATCCCCATCTCTATTAAAAATACAAAAATTAGCCGGGTGTGGTGGTGCGTAGTCCCAGCTACTCGGGAGGCTGAGGCAGGAGAATTGCTTGAACCTGGGAGGTGGAAGTTGCAATGAGCCAAGATTGCGCCACTGCAGTCTAGCCTGGGTGACAGAGCAAGACTTGGTCTCAAAAAAAAAAAAAAAGAAATATTTTATTTAATTCACAGAAATCTAGATAGGTAGATATTATTATTTCTATTTGACGGCTGTGTAAACTGAGCTACCAAGATAAGAGGTAAATTTTTTAAGTTTATATAGGTAGTAAGTTGGAATTCAGATTTATATCCCAATTGTCAATCTCTACAACTCACTCTATTGGCTGTGTTTTCTTGACCTCAGAAAAAGTTATGGCTTGTGTCTTACAGAAAAATTTTTTCCTCCCTCGACTAGTGTGGCAGAAAAAGATGACTATTGTGTCTCTCAGCTTCAGAATAATTTTATTTCATTAATATTACAAATTTTGGCAGATTGAGTTTTATAGATTAGTCTATTATTTACTAATACATGTCCTTAACAGTTATAAGCTATAAATATATACAGATACATATTTTCCCAGGTAATCATTTTAACCACACAACTAATGCACTTCTTAATTAGCAATGGAAAATTATCTGACAATTTGAATAGATCATTTGAAAAGTTAAAATAAACAGTTTCTTCAGAGTAAAGAAAATAAATTAATATATAATACAGAGGGAATAAGAATTTCTGTAGGGCTCATATATATAGGGAGAATTGAATATATTAGGAACTAGAATCTAAATTTCAAGCAACAGCTACACTGCTCTTAGATCTATCCAGGTTTACTTATCCATATCAACAGCAGGAACATATACCCAGATAAATTTCTGCTTCCTCCATTCTATCAACAAATTATTGACCAAAGCCCTCCCATTAAAAGTAAATATGCCTTCAATAAATCTGTATTTTTCCAGACCAGCAACTCATGATTTGATATTTGAATTCTTTTCTGAAGTTCATTTATATTTTTTTCTAAAAATAAGTTGTTACTTTGTGAATTGAGGATGTGCGTGCGCGCACACACACACACACACACACACACACAGAGTCAATAATTAGATCTTGGAACAAACAGGCAAATGATAAGCAATACAAAAAATGTATAAAGATCTATTAAAGGAAGCATGAATACTGCACAAAAGGAGTCCAAGGCTGAAAATAATTGATCTTGTTTAGGATATTAGTAGGGTGAACAACTTTCTTGGTTTGCCAGGGACTGAGGGATATCTCTGCATGCTGGACTTTCAGTGCTATAATTAGGACAGTGCTGAGAAAACTGAGAAGGTTGATCAACCTAAAATGTGAAATTATTCAATAAGAAGATACATTTGGGGGCAAGTGTTTAATCATAACAACAATTATATTATCATTATTTCTAACGTCCACTGGCCTTATTGTGTGCCAGACATTGTTCTAAGGCAAATTATGTGGTCGTTCACTATCCTCTTTATATAATTGAAGAAACAGAGGCATGTTGAAGCTTGAAAGGGAATATGAACGTGAGAATCAGGACAGAATAGGTACTCGGGAATAGTAAAGATTTAAGGACACTGAAGAATAAAAGCGTGTCTAAAGGCATTAAAATTTTAGTTTTGATTGTACTTTTGAAAAAAACAAGTCACATCTGCAGACTGTGTCTGCTTAACAGCTACCAGTTGGAAGCTTCTGAGGGATTAATAGAATATGTTCCACAGTGAACATAGAGAAGACAGTTTGCATGCCAAGGAATGACAGGGTAAAAGACCCAGGTGCTGAAATATTTAATATGGCAGGAATATTGGTTTTTATGAAAGGGGAAAAGAGATACGGGTGTTGTTAAAATAGATTAGGGCCAGATTTTGAAGTATGTGTGATTTTTATTCTGAGCAGTGATCATTTGTCAGGGGCTTTTAAGTAGGAGCATGACCCTATTTTACCTATGTTTTTCAAAGATGAATTTGGTGCAGCATTAACAATAATTTGAAGAGAAGAAATGGAGAAAAAGAGCAGTTGAGAGTTTATGGCTATTGTCTTGTAAAAATTCATAATGACCTGAAGGAAGTCAGCAACAGTGGGGTTGAGGAGAATAGAGCCAAACACATATGGGAGGTAAAAATGAGTATGCTCAGTACATGACTAAATATGGTAGTCAAGAAGAAGCAAAATGTGAGAATGATTAGGAGCTTTCTTGCATGAATGGATGAATAAAGTGTGATTCATTATGAGTGACTTGAAAATGCAGAAAGTGGAGCAGAATTGACCTGGAGAGAATCAGGGAATATAGTCGTATTTAGTTTGAATATGCATGTGACTTTCTGCTCTACAATGAAACACTGAGTTGGAAAATGGTTTTTATCATTTTTAATATTATATGTTAAGTCCCTAAGGTAAGCATTCTGGTAGAAATGCTACAAACTTGGTAGAATAAGCCTACCTTGAAAACAAATCAGGTATACATGCTGGCAAATGGCATAGTGGAACGCTGCCAAATAGGTTAATGGTTCTGAAAATCATTTTACCCCAACATGGGTAAAAATCGTGTCTGTATGTGAACGTGTTGCAGGAGGGATTAATGGACTAGCAGCCTTTACTTTTGACTTCAGAACAAGTCATATTTCATAGTCCTATGGGATGCTACTTAGGGAATAATTTATCAGGTTAATTCATCAATATTAATTATTATTTATCACAGGTCCACAGTGTAGCACATTTTATTCTGTAATTTGTTAGATAGGGACAGACACAATTCGTTTCCAACAAGGAAATAGGAGATTATATGCAGAAGATAAATTCCAAAAACCATTATCAATTATGTGTGACTTTTCAAAATGATAATTAATTGATTAGAGCCTAGTGAAGTCATATTCACTCCAACATACTCTCTCTTTCTCTTCCTCCACTCCCCTACTCCAGGTCAAAATATTAGAGAAGGTTTTATAGAGCAAGTTATAAAAAACAATTCCATTCAATAAACATTTATTGTATATCCATTCTATGAAAATCTTTGTCCTAGATACTGCCTTGTGAAAAGTAAAGATGATTATCTTCCTTTGCCTTCAAAAAGTATTAATAATTTATGATGGTGGAAATTTAGATGCCTCTTTTTAACATATTATCTCATTTGATTTTCACAAATAACTTACAGAATAGGTAGGGGAGGTATTTTCCCACATTTTACAGATAATGTAATTGTATCTTATAGATAAGGCAATGTCATGTCTTTACATGTTTTAATAAAGAAAGTTGTTAGTTAAACAAATCGACATCAGAAATGGGCTATAAAAATGAGGAAAAATTTAAATTGAGAAGAGTTTGTGGTCTGGAGTGAACAGTTTAGATCAGTATCAGCAAACACACGGTATTTGTGAGAGACTTGTCATTCCCTCGACCTCTGAGAACATCACTAACCAACCCCAGAACTGTTTTCTACTAAATTGGAATTGGCCTTACGACCCCTCTCTACCTAGCCCTTCAAACAGCCATTACAATCCATTGCGAGTGGCATTTGTCATGAAACCTATTTGCACCTAGATAGAAAAGAAGAGGAGACAATTGAAAAGGCATATCAGTGAAGGAAGTAAAGATAAAATGTTGAAAGAAGAATTCAGAATAATATTTTTTTTTCTGAAATTGTTTTGAGAAGAAGTATGTGGTATAAGCAGAGAGGGGATAATTACAACAGCAGGTGTTATTTGTGTGATAGCAGATTGACAGAGAATTATAATTCTACATAGAAGATGAGAGCAGAGCTGATGAATACTTCTCCTAGATGGGCCAGGACACTTATGTCCTGTGCAACAGTCATTCTCTTGCTCCCCTTCGCTCCTCTTTCACCCAATTCACAGAGACACAAAATTTCTTCTTTGGAGAAATTGAATGGAATATACTCCTGGACCCTCAGACACCAAGCACTCGGATACACCGTAATCACATTTCTGCTGCCAGAGAAGAGGCAGTTGGATGCATGTCAACCCCTTTCTATTTGTCCTCTCCTAGACAGCAAATGGAGGTGTCCTTCTCTGAAAAAACGGACTAGTCCTGAAAAACAATCTATCCTCAACCTGCCTTGGAAGAGTGGCCCCATAAAATTCCTCTCACCATCTGCCAATTCTAAATTAGGCCAATGATGGGAATGTCACTTCCTTATACACTCCAATCAATCTTTTCATCCCTCTTAGAGATGAAAACAGACAAGTTTCAGAAGGAAATTCATTAATGTCACGAAAAGAAGCAAAAACATAAGATTGGAATGCAAACATTCAGAAAAGAAAAAATTTTGAAGAGACATACGTAAAATAGAAGAACTTCAAAGACAAAAGGTCTCCAATTGATACTATCAGATGAATAAGAGAAAATATTGCATCACCCAAAGAAAAGCAGAGTAATATTGGCAAGAAATGATTAAAGAAAAGATCAAATAAAAGCTTTGAAAATAAAAATGTGACAGTAGAAATGCAACATTTAATAGAAAGCTGAAAGGGTAATGTCAATGATAACTTCCAAGAAAGTAGAACAAAAAAAAAAACAAAAGAGACAGAGAGACAGAGACATGTGCACACGTGTGCATGTGTGTGCACACACACACGGGAGAGAGGGAGTAAGAGAGAGAGACGAGAATATAAGATAGAGGATCAATTTCTGGTTTTAACAACTTTAGAAAAAGATAACAAAAACAGTGAAAAGAAAATGTTATCCAAGAATTAAAATAATGAACAAATTCCTAAAAAGAGGAACATTAATTTCTGGTTTATTATTATTCATTTAATTACACACGTATGTAGGTATATATGTATATTTTTTTAAAAAATTCTTCCAGCTTTAAGTATAATTGACAAATACAAATTGTATTTATGTGTACAACTTGATGATTTTGTATGAATTGTGAAATGATTACCACAATCAAGCTAATTAACATATCTATCACATCACATAGTCAACTCCCACATTTTGTGGTGAGAACACTTAAATTTATTCTCTCAGCAGATTTTAAGTATACAATATATTATTATTAACCATTGTCAACATGTTACACATTATATTTCATGATGAACTATGCTTATATACATATAAGTTCATATGTGACAAACTTATTCATCACATAACTGAAAATTTGTACCCTTTGACTAAGATCTTTCTATTTTCCCCAACCCCAGCCCCTGGTAATCAGCATTCTACATTCTTTTTTTACTTAAGGTATAAGTGAGATTATGCAATGTTAGTTTTTATATGTCTGACATGACATCCTCCAGGTTCATTCATTTTGTATCAAATTGCATGATTTCCTTCTGTTTTAGGGCTGAATGGCATTCCATTGTGTCCATGTATCACATTTTCTTTATGCTTTACATATCAGTGGGCAGTTAGGTTGTTTCCGTATCTTGACTATTGTGCATAATGCTGCAGTGAACATGGGGAGTTCAGATATCTCTGAAAAATCCTGATTTTAGTTCCATTGGATATATACTCAGTAGTGAGATTGCTGTATCATAATGTAGTTTTATGTTTAATTTTTTCAAGAGACCTCCATAATGTTTTCCATAATGACTATATTAGTTTACTTTTCATCAATAGTGTACAGTGATCCCTTTTCTTTACATCCTTGCTAACATTTATCTTTTACTTTTTTTACTTTTGGTTTTGATTTGCATTTCTCTGATTGGTTATGCTGAGCACATTTTCATATACCTGTTAGACATTTATATGTCTTCTTTAGAAAAATGTCTATTCAGGTTTTTTGTCCATTTTTTAAATTGTGCTTTTTTTGTCATTGAGTTGTATGAAATCTTTACATATTTGAAATGTAATCCCTTATCAGACATATGGCTTATAATTTTTTTGCATTCCATCAGTTACTTTTGCATTTCGTTGGTTGTTTTCTTTGCTGTTTTCATGAAATAGTAACTTGATATAGGTCACTTGTTTATTTTTGCTTTTGTTGACTTGTTTTTGATGGCATATTCAAAAAATTTATTGCCATGACCGATTTCATGGATTTTCCACTACATTTTCTTCTAGGAGTTTTATGGTATTAATTCACATGTTTAGGTCTTCTGGAAGACTTAACTACTGCATTTGAGTTGCTTTCTGTGTATAATGTAAAATAAGGATCCAAAACTGTTTGTGGACATAGTTTTCCAACATTATTTATCAAAGAGACTATCCATTCCTCATTTGGTATTCTTGGTGCCTTTATCGAAGATAGTTACCTACTTATGTGTGAGTTTATTTCTGAGCATTGTAATCTGTTCCATTGGTCTATATGCCTGTTTTTATGGCAGTACCATACTTTGTTGATTACTATAGCTTTGTAATATTATTTGAAATTGGGGAATGTGAAGATCCAGCTTTGCTCTTATTTGTCAGAATTGCCTTAGCTGTTCAGGGTCTTTGGTGGTTCCATACAAACGTTAGACTTTTTTTCTATTTCTTTGAAAAATGCCATTGAAATTTTAATACAATTACACTGAATCTGTAAAGAACTTTGGGCAGTATGAGCATTTTAACAGTGTTAATTCTTCCAATTCATGAACATAGGATATCTTTCTATTTATATGTGTTTTCTTCAATTTCCTTCATCAATGTCTTTAATTTTTAATGTACAACTCTTTCACCTCCATGTTTAAACTTATTCATAAGCACTTCGTTCTTGTTGTTGCTATTGTAAATAACATTTTCTTAATTTTATTTTTGTATAGTTGTTACTACATAGAAACACAACTAAATTTTGTACATTGATTTAGTATACTATAATATAACTTTACTAAATTTCTTCATTATTTCCAATAGTTTTTGTGGTAGAGTCTGTATGGTTTTCTATATATAAGATAATGATGTCTGCAAACAGGGACCACTTACATTATTTCTTTCTGATTTGGATGTCTTTTATTTCACTTCTTATTTTTGCCTAATTGCTCTATCTAGGACTTCCAGTATTAGGTTGAATGGAAGTGGAAAGAGTAGGCATCCTTTTCACATTCAGGATCTTAGAGGAAAAGATTTTAGCTTTTCACTGCTGAGTAGAATGTTGGCTGTGAGCTTGTCATATATAGCCTTTATTACACTGAAGCATATATATCTTTAATTTGTAATTTGTTAAAAGTTTTGATCATGAAATGATGTTGAATTTTGTGAAATGCTTTTTATTCATCTTTTGAGAGAATTACATAGTTTTTATCTTTCATTTTCTTAATGCTGTGTATCACATTTGTCGATTTGCGTATGTTGAACTATCCTTAAATCCCGGGAATGAATCCCACTTGTTCATGATGTATGACCATTTTGATGTGCTTTTGAATTCAATTTGCTAATATTTTGTTGAGGGTTTTTGCATCTATGTTCATTAGGGATATTGGACTGTAATTTTCTTATATTGCAGTATCCTTCTTGGCTTTGTTACAAGGGTAACGTTGGATTAGTAAAATTATTTTCAAAATGTCCCCTCCTCTTCCAATTTTTTGAAAGCATTTTGAGAAGGACAGGTCTTAATTCTTTTTTAAACATTTAGTAGAATTTGTGAGTGAAACCATCTTGTCCTGGGCTTTTCTTTTTTAGGAGATTGTTGACTAGTGATTTAAGCTCTTAACTTGTTAATAGTCTATTCAGATTTTCTACTTCTTCAGGATTAAATCTTGGTAGGTTGTATGTGTCTAGGGATTTATCCATATTTTCTATCATATCTAATTTTTTGTATCTAATTATTAATAGTAGTCTCATGATCCTTTGCATTTCTGTGATATCAGTTGTAATTTCTCTTATTTTTGATTTTATTAGAGTTATCTCACTTTTTTCTTAGTGTAGTTAAAGATTTATCAATTTTATCTTTTCAAAAATCCAACGCTTTTTTTTTTTTTTTGGTCTTTTCTATTGTTTTTCTTGTCTCCTCTCTTTCATTTATTCCTGCTCTAATGTTTGTTATTTTCTTTCTTCTGCTAACCTGGACTATTTTGCTTTTCTTTTTCTAGTTCTATGAGGTATAGAGTTAGGTAGTTTATTAGAGCTTTTTCATTTTTCTGCATATAGACATTTGTCACTACATACTTTCCCTTTAGAATAGCTTTTGCTATATCCCATAAGTTTTGCTATGTTGTATTTTCATTTTCATTTGTCTCAAAATATTTTCTGATTCCTCTTTTGACTTCTCTGACACATTGGTTATTCAGGAGTGTGTTGTTTAATTTCCACGTATTTGTGGATTTTAAAAATTATTTTCCCTGTTATTGATTTCTATTTTCATACCATTGTGATCAGAAAAGCTATTTGATATATATTCAAACTTCTTAAGTTTTATGACTTTTTTGTGGCCTAACATATCTATCCGGAAGAATGTTGCATAAGTTTGATAAGAATATGTATTCTGCTTCTGTTGGATGGAATGTTCTGTATATGTCTGTTAGGTCCATTTGGTCTAAAATGTATTCAAATTCAGTATTTCCTTGTTGATTTTCTATTGGCGTTATCTTTTCATTGTTGAACATGGGGGTATTGAAGTTCCCCTGCTATCATTATATTGCTATTTATTCCCCCCTCTGATTTGTTAATATTTATTTTATATATCTAGGTGTTATGGTGTTGGATGCACATATATATATTCACAATTATTATATCCTCTTGATGAATTGATCTTATCACTATATAATGACCTTATTTGTCTTTTTTTATAGTTTTTGACTTACAGTCTATTTTGTTTGATGTAAGTGTAGCCAAACTTGCTCTCTTTTGGTTTTGATTTACATGGGTTATTTTTTTCATATCTCACATAACCCTATATGTGTCCTTAAATCTAAAGTTAGTCTCTGGTAAACAACATATTTTGGATCTTGTTTTTTCTTCATTCACTCAGCCACTCTATGACTTTTAATCAGAGAATTTAGTTCATTTACATTTAAAATAATTATTGATAAGTAAGCATTTAACATTGGCATTTTAAAATTGTTTTCTGTCTCTTTTGTTGTTCTTTTGTTACTTTTTCCCTCTTTTGCTGTCTTGTGATTTTTTGATTTTCTATTATGGTATGCTTTGATCCACTACCATTTATCTTTGCATATCTAATATAGTTTTTGTGTTGTTGTTGCCATGGGGCTTACATAAGAAATCTTACAGTCATAACAGTCTATTTTAAGCTGATATTAACTTAACTTCAAAGGAGTGGGTGAAGCACACAAAGTGTCAGGGGCACCTGTGGGCCAGCTTGTGGGGAGAGTCTGCAGGAGAAGTGTTCCAAGCAACTCATAGAAAGGACTCCTGATAGAGTCCACAAAGAATTTAACAGGCTACATGGCTCTTTGTTGAGTTTTAAGCCATTATTATTGTTAGTCTCTGCCTCTTTTCTTTGCTTCCAGCTTCTCCTAGCCATTCAGCTATGCTGATCCCCTCACTATTCTGGATGTGATTAGAAAGAGGTGGGCCTCTTGGGCAGTACTTCACACAGCTGGAACAGCTGGACAATCACTCTTTATGTTCTCATTTTCTCTTATAAGAAAAATCCTGGACAGAGGTGCTCTCTCCAGTAGTGAGCTGTGATGCCTTGGGGTGAGGTGACATGGGTAAAGTGAATTATTTTTCTTATCCTCCCCAGTGTGTCTCTTCTTGGTTATTTTTGCTCCCATGGTATGGTGGAACTTCTCTGCTGGACTCTTGGACTCCCTCAAAAGTACTCTCATCTGTGAGTGTCTGTTAAAATCACTGTGCTGTGGGAGGATGATGGTAGAAAACTCCAATTCCACCATCTTGCTTACATCGCTCTTTGAGATTCTGGTTTTAAATGTTTTTTTATGTGACCAAATATCTGAATTAGAGAAAAACCTACATTAATCCCGAAAATTATAAATATTTAGAACACTAGGGATTATGGTGGACATGATAAAAGCTTTAAAAAATATAACGAATTTATATTAAGAAAGTATTAAAATGGTAAGCATATTTTAAAAAGTAACATTTACGTACTAAAAGATGATGGACAAAGTTTTCAAAATTCTTTATATCAACCTACAATACTAGATCCAAACAAGGGATTACTCAAATGTGGTGGTAAAATAAAGTTGTGGACATTCAAGGACTTTGATATGTACTTTTCTTCTACCTACGCAAATACTTACAAGGGTACTATACATAAGTAAAGAAGTAAGCAAAGAAAGAAGAAAATAAGAAATAGCGAACAGGCAGTCCAACACAAGAGAACCATAAAGAGAAATCTCAGGATTATAAACATGCAGCGGGTGTTGAGAGTAATTTTTCCAGGTTTAAATAGGAGAAAAGAAAAGTAATAATTATTCAAAATGAGTTTGAATATTCAGGGGAAATAAATTTGATAGGTCTAGGCTGAATATGATAGGGCAGCTAGAGAATTTAGGGATAGGTTTATAGAAAATTGAGCAAGAGAAAAATGAATCAGTTATTAACTCTACAAAATTAATTTGTACAAGAAAGGAAATCACAGGTAATCTTATCTATGTTTCACAAGGAATATATTATTATCCTAGTTGCAAATGAAATACAGACTACCTATCTATGTCTTAATTCAGAATTATTTTATTGCACTGTTTAAAGTTCAAATACATTTGAGGGATAATTCAAATATCTGTTGAATGTATTTATTTGTAAAATATTTCTGTGACAATTTTAAAAAATTATGAAGTAAAGCAATGTTATTAAGTCTCTAATAAATGAAATAAAGCTCAGAGTGTATTTGCAGTAATTTGATGAGAAGAAAAGGGTCCAAGGGATTTGAAATAGAGTTTTTTTTAGTAATATACTAACTTAACAAAATAGACAAAAATTGTATGACATAACTTCTATAATATTTTGGTTAAACTATAATGGAAGAGAATTTACTTAATTCTACTCATTTCAGAATATGATTAACACTGATATTCTATAATTCATTTAGTGTTTAAAAAATCTTAATATTCTATAGCTCATCTAATAGTTGTTTGTTGTTTTGAGATGGAGTCTTGCTCTGTCACTCAGGCTGGAGTGCAGTGGCGCAATCTCTGCTCACTGCAAGCTCCGCCTCTGGGGTTCACGCCATTCTCCTGCCTCAGCCTCCCGAGTAGCTGGGACTACAGGCGCCTGCCACCACGCCCAGCTAATTTTTTGCATTTTTAGTAGAGACAGGGTTTCACCGTGTTAGCCAGGATGGTCTCGATCGCCTGACCTCGTGATCCGCCCGCCTCAGCCTCCCAAAGTGCTGGGATTACAGGCGTGAGCCACCACGCCTGGCCTCATCGAATAGTTTGTAAAAATCTTGTCTCTGTAAACCCAGCAGTATATTGGAAACATGTTGATTTTTCTTAAATTAACAAGGTTGTAGTATTATGCATGTCTGAAACCTAGGTCAGGTTGCACACCTGAGTTCTTTGGGTAGCCTCCATTATTGTTTGCTCTGATAATCTTCCTGGGCAAGTGGAAGAACTATAAGAATTGTAGGACATAAATGAACTTATTCAGTGATGATCTTAAAATCTGTAGCTTTTTACAAATCACTTTTACAGTGATTTATTTCCTATCGTGTTCCAGAGGATCACAGAAATCTTTAATGTTTTGATTTCAAGGGAATATTTATTAGATTAAGTAAAATATATAATTAAGTCTAACATTAAGAAATAATGTTAGACTTAGGCCACAAGTCTTGGTCATCAAGACACAGTTTAAGCTTTCAAGAAGCTAACAGTCTCGTGGCATAGGGTTGTATACATGAAACTGATGGAAAGGAAAATAAAAATAAGTGCTTGCTGCTCTGGAAATAAAAGATATCTAATGCAGTCAGTTTTGTGATTGGAAACTGGCTTTAAGATATGGCTTCTGGAGAAAGAGAAATCTAAAATGAGAGTTGAAAGATGAATAAAACTCATTAAGGAACAGTGGAAGAGCATGTGCAAAAACATGTTGATAATAGAACTGTATGAACTCCAATATGCTTTGAATTAATATAAGCCATAATGGTAATGATGATCATAATGACAGTGATAATGTTGTTGTTGGTGATTTGCATGAGCTAGGTTAGTGACAGGATTGAGAGACAAGTAGAAGCTAGACGACAATGGCTTTGAATGGAGACTTCCTAGTTATTTTACTCTCTGTAAGGCTAGTAGAGATAATTAAGGATTATAGCCTGACACAGACTAGGAAATATATTTATTTATTTACTTATTTACTTATTTAATTAATTTATGTTTTTTGAGACAGAGTTTCGCTCTTGTCACCCAGGCTGGAGTGCAATGGTGTCGTCTCAGCTCACTGCAACCTCCGCCTCCCGAGTTCAAGTGATTCTCCTGCCTCGGCCTCCCAAGAAGCTGGGACTACACGCGTGCGCCACCATGCCTGGCTAATTTTTGTATTTTTTTTAGTAGAGACAGGGTTTCACCATATTGGCCAGGCTGGTCTCGAACTCCTGACTTTGTGATCTGCCCACCTCAGCCTCCCAAAGTGCTGGGATTACAGGCGTGAGCCACCACACCCAGCCGGAAATATTTTTATTTTTAAAAGAGTATTCTATTCATGTAAGGAATGGATTGCTGGAAAGTAACTAGAGTCAGAAAGAAAGCTAATAAATTGTGACAATAACAGAAATGAAACATTCAAATAGTAACAGGGTTTTCTTATTAAAAAAAGAAGTTAGACTTGATAGATGTTTTTCTTAAAAAGGTTAAGATATAAACCTTTTTCCAAACTGATTGGAAAAGGGAGGAGTCAAAGATGGTTTTCAAGTTTGTAGCTTGAGTGGCTGGGAGGTGATGGTATTTAGAAAAATAGGAAATGGAGTGGTGAAAAGAGCAGGAAAGATAATGAATTCAACTGTGGGTGTTGGAACTGACATTTTCCATTTTTTTCAAATGGTTCAGGAAACAGAGAAGTGATGTTGGCTCCAATAATTTCTGGCAAGGAACTTCAGTTCTACAGCTGGAAATTCAAGCAATCAGCAGTGAAATTGATCCCTTTCTTTTTCTTTCTTCTCTCAAATAGTAGAAGTATTACTATTAAGAGTAGTAGGAATAGCAGCAGCAGAAGTGGTAGTATTAATAGTAACAGTAACAATAATAATAGTCATAGTGGTAGAAACTGCAAAATCATTTTCCTACTGCAATAGCGTTGTTCAGTTTTGATGGTAGAGGTTCCTTCACTGAAATAATTTTACATCACTGTTTTGGTAACTATTCTTAACTATTTTGGTTCAATTTAGGTTCCCTAGCCATTTCAAAAATTTTATTGAACATTTAAATTGTCTAGAGTCAGCGGTGTTGCTTGCAACTAAAAATTCTTCCTCAAACTAATATGTTGAATTTAGGTGACTTTAGAATATACAATTAGAAATATCAAATAGGACACATGAATGCATTGGTCTTGGTGCCAGAAAAAAATTCAGAGCTAGAGATGTAGGTTTGGCAATGATTGGTATTTGGCTGTTAGTTGAAACTGTTAGAATAAAACCCCTGAGATAGCAGGTTGTGAATCTCAAACACAGGTGAAGGATTATCCTCAGGCAAGCTATGGATACCTCATTCCTTAAGACAAGAAAAGAAAGGAAAAAAAAAAAAAGCACACCTAGAGATTGATTTTCTTTCCTTAAAGTCTTGATGTTTTGTAATGACAAGACTTTCTCTTGCAACCCAGGATTTCACCACAAAGAATTTCTTTTTCACCCAAGCATTTAAATGTACTTTTCTGAGTACCTTGTTAATGTCAAAGTGAGGCCAGGCACAGTGGCTCACGCCTGTAATCCCAGCACTTTGGGAGGCCGATGTGTGCTAATCACGAGTTCAGGAGATCGAGACCATCCTGGCCAGCCAAGTGAAACCCCGTCTCTACTAAAAAAAAATATAAAAATTAGCCAGGTGTAGTGGCACGTGCCTGTAGTCCCAGCTATTCGGCAGGCTAAGGCAGGAGAATCGCTTGAACCCGGAATGCGGAGGCTGCCGTGAGCCGAGATGCGTCACTGCACTCTAGCCTGGCAACAGACTGAGACTCCGTCTCAAAAAAAAAGTGTCAAAGTGAAATTCACACTTCCTCTTATATCAGAGGTAGGTCTGTATGATCAGTAAAATACTTGATATTTTCAGAGGTCCTAAACAGCATTTATGATAAGACATCTTTCCTCTGCTATACACTTGACCTCACTAGCATTTGATAACTGGATGCAATGCAATAAATAAACATTTAGTTTCAAGCAAATACAAGAATTCAAGGAACTCAAAAGTGTCAAATACATTTTTTACCAGAAATTCCTATGAATAGATTATATTTGACAGAAACAAAAAAAATTTGGGATATTGAAATAAGTATAGATTATTAAATGGTGAATTGCAGTAATCATTTTTCTAGATTCTTATTTTGTCATTAACTTTTCTCAGCCTTTACTTCTTATCTTTGATAATATATATAGGTTTATCTCTAAATATTAAGACTTTTTAAAGGTGACTTTTAAGGTGTTTAAGTTTAAGATGACTGTTTAAGGTGACTGCCTGCTCTTATCTTAAAAAATTCTTATACAAAGGAAAAGAAACTTGACATTTGAAATGAGGACAAACATATTCTTACCAATTATTTTGGCCCCATGGTTCTTTGCTGATATTTCCTCTATTGCCCTAGATTGTGTTTCCAAGATCTGTTTTCATGTTTCTCCACTTTTTAGATTTAAGATCCCCTGAAGGGCAGGGGCCATGTCTTAATAATTTTTGTAAATCCATAAGCTAATGTAGGATCTGACAGGCTAATGTAAGAAAGCAATATACTTTCAATATATATTTGTTGAATGAGAAATTGAAGTAATCATGACTCAATCAGAGAGAAATGTTGCTCATAAGGACCTTGAAAGGAGGTACAGTCTATTAGAAAAAGTATTTCATGAATAGAATTCATTTTTAATAACACATGTTTACTAAGAACCTCATACAATGCCAGATATTGTGAATACAAAAAAGTGATAAATCTCTTTTTGTAGGTTACATAATAGGGAGAGGAATATTTGAGAGATTGTCAGGAATATTCAACCCCTACCCTCACAATACATTTAGAAAACTGCACACATTTCTTAGTAAACAAAAGCACTTTTATTTCATGCTTGTGAGAATGGAATGATAAGAAGGAAAAAATATATTCTTACAAGACTTCACTAAATGAGTTCTTTTTTAGCAAATTAAGATAACTTAGGCTTTGGAAGCATTCCCAGACGTGAGAAATAAGGCAAATAACATCTGTTTTTCAAAGTATCCACTACCTTCTTTGTGAATATGGATTCAGAGTAAATAAGCCATAGCTCTCCTCATTTCTTGTTGAGAGGTAAGAATTGTCTCTCTTAGAATCTTTACTGATTCCATATGTTGTTACAAGGCTCAATATAAATTTAAGAATTTGGGTAAAAATACTTTGAAAATATTATCTGTGTATAGAATCTATTTGAACTTAGCAGGTGTCTCTAAAACGATTACATGAAAATGCTAATTTTATGATGCTTATATCCTGCTGTTCGATGGTTGATTCCAACAATTTTGTAATTAATTTTTTCCCATTTATTTTGTTAGTTTCTAAAGCCAGGGGCATAATTTATACAATTAAATAAAACCTTGGTGTTTCTAATCAAAAGAGCAGAACACTTGAAATAATATGGATCAGACCCTGTGAAAAAAGAAACTTGCTCATAATCTAGCCACTTCATTTTCAACAGTTACTGTCACAGCTTTTAATTTCAATTAATAATATCCTTAAAAAGATTCATGCTTTGATAATTAGTTTGGACCACACCAAATTTATTTAAGTGAGAAATCAGCTTTCAAAGAAAAAACATACATCATTTTAGAGGTCTGCTTTTTAAATTTGTAAGCATTTGGCTTTTATTTTGAAAAATTTTGGATGCTCAAAACGTTGAATAAACAGGAAAATGAGCACCTGAATACTCATCATAGACATTTATTAATCAGTAATGTCCTATCAACCGGCTCTACATTTCCCACTTTCTCCAAATAAATGCTGCAGACATCAACACATTTTACTTCTAATTACTTCAGCATGTATCTTTCAAGATAAGGAGTCACACCCAGATCTCTTCATTGTATAGGGACATTTTCTCCTTGGTAGTTAATAAGTAACATGTGAGTGATACTCTGAGATCTTGTAAATACCTTTTTATCCAACACGCCAGCAATGGTTTTAAGTTCTATTGATTACCCTGTGTGAATCATGAAAACTATATTAGCAGTTATAAAATAATGACTTTTGTTTGTTTGTTTTGAGACAGAGTCTTGCCCTGTCGCCCAGGCTGGAGTGCAGTGGGGCGATCTCGGCTCACTGCAAGCTCCGCCTCCCAGGTTCACGCCATTCTCCTGCCTCAGCCTCCCCAGAAGCTGGGGCTACAGATGCCCAGCTAATTTTCTGTATTTATAGTAGAGACAGGGTTTCACCGTGTTAGCCAGGATTGTCTCGATCTTCCGACCTCGAGATCCGCCTGCCTTGGCCTCCCAAAGTGCTGGGATTACAGGCGTGAGCCACCGCACCCAGCCAAATAATGACTAATTTTATCATTCCTTAGGATATGCTTCCTCCAACCTCATATTTTTTTTTCTTTTCCTCCTTCTGTGATACCCTACCTTCTTGTAACCTGAATTTTTCATGCGTGTCCATGTGAAGAGACCACCAAACAGGCTTTGCGTGAGCAATAAAGCTTTTAATCACCTGGGTGCAGGCGGGCTGAGTCCGAAAAGAGAGCAAAGGGAGATAGGGGTGGGGCCATTTTATAGGATTTGGGTAGGTAAAGGAAAATTACAGTCAAAGGGGGTTTGTTCTCTGGCTGGCAGGAGTGGGGGTCGCAAGGTGCTCAGTGGGGGAGCTTTTTGAGCCAGGATGAGCCAGGAAAAGGACTTTCACAAGGTAATGTCATCACTTAAGGCAAGGACTGGCCATTTTCACTTCTTTTGTGGTGGAATGTCATCAGTTAAGGCAAGGACCGGCCATTTACACTTCTTTTGCGGTAGAATGTGATCAGTTAAGGCGGGGCAGGGCATTTTCACTTCTTTTGTGATTCTTCAGTTACTTCAGGCCATCTGGGTGAATACGTGCAAGTCACAGGGGATGCGATGGCTTGGCTTGGGCTCAGAGGCCTGACATTCCTGCCTTCTTATACTAATAAGAAAAATGAAACAAAATAGTGTTGAAGTGTTGGGGCGGTGAAAATTTTTGGGGAGGTGGTATGGAGAGAGAGAATGGGCGATGTTTCTCAGCACTGCTTCAAGCAGGATTAGGGGCGGCGTGGGAACCTAGAGTGGGAGAGATTAAGCTGAAGGGAGATCTTGTGGTAAGGGGTGATATTGTGGGGATGTTAGAAGAAACATTTGTCATATATTATGATTGGTGATGGCCTGGATACGGTTTTGGATGAATTGAGAAACTAAACGGAAGATACAAGGTCCGAATAAAAGAAGGAGAAAAATGGGTATTAAAGGACTAAGAAGTGGAAGGACCTACGACATCCAATTAGAGAGTGCCCAAGGGGGTTCAGCATAATTACTTGCTTGGTTGGCAAGTTTTTGGGCTCTATCCTTGAGTTTTTTTATGTTGTCATACACCAGGCCAGATTGATTTAGGTAAAAACAACGCTCTTCATTTAAGAAAATACAGAGTCCTCCTTTTTCAGCAGTGAGTAAGACAAGGCCTTGGCAGTTTTGGAGGACAACTGCAGCTAAAAAGTCAACTTGGGCCTGGAGGACTGATAAAGTTTGTGACATGTCTGTGATGCTAGCAGAGAAGTCATTATACAGGCTATGGAAGGTTGTGACAGAGGTTGAAATGCCTGCTATTCCAGTACCGAGAGCAATAGTGGAGGCAGAAAGTCCTAAACCGATCAGCAAGGGAATTAGTAGAATAACTCTTTTTTGTTGTGTCAGTGTCATGAGGGGAACAGCGAGCTCTTCGGTCCCATTTGCAAATTGAATTATGGGGGTAAGGAAAACTAGTGTGCATGTACCTGTCCAATTAGCAGGTAGACACATGTAAGTAGAGGATCCACAGAGGAAGAAGAGACCTTGTGCGAGGCAAAACTGGAGATGCAAAGTAAAAAAGGTGAGAAGGAGTGCTGAAAAGGGGTGTCTTGTAGCCAGACTCCTAGGGATCCAGCTAGGGCGGCAGCCATCAGAGGTTGTAATGGGGACTGATGGGGTAACTGTGTAGAGGGGGAGGTTTGATTTTCATGGTGTATGAGAAAACATTGAGCATCTATGAACAACCTTTCACTGTTATTTTCAGGGCTGGGTTTAAGTAAACAAGAAGAGGGCCTGGGAGGAGAGTCTGACGAGCAAGGGGAAGGTAGCCAAGTATGGAGTGAAATACAGGGTAAGTGTCTTCCTAAGCAATAATTACTGCTAATGTTTTTGAGTTTGTCAGTATTGTTAGAGGGCTTGTCTGTAATATGGAGCTGGAAGTCTCCCATTGTTTCAGTGATGTGTGTAGTTGGGCTTCGGAGATGAAGAGTAAAGGAACATCGAGAAGGTGAAAGATTACCTAGGGGAATTCCAGTGGGTCTTTGCCGAGAGATACATAAAGGAGCGGCTACAGGAATAGTAGTTTGTGTTGTGAGAGGTCCAAATATGGGGAGAGTAGAGTTAACATAAGGAGAAAGGTTTTTTAAATAAGTGCAGAGGAGGGCGGCAGCTTGCTGATGTGAAATGTCTGGGGAAGTCTTGCTGGACCTGTCTAGAAAGTAAATGAGTTCTTCAGGAGGGTAAAGGTGAGGGCTGTTAAAGGAAGTTTGGAGGCGTAAGGAGACAGGAAATGTTGCCCAGAGTGCCTGTAAGATGGGGACAGCTGTGTAGGCACTGGAAGAAAGGGAAATGCAAAGCCAGAAGTTGTTCGCTAAGGAGAGATTAGAAGCAGCTAGGAGAGAATGGGTAAGGTTGATAGTGTGGTGGAGATAGCTGGGGAGAGGTAAAGGGTGGCATAAGAATGGGAATGAGAATAAGAGTGAGTATAAAAGTAAAGAATAGAGCTTCATCAGGGTGGAAGTATTGGAGGGTGCCCTGCCAGCAAAGATCATCTACCCACTCTAAGAGGGAATTAAGAGTGGCGGTTTGGGGATAGCACCAAGAGATATCAGCTGTGATGGCTTGAAGAAACAGTGTAAACCAGCAGTGTAAACAAGAGTAGGGCATTTATAAGTAGTTGAGAACGGAGAATAGGAGTATGACTAGAGAGAAAATAGTAGGGATGACAAGTTTTTTGGGGCTTGGCCTAAATGGTGGGGGTGACTTCGTAAAGCCTGTTGCAAAAAGTAGGGTAAGGACGAATAGACCTAATAGAATGAAGGGATATATTAGGCTCATAAGGGTTATTACTGTTCTTCATAAATATGAGTGAGTTTAAGGGAAGTAGGGGAGAGGACTTGCGACTTCCAGGAGGAAGAAGAGGGATTAGGCTGGCTGTCCAATGGACACAGCTTTATTCTGGAACGGTGAACCCAGTGGGGAGGATCCTGTAGGCAGACAGCAGTCGGGGTACTATAGATGACTAAGTAGGGTCCGGTCCATTGAGGTTGTAGAGTTTGAGGGGTCAGACTCTTAACAAGAACTGATCGTCCAGCTAGGGTGTCTTCATATGGCTGGGGATCTGGAGTAGGCAAGAGAAGATTAGCAGCCTGGCGGATTTCCTGTCTAGCCTGTTGGAGGACTGGAAGATAGTCGCCTAGAGGGCTGGTGTCTGGGATGAGGTTGGGGCCAAGCAAGAAAATGCATCCATATAAATGTTCAAATGGACTGTACCCTGTAGCATCTCGAAGACAGGCTCTAATTCTGAGAAGGGCAAGAGGTAAAAGTACTGTCCAGTCCTTTTTAAGTTGGAGGCTGAGCTTGGTGAGGTGTGTCTTTAGAAGACCATTAGTCTGTTCTACCTTTCCTGAAGATTGGGGATGGTAAGGGATATGAAGGTTCCACTGAATACCAAGAGCCTGAGAAACTGCTTGGGTGATTTGACTAGTAAAGACTGGTCTGTTATCAGACTGTATAGAGGTGGGAAGGCCAAAATGAGGAATTATGTCTGACAGAAGGGAGGAAATGACTGCGGTGGCCTTCTCAGACCCTGTGGGGAAGGCCTCTACCCATCCAGTGAAAGTGTCTACCCAGACTAAGAGATATTTTAGTTTTCTGACTCGAGGCATGTGAGTAAAGTCAATTTGCCAGTCCTGGGCAGGGGCAAATCCCCGAGCTTGATGTGTAGGAAAGGGAGGAGGCCTGAACAATCCCTGAGGGGTAGTAGAATAGCAGATGGAACACTGAGAAGTGATCTCCTGAAGTGATCTCCTTAAGGATAGATTTCCAAGATGGAAAGGAAATGAGAGGTTCTAAGAGACAGGCTAGCGACTTGTAACCTACATGGAAGAGGTTATGAAATGACAACAGAATAGAATGGGCCTGTGAGGCTGGAAGGAGATATTTTCCTTGGTCTAAGAACCATTTGCCTTATGTGGGAAGAGATTGATAGGTGTAAGTTTCAGCGGGGGAGTAGGTGGGAGTGACCAATGTGAAGGAGAAAAACTGGCCATGAGGGACAGAAGTTGGAGAGCTAGCTTCTCGTCTAGCCACCTTATCAGCATAAGTGTTGCTCTGAGAGACAGAAATTGGAAAGCTAGCTGCTTGTCTAGCCACCTTATCAGCATAAACATTGCCTAGAGCAATGGGATCTGATGCCTTTTGATGCCCCTTGCAGTGAATGACCCCAGCTTCCTTTGGAAGTAAAGCGGCCTTGAGTAGAGTTTTTATTAAAGAGGCATTAATGATGGAGGATGCTTGTGTAGTGAGGAAACCTCTTTCAGCCCATGTGACCACATGGTGGTGCAGAATATGAAAGGCATATTTAGAATCAGTATAGATATTGATGCGTAGTCCTTTTACAAGAGTGAGGGCTTGAGTTAAGGCAACTAGTTTGGCTTGTCGAGAGGTAGTGGAGGGGGGCAGAGTGGTAGCCTCAATGATAGATGTGGAAGATACTATAGCATAGCCTGCCTTTGCTGGTGAGTGGCGATTAGGCCTGGTGGAACTGCCATCAATAAACCAAGTGTGATCAGGGTGAGAAACAGGGAAGAAGGAAATGTGGGGAAATGGGATGAACGTCAGGTGGATCAGAGAGATGCAGTTATGGGGGACAGGTGTGGTATCAGGAATAATGTGGGAGGCCTGATTGAAGTCCTGGCCAGGAACAATGGTAATTGTGGGAGACTCAACAATGAGTGAGTACAGCTGAAGGAGCCGGGGAGCAGAAAGTATATGAGTCAGGTGTGAGGAAGAAAATAGATTTTGGAAATTATGAGAGCTGTAGAGAGTGAGTTGAGCATAGTTTGTGATATTGAGGGCCTCTAAAAGTATTAGGGCGGCAGCAGCTGCTGCACAGAGACATGATGGCCAGCCTAAAACATTAAGGTCAAGTTGTTTGGACAAAAAGGCTACAGGACGTGATCCCGGTCCTTGTGTAAGAATTCCGACTGCACAGCCCTGCACTTCAGCTGTGTGTAATGAAAAGGGTTGGGATGAGTCAGGGAGAGCTAGAGTGGGGGCAGTCTCTAAAGCTTCAAGGAATGGAAAGAGGAGTGGGGAAAGGATTTAGGATCTATGGGGTCAGCTAGGTTTCCTTTTGTGAGTTTATATAGTGGTTTTGTTAGGATGGCAAAACTAGGTATCCAAAGGCGAAAGTATCCAACCATGCCCAGGAAGGAAAGGAGTTGTTGTTTTGTAGAAGGGGTTGAGGTTTGAGAGGTTAGTCAGACGCGATCGGCAGGGAGAGTTTTTTATGAAGAATTATGCTGAGGTAGGTAACCGATGGAGAAGAAATTTGAGCTTTGGAGGGGGATACCCGATATCCTTTGGAGAATAAATGCTGAAGGAGCAGAAGTGTGTCACCTTGAGAAGATTCAAAGGAGGGGCTACAAAGACGAAGGTCATCAATATATTGAATAAGGTGAGAAGCAGAGGGGTGGAAAGAAAGTAAATCATGAGAAAGAGCTTGGCTAAAGTAATGAGGGTTGTCCCTGAAACCTTGCGGCAGTATAGCCCAGGTAAGCTGCTGGTACTGATGGGTGTCAGGGTCAGTCCAGGTGAAAGCAAAGAGAGGCTGGGACTAAGGGTGCAGGGGAATAGTGAAAAAAGCATCTTTAAGATCAAGAATGGAATAGTGAGTTACGGAGGAAGGTATTGAGGACAAAAGAGTTTACGGGTTGGGCACCACAGGGTGGATAGGCAAAACAATTTTGTTGATAAGGCGCAGATCCTGAACTAATCTGTAAGACTTGTCTGGTTTTTGGACAGGTAAAATGGGGGAATTGTAAGGAGAGTTTATAGGTTTTAGAAGCCCATGCTGTAGCAGGCGAGTAATAATAGGCTTTAATCCTTTTATTTTAAAGCATGCTGTGGAATGGGATATTGGCGTTGAGTGGGTTAAGGGTGATTAGGTTTTAATGGGATGGTAATGGGCATGTGATCAGTTGCCAGGGAAGGAGTAGAGATGTCCCATACTTGTGGGTTAAGGTGGGGGGATATGAGAGGAAGAGCAAAGGAGGCTTTGGATTGGGAAGAAGGGAGGCAGTGAGATGTAGCTGTAATCCAGGAATAGTCAGGGAAGCAGATAATTTAGTTAAAGTATCTTGGCCTAATAAGGGAACTCGGCAGGTGGGGATAACTAAAAGGAGTGCTTAAAAGAGTATTGTCTAAGTTGGCACCAGAGTTGGGGAGTTTTAAGAGGTTTAGAAGCCTAGCTGTCAATACCCACAACAGTTATGGAGGCAAGGGAAACAGGCCCTTGAAAAGGAGGTAATGTGGAGTAGGTAGCCTCTGTATTGATTAAGGAGGGGACGGACTTAACCTCCACTGTGAGAGTTACGTAAAGCTCGGCATCCGTGATGGTCTACGGAGCTTCTGAGGCGATTGGGCAGCGTCAGTCTTCAGCTGCTAAGCCAAGAAGATCTGGGAACGAGTCAGTCAGAGAGCCTTGGGCCAGAGTTCCAGGGGCTCTGGGAGTGGCTGCCAAGTGAGTTGAACAGTCCGATTTCCAGTGGGGTCCTGTACAGATGGGACATGGCTTAGGAGGAATCCTGGGCTGCGGGAATTCCTGGGCCTGGTGGCCAGATTTCTGGCACTTGTAGCAAGCTCCTGGGGAAGGTGGTTCTGGAGGAACACCTGGCCCCTGCGGTTTGGGCGTTTGGAAGTTCTTGTGTGCTGGAGATGTGGCTGGGGTTTGTCTCACAGTGGAGGCAAGGAATTGCAACTCAGAAATATGTTGGTACTTGGCTGCCTCTATTATTGTACACCTTGAAGGCGAGGTTAATTAAGTCCTGTTGTGGGGTTTGAGGGCCAGAATTTAATTTTTGGAGTTTTATTTAATGTAGGGAGCAGATTGGGTAATAAAATGTATATTGAGAATAAGATGCCTTTTGAGTTTCTAGGGTCTAGAGCTGTAAAGTGTCTCAGGGTTGCTGCCAAACGAGCCACGAACTGGGCTGGATTTTTATACTTGATGAAAAAGAGCCTAAACGCTATCTGATTTGGGATAAAGAAAAAGGAGCATTAACCTTGACTATGCCTTTAGCTCCAACCACCTTTTTAAGAGTAAATTGCTGGGCAGGTGGGGGAGGGCTAGTCACAGAACGAAACTGTAAGCCAGACCAGGTGTGAGGAGGGGAGGTGATAAAAGGATTATAGGGTGGAGGAGGGGAGGCTGAGGAAGAAATGGGACCTAGCTCAGCCTTGCGAGGAGGGGAGAGGTCAGATGGGTCTGTAGAAAAGGAAGATTAGAAAGATACCTCTGAAACCTGGGTGAATAATCAGAGAGGTGTCCCTGCAATGATTAAACACCAAGGGAAGGCTGCCTTCCATAGCCCGTGGTCGGCGCCGGAGTTTTGGGTCCATGGATAAAACGTCTCATTTTTCTCTACCAGAAAATGAAAGGAATTGAAATTAAGTGAAGGGGGAGATTGAAGTGTGGTGCCAAGATTGAATGGAGAAAGAGGTTGAGGGATACTGAGGGAGGTTGCAGAAGAGAGTAAAAGAGGCCGCTTACCGGATTTGAAATTGGTGAGATGTTTTTTGGGCTGGTCAGTCTGAGGACCTGAGGTCGTAGGTGAACCTTTCTCATGGAGCAAAGAGCAGGAGGACAGGGAATTGATCTCCCAAGGGAGGTCCCCCAATCCGAGTCACGGCATCAAATTTCATGCGCGTCCGTATAAAGAGACCACCAAACAGGCTTTGTGTGAGCAATAAAGCTTTTAATCATCTGGGTGCAGGCGGGCTGAGTCCGAAAAGAGAGTCAGCCAAGGGAGATAGGGGTGGGGCCATTTTATAAGATTTGGGTAGGCAAAGGAAAATTACAGTCAAAGGGGGTTTGTTCTGTGGAGGGCAGAAGTGGGGGTCACAAAGTGCTCAGTGTGGGGGATTTTTGAGCCAGGATGAGGCAGGAAAAGGACTTTCACAAGGTAACGTCATCACTTAAGGCAAGGACTGGACATTTTCACTTCTTTTGTGGTGGAATGTGATCAGTTAAGGCAAGGACCAGCCATTTACACTTCTTTTGTGGTAGAATGTGATCAGTTAAGCTGGGGCAGGGCATTTTCACTTCTTTTGTGATTCTTCAGTTATTTCAGGCCATCTGGGTGAATTCGTGCAAGTCACAGGGGATGCGATGGTTTGGCTTGGGCTCAGAGGCCTGAGAGAATTGACTCTCCTTTAGCTAAGAGAGCCAGACAGACTCTATCTTGGCTCCTTCACTTGCAGCCCCTTACCCACCCCCTTCCTCAAGGACTTAACTTGTGGAAGCTGACTCCCAGCACATCCAAGAATGCAATGAACTGATAAGATTCTGTGGCAAGCTATATCTGCAGTTCCCAGGAATTTGCCCCATTAATAGCACCCAAAGCCCCCGCGTTTGTGTCTGGTTGGTAACGCCCAAAGCCCCTCATCTGTCACCTTGTGATAGATTCAAAGCCCCTGCACCTGGAACTGTTTGCTTGCTTGTAACCACTTATCCTTTTAACTTTTTGCATACTTTGCTTCTGTAAGATTGTTTTAACTAGACCCCCCCCCCCAACCCTTTCGAAACCAAAGTATAAAAGAAAATCTAGCCCCTTCTTCGGGGCCGAGAGAATTTTGAGCGCTAGCCGTCTCTGGGTCACCAGCTAATACAGGACTCCTGAATTCGTCTCAGAGTGCGGCATTTCTCTATAACTTGCTCAACTCGCTTGGTTACAACACTTCTTTTCAGTATCACTGTCGATCCATGTGTATTTATTTTGATTCATTTTGTTATTATCCATTGATTTCATTTTCCATTTTGGTTCTGAAATTGACCCAAATTTGGTGAGTGGAATTTACTTCAAGCCAGTTTCTATTTCCGTGTATCATGACACTATTAGTCTTTGAGCACTTCCTTTTTGGGCAAAAAGATGTTCCAGCCTCACTTTTCTCTTCCACAGATCTAGAATCAATTATTTCTTCAAAGAACCCTGTCCTTTGAAGGCAAGATCTGGGCACTAGGTCCGTTTTTTGTTGTTGTTGTTTGGTTTGGTTTTTTAACCAAACTTTATGTATAATTGCTATTCTTCTTATTTTTGTTAACTAGTATTTGTTGTAAAATGTTAAATAGGCTGGGTGTGGTGTCTCATGCCTGTAATCCCAGCACTTTGAGAGGTCAAGGTGTGCAGATCACCTGAGGTCAGGAGTCCGAGACCAGCCTGACCAACATGGAGAAAACCCGTCTCTACTAAAAATACAAAATTAGCCAGGCATGGTGGTGCATGCCTGCAATCCCAGCTACTCGGGAATCTGAGGCAGGAGAATCACTTGAACCTTGGGGAGGGACGTTGCGGTGAGCTGAGATTGCGCCATTGCATTCCAGCCTGGGCAACAAGAGCGAAACTCCGTCTCAAAAAACAAACAAACAAACAAAAGTTCAATAGAAGTAGAGGCAGTGGTCATCCTTGTCGTTTTCCTAATCTAAGAGGAGAAGTGTATGTTCACCTGTGAATATGACGTAAGCTGCAGAGATTTGTAAATACAGTTTTTCAGATCAAGCAATATCCCTTCTACTCCCAGAATGCCAACACTTTTTATCTTGAATGGGTGCTGAGTTTTATCTAAAGCCTTTTGACACCTAATCAATCTTATGGATTCTCTCCTCTTAATGCTGTCATAGATTAGATTATTTGTTTTTTTAAAACTTTTGGAAGTGATTTCAAACTTACAAGAACATTTAAGAATTAAAATGCTTCAAAGAACACTTGCGTATTCTATTTGGTATAACTTAATGTTAATATTTTATTTCATTTTATTATTTAAAGCATGTACACTGTCTCTATAATATATACATATTTTTTGAACCATTTAAGGTAGTTGAGGTACATTATAGCCCTTTGTCCCTAAATACGCCAGTGTCTATTTCCTATGAATAGAGATATTATATTACCTATTAAAAGTACAGTTACCCAATGCAGTACATTATCATTATTTATAATACTTGTATTTAATCTACTCTTTCTACTCTAATTTTGTCAGCTCACTCTATAATGTCATGTCTTCCCTCTAGTACAAGTGGCAGTCTAGGGTGAGAAACCAGTTAGTGATCATGCCATTTGAACTTATAAAATTATGGAACATTTCTACAATTTTACTTTGCCTTTTGTGACAATATTGTTGAAGAATACAGCTCTTTCAACCTTTATTAATAAAAGTTCCTGATTTGTTTTTTTCTTGATGCATTCTTGCTTGAAAAACTGCATAGATGATGTTATGTCTTTCCCAGCATATCACATCTGGAGGCACATATTTTCCATCTGTCTCTCACTGCTGAATTAGTTTAGATCATTCTCTTAAGGTGTTGTCTGATTTTTCCACAGTGATATTACTGACTTTATTCTTCCTTGCAAGCAACAGTTTATAAGAAAACATTTTAAGAGCATGCAGTTGTTATTGAAGTATGACATTATTACTGTGAAGATTAGGTTTTAGCCTACGTTACGGCTAGTGTACTTCAGCTTTTCTTTGCTTCTAGGATATAAACCTTCAAAGACCTCAGCTGAAAGCCTAGGCTTTTACCAGAGTCTCTTGGTAGGTCATGAACACAAACTTCTGTCTTCTCAGAGCTCTACGGCTGTAAAAAAAAAAACTTCTGCTCAGCTCTTTGGCATCCCAGCTGCTGCTTTCTGGTGTTTCTCGTTTGTATAGTTTTTTTTTTTTTTTTTTTTTTTTTTTTTAAGTGTGTCTTTCCTATGGGCATCTTCAGCATTCAAACTTTCTGAAGAAAAGTTTCGTACAAAATTTTGGGTTCAGTTTTCAGCAGTTTCCTTCCCTCCATTTCTAGCCCCTTAGAAATACTAGATTGCAAACCTCTGTTTCCTCAACACAGGTGGATCGGGGCTTTATGTTCATTTTCTGTTGTCCTAGACTTAAAATTGGCAAATACCCTTAATTTCTAATCAAAAGTGATTATGGAGAATATTATGCCTGTGTTGGCTGATCTACAATGCATTTGAATGGGTGTTTTATGTATTTTGCATTGCTTTTATAATTGTTTTGGCAGAAACGTTATTTAAGCATGAATTATTTTGTAATAGCAAAATTGGACATCTACCCACTGTCCTTTTAACAATGGTCTAATCCCACACATTCAGCTTCTGTTCCTTATAACCTAAAATGTCACCTAATAAAAAAGAAAATTAAATGAAAATGTTAATAGATGTAATAATTTCTTTATTGGACTTGGTCAATAAGAGAAAATGGAAAATGTGCTGACTATTTATTTCACTATGCTCCCAAAACTAGATCAATTATCTGCCATTTTTTTCATATTCTATGCTTTTAGGGCTTAATTCTGTGGATTATATAATCTGGAGTTTTAGTTTCCCTTGGATTTGGGTTCAGACACAGGGAAAGTTAGGGGGTAGATTGAAAGCCATTAGGACAGAAAGAGTGGGCATTTTTGTCTGTACTTCCACTCTCTCCTAACAGTCTGGCAATGCTTGCATTCCTCTGTGACTAGGCTTATAGCTTTGATGGGCTTCTCTTTCTTTCACAGCTTTAGTACTTACTGATTCCAATAAATCATTGCCTTCCCTTGTCTCTTCAGGCCTAAGATAGTAAGACCTCCCTGCTATTACTTTTCACTGGGTGTTTCACCATATCTTAATAATTTCCTTAGACATTTCCTTGTTTCTATAAATGCCTGACCCATTAAATATCTTTAATTAAATTCTTTGAAGTATGCCATCACTTTGTTATATAGACTTTCACTGAAAAATTAGATTAGTAGTTAATGAGGAACTCTTCTAAAGAAAAAAAGATAAAAATATACAGAGAGGAAGATTTAAAAGAGGATGGATTGAGAAATTTTAATATTTGTCTCATTGGTGTTTACAAGTCAGATTTAACTAATTTACACCTAAGTAAAACTGACTGAAATATTCACAATAAAAATAATAAACATTGAGTTCTCATTCACAGAACATGTGTATTGAGAGTCAGTTTGTCCATGTTTTCCTTCCTCAGCAATCCAAGTTGATAGACTAACTCATATGTAAGACATTATTGATCTTATGTCTATAAAAAGTATGATAAAACCATGTTATCACTTTTAATACTTCTGGTTAGAATGTGGCACTTGTCAATCTTACTCAAATTTCATTGAACAAAGCAAGTCACATGGATTGAGTAAAAATACACCATACATAAGAAGTAATTACATAAGTAATTACTCAAAGTAAAGTGAAGAAAATTATGTAATTTCATAAGAAATTACAGAAGAAGAAAAAGGAGCAAAAGAAGAAAAAGGAATACTTAAATGGATGATAATTTAGAATCTTGTATAATTGAAGGAATTGTAAGTCCCCAAATCAAATGTAAACTTTGTGTACCAAGCCAATCAATTAAATATGAAACCATACTTAAAAAATGAGTGTATAATAGTAAACTAAAAGTGAAATAAAAATGTTAAAATGTATCAGAGAGAAATGACATTATCTATTAAAAAATGATAATTAGATTGAAAACTTTCTTCTCATTAACAGTGAATGGCAGAATACTCTTAACACGATATTGTCTACATTTGGGGAAACAGACAACGCAGTATTTTATGATAGTTAAGCTGTCATCCATGAGTGGAAACAACAAAGATGTATTTGTGAGTAATAAAACACTAAGTAAATTTTGACTTTTAGACTCTTACAGAAAAAAACTGTTTAAGAAGATAATTGATAATAAGAAAAATCCAAAGAGTCTGTGTAGTGGGAGGATGGGGAAGCATTAGCCAAAAATTCCAATGTTGCAATATTAATATAAGACAAAATTGATGATAAAGATTACAACATAGTAGTCAAATGAAGAATCTACAAAAAGATATATCATTTGTGAACTTGACTATATCTAATTACATGCTTTTGATATTTAAAAGTCAAATCTGAAAAAATTAATAAATTGTTAATTTCAGAGTCATGGGAGAGATTTTAATAAATTTTTAATAAAAATCAAGAGATAGGCCAAGCGCAGTGGCTCACGCCTCTAATCCCAACACTTTGGGAGGGCGAGGTGGGCGAATCACCTGAGGTTGGGAGTTCGAGACCAGCCTAGCCAACATGGTAAATCCCCTTCTCTACTAAAAATACAAAAAATTAGTCGGGCATGGTGTCAGGCACCTGTAATTCCAGCCACTCTGGAGGCTGAGGCAGAAGAATGGCTTGAACCCAGGAGATGGAGGTTGCAGTGAGACGAGCTGGCACCATTGCACTCCAGCTTGGGCAACAAGAGAGAAACTCCATCTCAAAAAACAAAACAAAACAAAACAAAAACAAGAGATAAAGAAAACAAGAATACAAATAAAGATTTGAGCAATGCTCGTATAATAGAAATGTGTAAATATCTGAAGCCTAATATAGAAAACCCATCATATTATATACAAATAACATATTTACAAATAAAGAACATGTACTTCTTCACAATGATGTTTCTAGACATTTCAAAAATAAATATTTTACAGACAGTGTTACTTGAGATAATGCAGCTAAATGAGACATGAACCAATAACAAATATAGCCAGAAAACACTATATGTTGTAAACTTTACAATTATCTAAAAAAGAAAGGCCAGGCTTTTGAGGGAAAAAAGTAAATATACTTTGAAAAATAGAACTAAATGGGCCGGGTGTGGTGGTTCATTCCTGTAATACCAGCCATTTGGGAGGCTGTTGCGGGTAGATCACTTGAGGTCAGGAGTTCAAGACCAGCCTGGCCAACATGGCGAAACCCCAACTGTACTAAAAATATAAAAAATTAGCCTGATGTGGTGGTGGATGCCTGTAGTCCTAGATACTCGGGAGGCTGAGGGAGGAGAATCACTTGAACCCAGGAGGGTATGTTGCAGTGAGCCGAGATTCTGCCATTGCACTCCAGCCTGGACAACAAGAGTGAAACTCTGTTACACACACACACACACACACACACACACACACTCACACAAAAGAATTAAATGATAATGAGTGCATTAATTTCACATAACAAAACTTTGGAACATTTCTAACCATAATTACATTTGTGTTTTCAACAAGAACAAATTAAAATTTCATGAACTAAGAATCTAATGTAGGCAACTTAAAAGAACAAAAATTAGCCAAAGAAAATAGAAGAATGGGCATAATAAGTATAAGAGCAGAGATTAATAAAATGTAATATAATAAATATACGATCTATACCTGAGTGTCATCCAAACCAAGGATAAATTCTCTAGAAAGGATAGTATAATAGAACAGTCTTTAGCAAGGCTGACTAGGAAAATAAAGTAATAACAAAAAATAATTTATTAAACTGATGAGAACAGATGCTATACTTGATCTTAGCCAAAAGGCCAATAAATTATGGGATAATCCATTAATATGTGGATCAACATCAAAAAAGGAGAAATAATTGAAGACACAATAGAGAGAGAGAGTGTGTGTGTCTATGTATAATGAAAAAGTTTTTGTCAATAAATTTGAGAAATTCTATGCAAAGAATTTCATATAGTAATATAAAAATAAAAATTATTTCAAAAAATAGATTTAAAATTCACAATGCACTAAAACTTTTAACTTTTTAAAAAATTATTTTACTTTAAGTTCTGGGTTACATGTGCAGAACCTGCAGGTTTGTTACATAGGTATACATGTTCCAAGGTGGTTTGCTGCACCTATCAACCCATCATCTAGGTTTTTAAGCCCCGCATGCATTAGGTATTTGTCCTGATGCTCTCCCTCTCCTTACCCTCCACCCCATGACTGGCCCTGGTGTGTGATGCTCCCCTCTCTGTGTCTATGTATTCTCATTGTTCATCTCCCACTTATGAGTGAGAACATGTAGTAGTTGGTTTTCTGTTCCTGTGTTAGCAGAGAATGATGGTTTCCAGCTTCATCCATGTCCCTGCAAATGACATGAACTCCTCCTTTTTAATGGCTGCATAGTATTTTGCGATGTATATGTGCCACATTTTCTTTATTCAGTCTATCATTGATGGGCATTTGGGTTGGTTCCAAGTCTTTGCTGTTGTAGATAGTGCTGCAGTAAACATACGTGTACATGTGTGTTTATAGTAGAATGATTTATAATCCTTTGGGTATATACCCAGTAATGGGATTGCTGGGCCAAATGGTATTTCTCGTTCTAGATCCTGGAGGTATCACCACACTGTCTTCCACAATGGTTGAACTAATTTACACTCCCAACAGTGTAAAAGTGTTCCTATTTCTCCACAGCCTCACCAGCTGTTGTTTCTTGACTGTTTAATAATCAGCATTCTAACTGGCGTGAGATGGCATCTCGTTGTGGTTTTGAGTTGCATTTCTCTAATAAGCAGTGATGATGAGCTTTTTTCTTATGTTTGTTGGCCACATAAATGTCTTCTTTTAAGATGTGTCTGTTCACATTCTTTGCCCGCTTTTCGATGGGGGTATTTTTTTCTTGTAAATTTGTTTAAGTTCCTTGTGGATCTTGGATATTAGACCTTTGTCAGATGGATAGATTGCAAAAATTTTCTCCCATTCTGTAGGTTGCCTATTCACTCTGATGATAGTTTCTTTTGCTGTGCGGAAGTTCTTTAGTTGAATTAGATCCCATTTGTCAATTTTGGCTTTTGTTGCAATTGCTTTTGGTGTTTTCATCATTAAGTCTTTGCCCATGCCTATGTCCTGAATGGTGTCGCCTGGGTTTTCTTCTAGGGATTTTATGGTTCTAGGTTTTACCTTTAAGTCTTTAATCCATCTTGAGTTAATTTTTATATAAGGTGTAAGGAAGGGGCCCAGTTTCAGTTTTCTGCATATGGTTAGCCAGTTTTCCCAGCACCATTTATTAAATAGGGAATCCTTTCCCCATTGCTTGTTTTTGTCAGGTTTGTCGAAGATCATATGGTTGTAGATGTGTGGTGTTATTTCTGAGGTCTCTGTTCTGTTCCTTTGGTCTATATATCTGCTTTGTTACCAGTACCATGCTGTTTTGGTTACTGTAGCCAGACAGTCTTACTTGTGAAATGTCTAAAATTTCGAAGCACTGATAAGATCTATTCTATATAAACTTTCAAAAATTTGAAAAGGTAGAGTGCAAACTTTATGAAGCTCTGTAATACTAACATCAGAACTAGATAGCAAGCTAATAAAATAACTATAGAACAAGTTTAATTTACTTAGATGAAAAAATACTAGCAAATAGTGTGACATGTTATAATCATGTAGAGGTTAATTAGGCATGCAAGAATAGGTAAATACCTGATAATCTGTCAATATGAAACTATATGTGAAAAGTTATATAGCCATCTCAAAAGTTATAGCAGAATACTTCTAATAAAATTCAATAAATATAAAAGCAAGAGACCCAGAAGTTTTCACTGATGAACTCTACCAAACATTTAAAGAAGAAATTATACCCATTCATGGCAACTCTTCCAGAAAGTAGAAGCAGATGGAATAATTTTTAAATTATTCTGAGGCAAGCATTATCCTAATACTGAAACCAAATAAAAGTGTGTTTACAAGAACGTAAAAAAAACAGACCAATCTCTTATGAACATATGTGCAAATATCTTCAACAAAATATTAGCAGATCAAATCCAACATGTACAAAAATAATTATACATGACAAGGCAGCATATATTACAAGTATAAAAAGATTCAACATTCAAAAATCAACTAATGAAATTTATCGTGTCGACAGGCTAAAGAAGAAAAATCATATATGTCAACAGATGCAGAAAAAGAATTTGATAAACTCCAACACATATTTATGATAAAAATTCTGAGTAAACTAGGAATAGAGAGAAACTTCATAACCATGATTTTTTAAAGAATTTACAAAAGCCTACAGTTAACATCATACTTAATGGCAGGAAAGAATATTTCCACCTTTAGAATAAGGCAAGACACTCCCTCTCTGCAGTGTTAGTCAACATTGTAGATAATCCAGTAAAACAAGAAAGTAAAATGTATACCAATTGAAAAGGAAGAAATAAAACTTTTATATTCTCAGATACTATGTAGAAAATGCCAAAGAATCAACAACAACAAACCTCATGGAACTAATAAGTGACTATAGCAAGGTTATAGGATACAAGGTTAATATACAAAAGTCAATTGTTTTCCTATATACCAGCAGGGAACAAAAGAATTTGACACTAAAAACACAATATCCTTTATATTAGCACCAAAAAATTAAAATACTTAGGTGTAATTCTAGCCAGATATGCATGACATATATGAGAAAAACAACAAAAATCTAACAAAATAAATTTATAAAGAACTAAACAAGTGGAACTGTATTCCATATTTTGGGTAGATAGACAATATTGTTAAAGTACCTGTTATTTCTGACTTTATTTTATAGAGTCATTATACTTTCAATAAAATACAAAAAAAGTTATTGTGTAGATATTGACAAACTGACTCTAAAGTTTATATGAAAATATTATAGATCCAGAATAGCTAATACAATAAAAAAGTGGTAAAACTAATATTACCCGAAGATTTAGGATAAAGCTATCAGTATGAATCAGTACAATGTGGTATTGATGAAAGACTATACAGTTAGATAATGGAATAGAATTATGAGCCCAGGAAGAAAAGTACACAAATATAGCAAACTCATCATTGATGGGGTAAAGGCAAGTCAAGGGAAGAAAGACTCTCTTCACCAAGTGGTGCTAGAATAGATGTAAAATGGTGAAAATAGACCAGATGTTACACATTTTACAAAATTTACCTAAAAATGGATCATAGACCTAAATGTGAAATACAACATCATATAACTTCTAGAGGATAATATGGGAAAAATTTAGGTTGAATTTGGTGACCAATATTGGTTGACCTTGAATTTGGTAATCACTTTTTAGATACAACACCAGAAGCACTATCTACAGAAGAAAAATTTGGTAAGTTGAACTTTATTAAAATTTAAAAATTCTGCTCCATGAGACACTGTAAGGAGAATAGAAATATAAACCAGAGACTGGAAGAAAATATTTGCCAAACACATAGCTGATAAGTGAGTGATATTCAAAATATACAAAGAACTCCTAAAACTCAACAATAAGAAAAGACCCCACTTAATTGAAAATGGACAAAATATCTAACAGACAGACACGGCACATAAGCATATGAAAAAAAATGCTCAGTATCATATGCCATTAGAGAATTGCAATTTAAAATAACAATGAGACACCATAATACTAAGCACCCCTTAGAATGGCTAAAATCTATTTAAAAAGCAAGACTGAAAATATAGAATGCTGGCAAAAAATGTTGAGCGAAAAGGATTCTCATTCATTGCCAATGGGAATGCAAAATTATACAGCCACTTTAGAAAAGAGTTTGGCAGTTTCTTACAAAGCTAAATATAGTCTTACATATGATCCATCAATCATTCTGTTAGGTATTTACCTGAGTTGAAAACATATCCACATCGAAGCTTGCATAACAGTCTTTATAATACCTTTGTTAATAACTGTCCCAAACTTAAAACAAACAAAATAACTTTCAATAGATAAACAGACTGTGGTACATCAAAACAATGGATTATTTTTTTAGCTATATAAAGAAATTATCAAGCCACCAAAAATGTATGAAACTTAAAAGTACATTACTAAATGATAGAAGCCTATCTGTAAAGGCTACTGTATGATTCCAGCTACATGACATTCTGAAAAAGGCAAGACTATACAGAAGTAAAGGATCAATGGTTGCTAGTGGTATAGAGGTATAGGGAGGAATAAATAGATGAAGCAGAGGATTTTAGGACATTAAAACTATTCTGTATGATAATGTAATGTGAACTCATGCCTTTACACATTGGTCAAGACCCATAGAGCTTTACTAAACAAAAAAATTAATCTTAATGTAAACTATGAATTTAGTTAATGATGTATTGATATTGATTCATTCATTGTAACACACGTATCACACTAATGTAGGATGTTAATTATGTGTGAAACTGTGAGCAGGGAAAAAGGTACATGGGAACTGTATACTATCTGCTCAATTTTTCTATAAATTCAAAACTATTCTAAAACGAAGTCTACCAAGTAAGATTACAATACTAGCTTGTATAAAAAGCATAGAATACGATGGAGAAAGCTGGAACATGGTACTGAATGAGGCAAATAAAATATATCCAGAATTCGAGGAGGAATTTGCTTCTTGATATCAAGATCTACTACAAAGCTATATCAATTCATATAGGTTGGTACTGGCACAGGGAAAGGTTAACTGGAACAATTTAATTCACGAAAATTACAGAAACAGACTCATGGACAAACGGAACTTCAATCCCATGAATTAGGAAGCATTGCAAATCAGTGAACAAAGAATGTATTATTCAATGGTGCAGGAAATAATGCTCTCACATGTGGAAAAACCATATTAAAATTCTACCTCATACAGAACATATTGAAAGTAATTTCTGATGAATAAAAGAGATATGAGAAAAACAAAGTTTAAAATTTTTAAAAGAAAATATATAACTATGGCAGTGAAGCATTCCTTAAGTAAGACTAAAGTCTCAAACCCTAAAATAATATTTGTAATAATTTGGCTATATTAACAAATGTTTTCCTGAAGGATACAATAAAACTTAATAGAAAAACTGCAGACTAGGAGAAAATAATTACAACACTATATTTGACAAAGGACGAGTACACAATATTTCATAATTAATATGAGAAACTCAACAACAGAATAGAAAAACGAGCAAAATATGTAACAAAATCTGAGTGACTTTTTATGAATAAATGTTCAATCATTGCTTAGAACATTTGAAAAATGCAAAATAAAACGATACTATTTTGCACTCATTAGAAAGGCAAACGTGAAAATATTTGCTAACACTAAGCTTTGGTAGAATTATGGAGAAACACACATTTCTAAACCATGATAATAGGAGTATAACTGGTACAATTTGGTAAATAATTTGATAATATCTAGTAAATTTTAAAAATGCACTTTTTTACTCAAAAATTCCACTTGAAGCTAAAAAAATTACTATCTATTTTGTTATGTTCTTGTTAATATGTATGTATGTTCTTGTTAATATGTATGGTTTTGTGTGTCCAATATAGAACTTTAAAAATTCTATTTGTTGTAAAAGTTCTATTTTATTTTGACTTTGTATCAGGACATTCACCCAGCAAACAAAGCATTGGTCATTGGAGAGAAACATATATTTCAAGCATGGCCTTCGGTCTATTCAGAAATATAACTATTCAATAGTATTATTATAGTTCTTCAAATAGAAGATAATAGAAATCGTTTCTTTTAACTTACTAGTGAAGATCAAACTTATCTAACTCTTTATTTGGTTTGTTTTTCTCTCAAAAGAGAAAATGGTTTCGAAGGACAAATCATATTTGATACATTTTGAGAATTCTGGTTCATAGACAAATATCCCACTGGTATTTCCATCATTCACAGCAAGCTCACTGCATTTTACCTCTTGTGTGGGCTCTGACAATATAATGATTTTCTAAGCCTTTTATTTCTGATCTTGAGCAAGAATCCTGGTGAGGCTGTCAGGATTTTAAATGAAAGTGAAAAGAAATTATACACCATGATGCCAGCAAATGAAAGGCAAATGTATAATTTGAAGTGTCAAATTTTAGAGAGACTAAAAGGAATTTGCTATTTTTAAGAACGTTTACTAGGAATTTATGAGAAAAAGACCTAAATCAATATATTTCTAATAGCTGGATCATAGATATAACTTATCAATTCTTATATTGATGCAGTAATAACAAATGTTTTTTATACCACCTTTAGGCACTGCAGGCATTACTAAAATATATTTTTTGATTATTGTAGTCTTTATCAAAATATACTTACTTTGTTAACATTATGTTGTGAGAGTACATTATTCAACTTAGTACAAAAATAAGGAATAAATTTATTTTGAAAGTTTCATTAATTATGAGTTTAAAAATAGATTTATGAAAGATACTAATCCAAAGTGAATATTCAAGGGTGATATTTATTTCCTCTTATTACATTATTTCTATTGTATGTCTGACTTTCAGGCAGAGAATTAAAAAACATTCAGTTTAAATATTTTTGGCATCTTAAAATAAAACTTCATTAAATTTTACAGAAACAAGTTTACAATTGCTTAAATAATACATATTGTGTTTTAACTGTGAGTAATGTGTTCACTTGCTTGACACATAACATTGTTTTACCTTTTCATACTGTAAGCAAACTTCTGAAAATAACTATCCAAGCTAAGAAGAGATACCATTTTCCTTGAAGTGTTATTTGTATTTCCCCTTGAGAGGAAAAACCTCCCCTTGAGAGGTTTAATTAAGCTAAAATTTATGGTGTTAAGAAATTTTTCAAAAACACTTCAGTTAAATTTTGGGTTTAAGGAATAAATCCTACAGAAATTCCTCTTTAAATTATTGTGAAAAATACTTCCCTTAAATTCTAAATAATATTTACTATCCTGATAAGATGCAATTCATATACATTTTAAGGTTATGTTTGGAAATTTTCTAATATTATTACTCTAAAGCAAAACAATCTATTTCAAAATAATTTTTTCTTTCAAGTTCTTAAAGACAAATAGCTATTTTAGGTATTAGTTATTTCTATTTTGTCTGATTTGTTTATTTTCTTCTCAGGTGTTTTAATTCATCTTGGGAAAGGGCCTAGCAGAGCAACTTCAATAGTTTAATGTCATAAAGCTGAAAAGAGAGAAGAAAAATGTTATAATTGCTTTTAGGTTAGCAATTATTAATGACATTTATTTTTATGATTAAATTTATAAAATGCTTTTATATAAATACTGATGTTATATTTCATTGAGAATTTACTATGTATCAAGCACTTTGGTAAGTAGTTTACCCGGAATATCTTATTTAACCCTCAAATGACCCTACACATCATTAGGTACTGCTATGATTCCTATTTTATGAAAGCAAGACTGAACTTTAGACAATAGAAAATCACATAACTATTACAGCAAAGCTAGTAAGTGGTACAGCCACTATAGCATATTATTGCTGTCTCTCTCCCCCCTTCTCTCTGTCTCCATCTATCTACTGATATTCTGTCTGTTTGATCTGCTTATTACTGACAAAAGGGACTTTGAAGACTCCAACTATAATAAATTTGTCTATTTCTCCTTTTAGTTCTATCAATTATACTTAAGATTTTTTCTTGGTTCCCCTAAAGTTTACAATATACTTTTCAAATTAACATAAGTCCACCTTTAAATAACACTATATTGCCTCATGTGTCTACCTTATACCAGAGTATTACCAATTCTACCATTCCACTCTTTGTGATATTTTTCTCATGCACTTCACTTATCTATTGACTATAATCATACAATTTGTCATTACCACTATTTAAGCAAATGGTTATATTTTAGGTCAATAAAGAATATGAAAAATAAGAGGTTTTATATTGTCTTCATTTATTCCTTGTCCAACACTCTTCCTTTCTTTATGAGGATCCAAATTTCAGACCTATATTATTTTCTTCTCCCTCAGGAACTTCTTTGAACATTTCTTGCAAGGCACATCTGCTTGTGATAAATACCTCAAATTTTGTTTTCAAAAAATCTTTATTTTTTCTTTCATTTTAAAAGGTAATTTTACTGCTTATTGAATTCTAGATTTTTTTCAATATTTTAAATACTTCATGTTATTATCTTCTTACTTGCCTGGTTTCAGATGAGAGGCCTATAGAGGCACAATATAAGGTTCCTTTATAGGAACTATAACAATTACAGAAGAGTTCTCATCTGAAACTTGTCTCATCTCCCCCCTGCACACTGGATTCTGTCAAGATTTTTCCTTTTCTCTGGTTTTACACAATTTGAATATGATATGGCTAGGTTCAGTATTTATCCTGTTTTGTGTTTTCTGAGTTTTGTGGATTTATGTTTAATGTCTGTCATGAATTTTTGAAAATTTTTGACCGTTGTTACTATAAGAATTCAAGTATTTTCTAGGCTTCTTTGGCTTTTTCTCTTCTCCTCTGGTATTTAAATTAGATGTATTTTATAACTTTTTATATAGTTCCACATTTCTTTCCTTGTTTTGTTTTTTTGTTTGTTTTGTTTTTCTTGAGACAGGATCTTGCTCTGTCACCCAGGCTGGAGTGCAGTGGCACAATCATAGCTTACTGCAGTCTTGAACTCTTGAGCGCAAGAGATCCTCCCTCCTCAGCCTCAAGAGTAGCTAAGCCTACAGGCATGCACCACCATGCTGAGCTAATTTATTTTTTATTTATTTATATTTTTTGTAGAGATGTGGTCTTGCTATGTTGTCTAGGCTATTACTGAACTCCTGGCCTCAAGTGATCCTCCTATCTCAGCCTCTCAAAGTGCTGGGATTACAGGCATGAGCAATTGTGTCCTACCCCACATTTCTTGTATGTTCTGTTTTGTTCATTCTTTTTTCCCTTTGCATTTTATAATCTTCAGGCTATATATCTGTGTTTTAGTGAGTCTGTGTATCTGGGCTGTGACCTTCTAAGTATTCTTCCAATGGTACTATTTTCTTTTCCCTTGTTCCTACTTGCTTCCCTATGTGTAGTATTTTCAATGTATACCCTTCAAGCCCTGACCCCTGTTAATCCCGCCACACCCCCACCCCCAACCTCCCTGTAACTTAGGTGAAATAGGAGGGCTAGAGGAAGGAGTGGTGAGAGGAATGCTTTTCTGCCTTCTGCAGTAAGGCTCTGGCCAAGTCTTTTTCCTGTAGAGTAAGCCTTTGATATGGAGAAGGCTCTGGACATGTTTCACAGTGGTTTCTCTTCCCCTCCGCCCCATTGCCTGCCCCTCTCCCTCCCCACCTCCACCACCCAACAGAACCAGCTCAGAAACCTTCTTTTGATCTTCACAGTGAGAAACTCAAGTTTGTAGGTCTCCCAAGACTGTAGCTCCCAGAAGTTTTTCCACTCTACATTCAGTGTCTAGCAATTTGTAAAAATTACCATGAAAGTATTTTACCAATGTATGATCCCAGCTTCTGTTCCATGTACATAGATCTTGTCTGTGTCTCTTTAGATTTACCTGTCCTTCCATATTTTAGTGTGAAAGTTTTCCCTGCAACCTCAACTTACTATTTTATCCAAGTAATGGATTTTCAGCTTCCCTGGCTTCCTGCTTTCTTCTTTCTTCTTCTTCTTCTTCTTTCTTCTTTCTTCTTCTTCTTTCTTCTCCTCCTCCTCCTCATTCCTCCTTCTTCCTTCTTCTTTCTTCTTTTTTTAAAGGACATCAGTTACAACTTCCATTCTTCTATATCGGAGATGAAACTGAAAATCCAAGTGCAATCAAAGACTCAGATAAAAGACATTAATTTAGAGTCTTGCACCACAGTTACAGTTATGAAATGTCATTGGTGGGCTTAAAAAGTCAAATCTTCTTGTGCAAATCGAAGACATCTTTTGCTATAATGCATCTTACTTCTTCTCATTTTACTATCTTTCTTTATTGTAGGTTGGATCATCTGGCATAAAATCAACTGCTTGTAGCTTTTGTGTTTCCTTGGTCTATAGAGATACATATATATCTTCCTATTAACTCCAATTAAGAGTTGGTGCAAGTTATTGCAGTTTTTGCATTGATGAAATTTGCCATTTGATATTGGAATACATTCTTAAATAAATGTGGTTATGTTATACTGTTACTGGTGGAGCGTGTCTAGGTTCTTGGCATCTCGAACAAAGAATTGGACAAAATGCACAAAGCAGAGAAAGAATGAAACAACAAAAGCTGAAAGTTATTGAAAATGAAAATACACTCCACAGTGTGTGAGCAGGTCTAACCATAGGGGTTCAAGGGCTCCATTACAGAAATACCCTCTAGAGGATTCCAGTGGTTACTTGGTGTACACCCTATGCAAATGAAGAAGATTAAGTAAAGTTACAAAGTCATTTACTTAGTGTACGCCCTATGGAGAGGATATTTCCTGTCATAGCTAAAGAGTGAATCTGCCTTACATTCCCTGCCTCCAGACCCTATTTTCCTTTCTCATTTCCCCCTGAGAGAGGTAATCCCTATAAATCTTTATGGGAGGTAGTGGGACTGATGGCCTTTCTTCTGTAACTGCTTCATGCTGGCTAACCTATTGGGCATCACAGAACTCTCACCCTGCTCTGTTTAGTGGAGGCAAGGTAGCTTCTTGAAGGCCAGGGGTGGTGCTTTCACTTGGAACTAGCTGGAACCTTTGTTGCATGATCATCTGAAGCTTGATGGTCTCTAGGAGAAAGGAAATGAATTTGGTTAAAAGATTTAATGGAAACTTCAGGGGATGCATACCTATTGTTATAAATAAAGTTTCGGTGCCACAAAAGAAATAGCACTCGAATATAAAATTTTCTTTTTAATTCTCAGCAAGGCAATGTACTTCTATAGAAGGGTGCACCCTTACAGATGGAGCAATGGTGGGTGCACACTTGGACAAGGGAGGGGAAGGGGTTCTTATCCCTGATGAACGTGGCCCCTGCTGCTGTGTGTTACCCTATTGGCTAGGGTTAGACAGCACAGGCTAAACTAATTCCAATAGGCTAATTTAAAGAGAGTGACGGGGTGAGTGGTTTGGCGGGAGTCAGGGTGGAGCAGGTAAGGGTGGAGCAGGTGATCAGAATGAGTCAGGGCGGAGCCGGTAATCGGAATGAGTCAGGGTGGAGCAGGTGATCAAAAAAGATTGCTTTACGAAGAAGTTAAGTTTAAAAGTGGGAGGCAAAGAATTGAACATACTGACCTGTTGATTCTTTGAAGAGGAATTTAGAACTTATATCTAATAATTCCCTCCTCTTGCATTTTCCTTACAGCTCTTTCTTTTCAAACTTCTTTAACATGTCCTGGCTTAGTTGTTCTGCTTGATTTTCCAAAAGAAGAAGCTTTTCTGGATAAGGTGGATGATAGTTAAGGGAGGTTTTAATAAGCGCCATTTCTATGAGCCTCTGCACCAACCCATGGATGCATGGTATGACACAGCACCTGACAATAATAAGTACACTCATTACAGCTGTGAGAGAAGTAAGAATTGAGGCTATTATTCCTTTCCATTTACCGAACCACTTTTCTAGCCATCCTGTAAAGGGGTCATTTACCCCTGAGTTGTTGGTTAACTCATCAGACAGAGCAGTCAGACCTTGCAATGCCTTTGTTATACTTCCATCAGGGGTGGTGTTGTTTGGGATCAAGGTACAACATTGAGTTTTAATTGTGATGCAAACTGCCCCTCTTTCTGCTAATAACATGTCTAAGGCTATCCTATTTTCGTGAGCCATCTGGCTAGTAGCCCCTAATTGCTCAGCTATTCCTTTAACAGCATCTCTCGTGTAGTTAATAAATCACTGTTGGTTGTAGTAGATGTAGTTTATCCAATTTACATTTTTATTAATTGTCACCCACCAAAATATTGACTCAAATTCTGCAGCTATTTGATTTCAGGCTTTAAATTGATCTTGTATTCTCTGTGGGACTCCAATTGCATTTAAATAGACGTAAGAGTTGAAAGACCCATAAGGGGCTCCTCTCACTTTATGATGTCTTATTTTTCCTTCCTCTGGTTGATGAAATGCCAGGGTGAAAGGGATAGCCAACTGGACTAAAGCACAGGTGCCACTCCAGTTATTTGGCAGAGTGTGCAGTAAAGGTCCACCACAATACCACCACACATCCACTCGGGGATGAGCAAGGGCTGACTGATTGATAAGCTCTGGAAAATTCTTAAGCTCACTGCATCCCTTCAGGTCTCCAAGGAACACTAAGTTTTCTGCCTGTTGTGAGAGACACGAACTGAACTTAGTTTTGGGAGATGGAAGCTGGATGGCCCTTGGGGGTTGAACCGCAGGGTGCCGGACTTTGGGATATAGCAGAGAGAGAGCTTGGTACGACTTGTTACTCCAGGCTGTAGAATCCCGGAAAAGAGCTACCATGAAGCCCATGCCCGGTCACCTGGAGGACCACCCTAGTGGGAAGGAGACAATCTGGGCCTCTGGCCTGCCGTGCACCCAAGCATAACAATTGCTTTTGTTTAACCTGCAGGCGGAATATTTGATCCATTCCAACCAGGCATTTGCATCTTGGTACCTGTATTAATTGTCAAAGTTTGTTTTAAGTCTTTAACTTCTACTGTAGCTATCTTGGTCTTGTCATTAGATGGAGGAGGAGCAATTGTTCCATTGTGAGAGGTTTTGGAAGAATGCTTAGAGGAAGCTGCAGGCAGTGGGGGATCGAATAAACACATTTCAAAGAATCCAATAGGGTCTGTCCCTGAAACCTCAGCCCCCATACCATAAAACTGGCTTAAAGAAGGGAAGTGGCCTAGAAAAGAGGAAGAACTTTGAGGGTTCAAGATAACTTGTATAGGATTGCACTGGTTTAGCTGACAGTTGGAGGGAGTGGTGCTGTCTCTCTCATAAAGTGAATGTATGGTTTTAGGAAATTACAAAAACCGGTTGGGGCAGTCCATCCTTGCTCTTTAGTGGTCCATAGAATGCTGGAACAACTATGGCATAAAAGCTCTACATTGGGGTGGGGGCAAGACTCCTGGTTGACGCTGGGGTCTTTATTGAAATCTTCCCAGATCAAATGGTCCCAATTCACTAATGCTCAGTCTTAGGAGAGTCAAGGGGGACAGAGCTACTTTTCTGAAGTAGAGAGCTGTCTTTGACTTGGCAAGTCCCCACAGGGTATAACAAAGCAAGCATCAAATGCAATAGTTTGAGGCAAAATTGACTTGGTTATGTTAATAACTAGATGGTCAGCAATAGAGTGAGGAAAGAAGAAAGAGTAATAGAATAGATGAAAGAGAGTTAAATTTTTCTTAGCTTTAGTTTGGTAGGGTTTTCCCCTGGGAATATGGCCCACAAATCTGAAAGGGGCAGCACTTTCTTGACTCGGGTGTGATGAGTCCATCCCCTTTCTGCTGTACGAACAGCAGCAGTCTCCGTGGTTAGCAGCACAAGGTAGGGTCCTTCCTAGGCTGGCTCGAATTTTCCTTCTTTCCACCCTTTGATGAGAACGTGATCCTCATACTGGTGCTGGTTTACTGGAAATTCTAGGGGTGGTACCTATGCTAGAGGATTTTAGTTTTGAGGGAAAGGAAAGTGTAAGATAAACCAAGTATGTAATTTCTAAGAAACTGATCTTTTGTTTTAAACGTGGGGACATCAGCAGTGGACTTTATGTCCTTCGTGCCTTCTTACTGAGAAATTTTCTTTAGCACTTATTTTTGTTAGTTTTTAGACCAAAGAAAGCCAAACACCATTTTATATTTGACAATGCTTCCTGTATGATTTTTATACCAAATAAGCTAAATTTCACCTTTCTATTAGTGTGTTACTAATGCTAAATTCAATTTTAATAAAACCTTGTAGACATATTTATCCAATTTTAACGTCTGACCATAAGGTAAGATTTTTATAGACTCTTTTTAATCTTTTATAATTTTTGTTAAAGAGCAGGTTAGTGCTTTAAGAAAAACCTGTGGTGCTTTTATTTTAATGTCCAGTTCACAGAAAGAGTAGATGACACCCCTCTAACTTTAGCCAATGTTTACACACAGAGTTTCCTTTACAATTAACATTTTAAAGCTTGCTTAAACCTTTAAAACAAAATTTTTTAACCTTTTAATGCAGGTAAAAATCCACAATCTTATGCCTCCTTATAATCCTTTTTCCAAAAGCATATTTTACTTTCCTTGCACACCTTGCACATAAACTGTTTCTTCAATAGTTTTACCATCAGGAGGCCAAACTACTTTTAAATTATACAACATTTCTTGCATAAATTCCCTTTTATAACTCTTTTTTTTCACAACTTTCACAATCTTTGACATGTCTCAACCTTCTGACTTGCTGCAAACATCCCTTTCTTTAAACAACCAGTTAATTTATTTTAGGACAAGAATTTACCATATAACATTCCTTTCATATAAATTATTCCCCTCTCCCTCTTTTTCCCCCATTCTTCTCCAAAGTGAACTTCCTTCATGTCTGTGGACTAGACTGCCTAAGGCCACAAGATTAGAAGTTAGGGTAATACATGTTACACTGTTAACTTTTAGCAAACTTCACTTTTGTTGAAAACCTTGTAAGTTTGGGATTTCAATTATCCTTTGCTATTAATAAGACCTTGTTTATTCCAAATTAACTTAGAATTGGTATAGATGGTTCCTTCCTGGTTCTGTAAGTACTTTAAGGCTTGGCTGAGTGCAAGCAGCTCGCATGTTTCAGCAGAACAATTATTAGGCAATTTTCCTAACTCTGCCTCTAGAAGAGTTTCCCTATCAATTACTGAATACCCATTGTGTCTTTTTCCCTCAATCACCCAGGAGGAATCATCTATCGTCCTGTCCTGAAGGGAGCTCCTCCTATGTCTGGCTGGACCTTTGTATAGTAGTTAATTAAGATTTAGATCCCCTGTTAGGAAACCTGCTGGGTTAAGAGAATTTTTAGTGGTTAATGTTGATCATCTTTTTTTTTTTTTTTTTTTTTTTTTTTAACAGAATAGCCTCATACTTTCTCCTGTTAGCAAAGCAGTTGTTGCTACAGATTGAATGTATTCAGGCCATCCGTGCATTACTGGGTTAAGGATTTTTGATTAGGAAGGCTACGGGTTGTCAGTGGCCTCAGTGCTCTGGGGCTATGCCCTTGTTTACACTGACAACAAGGTGATATTGGAGTGGTATAGGGTCATGGAGAAGACCTTCAATTATCAATTATAGGTTTTAAATTTACTCTGGCTTTTAAGGGAATAGGGTACACTGTTTTCTCTTTACTACTTCTATCTCTCTCTTTCTTTCTCTGTTTGACTTTCTGTCTCTTTCTCTTTAACTCCCTCTTTGTCTCTCTGTCTCTTCCTCTCTCTCTGCCTCTCTCTTTCTCTCTTTCTCCTTGACTCCCAATTTGTCCCTCTGTCTCTTTCTCTCTCTCTCTTTCCTCTCTGCTTATCTTTACCTGCCTCTGCCAGCTGCTTATGCTGCTGTTCTGCCCTCTCCTTCCCCTCCCCCTTCCCCTAGAGGAGGGACCAGTGGGAGTGGAGATACTCTTTCTTCCCCAGAGAAGAAAGAAAAGGGGGGGTTGTGTGAGGTTCAGCCCTTGAAATTAGTGGAAGGCTCAACCCCTCAAACCAGGGATGTCTTGCCTTGCCTTCCCTGGAAGTCTCAATCCCTCAAACCAGGGGTGTCTTGCCTTACCTGCCCTGGAAGGCTCAACCCCTCAAACCAGGGGTGTCTTGCCTTGCCTGTCCTGGAAGGTTGACCTGTCTCCCCCCTTTCTGTCTCTTAAGGTCCTTTGCACACTTCCCACTCACGGGGAGAACCCCTTCACTCCATCCAGCAGAGGACTTGTCACCATCCACACAAACAACACTGCAAGCAGGGTTGTTTGTGATCATTCACACACATACACATTCAGCCCTCCAGAATTTGACCACCAAGGAAGTACTTTACTGGCTCCTGTGGCTTCTCTTTCCTTGGTCGGTGCACAGAGTCATCACTGCAGTATGTGAGGATCCTTTACCCTAGGTTGCTGGCCAGTTTCTTTTCATGTTGCTGAGAGCTCAGGTTATTCCTCACACTGGGTAGGTCCTGATTTCTCACCCCTGAGGCCGCCATAAGGAGGTGGGGCATGCCTCCTCAAGAGAGAACCAGAGACCACCCCCAGAGGGGAATGTGATCCTGGATGAGCCCCCAAATTCTTATAAAGAAAGTTTTGATGCTGCAAAAGAAATAGCACTCAAATATAAAATTTTCTTTTCAATTCTCAACAAGGCAGTGTACTTCTATAGAAAGGTACACCCTTATGGGTGGAGCAATGGTGAGCACACACTTGGGCAAGGGAGGGGAAAGGGGTCTTATCCCTGATGAATGTGGCCCCTGCTGCTATGTCATTCCCCTATTGGCTAGGATTAGACCGCACAGGCTAATTCTGATTGGCTAATTTAAAGGCAGTGAGGGGGTGAGTGGCTTGGTGGGAGTCAGAGTGGAGCAGGTAAGGGTGGAGCAGGTGCTCAGAATGAGTCAGGGTGGAGCCAGTAATCAGAATCAGTCAGGGTGGAGCAGGTGATCAAAAAAGGTTGCTTTACAAGGAAGTTAAGTTTAAGAGTAGAAGGCAAAGAATTGAACATAGTGACATTGATTCTTTGAAGGGAAATTTAGAACTCATATCTAACACTATGTTGTCAGGAATGTTTATTATAAAGATTTGCAGGAGAAAAAAACAAAACCTGGTCTGTTCTAGAATTTATGTGTTTCCTTAAAGTCTTAGCAGAAGCAACTCCATTTTTGGTTTGGTTTGGTCTGTTGGGGCCTATGGCATGAGCTTAGTCCAAAACCATGGTCTCCCAGGATTTTCTTTAAAAAAATTCCCTTTTTGGTCAGGTTCTTACTTAGGTGAGAGTATGACCAAAACGTAGGGCCTTAGCACCACTCTCAGTTACCATCATTTTGGGTTTCCAGTCTTGGCATTTTATTATAGGTTATGGTGTCCTCATGGTTACACATTTCTTTCAGCTCTTGCCATTCCATTTGAAGAGAGACCATTTGACTTTCTAGAGATGGCTGCATGCAAGCATTTAAAGCCTTGAGAGAATATAGAGCACCAGGGAGACTATTATTATGACTGTTGGGAGGATAATAGCAAGAGTTCAGAGTAGGCTCCTTACCCAAGATCCCCATAAACCAAACCTTCTAAAATCAAATAGATCAAAGAATGAGCTAGATAGAATTTACTCACTTAAGTAAGCAGTCTTTTTGTTAATCCCCTACCACTGAATTTCTATAATCCTCATTTGATGTATTTCTCCATAGGCCACAAGTGCCAGCAGCTGCACAGACACTCTTCTGTTCAGCCAATTCTATCATAACTTTCACAAGAGAATTCAAAGTTTGTTGTGTAACTGTAGCCTTTACAGTAGAATTTGCTATAGAGACTATCATGGAGGATACATTTGTATTCATTGCTTCTTTTACTCTAAACCATCGAAAAAGGACCTAACAAATGATGCCATTCTAGAAGATTGAAGGCCTCCTGGCAATGTTCTCTTTATCCCATGATGTGGGTTAAAAGGAATGAATCAATGTTTTGTTTCTGACAGATTATGAGCCAATGTATGTACCATAGTTTACAAATGTTGGAGAAAGTAGGCAGAGAGAGAGAGAGAGAGAGAGAGAGAGAGAGAAATATGACTCAAATCCTGTTTATGAGAGCATACTTGACACACTTAAAGTATCAAGAAGCTTAAAATGCAAAAAGTTAGTTTAAGGTTTAAAGGCTAGTGTGCTCCATTAATTCCTGTGGGCTTCAGAAAAGTAGCTTAGGAATTCCAGATAAATGAAACAAATGATGGCTTGCTAGAAATGCATAGGGAACAAAAAAAAATGTTCACAGAACCAAATAAGAGCCTTAACTATATTTTTTAAAAAATTGCCAAATTGCCAATGCATTTTTTTTTACAATACTTCTTATTTTACTTCAATTAAAACTAAGAGCTTTAACTATGAAAATGTTAATTAGCCAAATGTCTATAATTCTGTATCAGGTTTTTAAAAATATTTTATTATTTAAACTTTTTCCACATCTTTCTCTCCTAAATGGTTCCTTACTACATTCTTTCATAAATAACCTTTTATCTGTAATTTGAACTATCTTTTGGATAATTTCTGAATTAGACAAAATTATTTTTCTTTTCACTAATAACATTACCCTTTCTGGCATATTTTATATACAGAATTACATTTTAACTAAAATTCTCATCCTTAGTAACCTAAAACTTTTGTAAAACCCTAAAAAGCAAGAAATCCTGAACTGTCAGATATGGGCATTTATGGATAAGAAAAATTCCACAATCCTTTCTTAATTGGAAATGACCCAGATAGTAAATGAGCGTAAAAAATAACTTTAAGATTTTAATTTAAAAGACCATAGAACAGTAGACATTGAGTTCTTCGGTAACTTCTCCTGTAGTTGTAACAGGAACAGCTTCGGTGATTGCTCTCAATTAGTCATAGTCAACTTCTGATGGCTGGCCACTACACTCCTCCTCATCAAAGCTGATCCTCTTACAACTACAGAAGAAGTTGCCAAAGAAATCAATATAGACCATTCTATGGTCTTTTAGCATTTGAAGCAAATTGGATATGTAAAAATCTCGATAAGTGGGTGCCTCATGAGCTGAGCAAAAAGTAAAAAAAAAATTGCAGTTTTGAAGTGTCATCTTCTCTTATTCTCTGCAACAACAATGAACTATTTCCCGATCGAATTGTGACGTGCAATGAAAAGTCAATTTTATACGACAACCAGTGATAACCAGCTCAGGTTGAACTGAGAAGAAGTTACAAAGTACTCCCAAAAGCCAAAATTGCACCAAAAAAAGGTCCTGGTCACTGTTCAGTGGTCTGCTGCTGGTCTGATCCACTACAGCTTTCTGAATCCAGGTGAAACCATTACACCTGGGAGGTATGCTCAGTAAATTGATGAGATGCACCAAAAACTGCAATGACTGCAGCAAGCACTGGTCAACAGAAAGGGCCCAATTCTTCTCCACAATACCCAACTACACATTGCACAACCAATGCCTCAAAAGTTGAACGAATTGGGCTACAAAGTTTTGCCTCGTCCATTATATTCAACTGAACTCTTGCCAACTGACTACCACTTCTTCAAGTATCTCGACAAGTTTTTGCAGGGAAAATGCTTCCACAACCAGCAAGATGCAGAAAATGCTTTCCAAGAGTTCATCAAATCCCAAAGCATGGATTTTTATGCTACAGGAGTAAACAAGCTTATTTCTTGTTGGCAAAAATGTGTTGACTATAATGGTTCCTATTTTGATTAGTAAAGATGTATTTGAATCTAGTTATTATATAATGATTTAAAATTCATGGTCCAAAACTGCAAATACTCTTGCACCAACCTATAGGAATAGGAAGCCAAATGAGGTTTACAGAATTGAATTTAAGAAACTCTGAGTATGGCTTATCTAAATATATCCTTATCTATATGTATATGTTGTAAGCCTAATTCTCCACCCACAAAATTAATGTATTCAAGGTTGCCTGAAGAGCCTTTTACAGTTTCTCATTTTTCTATTCCGTTCCACCTAAGTCATTTAGGAGACTCTCTTGAATATTTACTAGCACTTAGAATAAATCTTTTCTTCAAGTGACTGTGTTTTTGAGCTCAACTTTCTCAGTAGGTATTCAGAGCTATGTAGAGCCATGGTGAATTGAAGCACTCAGATAGAAGGAAATTTTTTATTTCACTAAAATATGTAATTCAGTCTTTCTATAATGTGAGTGAAGCTAATGAATACATTCTAGTTCTGAACAAAAGGACAATACCAAAGTTGATAATTTAGTATTACATCAAATAATTTGGTGATAAAATGAACATATATTGTTGTCTGTGCTTTCGTATGCAAAGATGTTGAGGTCTTTTCACATCTCACTGTGATTTCTGCAGCAGTAACCCATACCTTTTCTGTTCTCCAGTAGTAGATATTTTAGTTTTCCACTACTTAAGTACACAAAATTTTTAGGGTGAATTGAATATTAATGTATTAATGTAGGACATAGTAATGACAATTATAAGAGTAACATCTTAAAAGATCAGCATTTAATTTAACTCAAAGTTATTAAAATCTCAAAGAAAAATGTCCAGATTTTATTTTTGAGAAAGAATATGACAAAGAACAAAAATTATTTTTTCGTCAATAGTAAATTTTTCAATTTATCTTAATGTGACAGTTTTGCTAGAAAAAAAGCTTCTCCAGGCCAAAGAAGTAAGATACTCTACATACTGCTTCTTTTCGTGAAATAAATATTATCATTCTTATTAACTCCAATTAACAGAAAGTCAACTGAGGTTTAGAGAGTAAGAAACTCTGAGGATGGAACTCTGGCATCATCCATGACTGTTTCCAGCCACATGGGATAAGTCAGGTTGTAGCAAGACAGAATAAGAACAGGTAAAGGGAAGAGACAGAGAAATGGGAGAGTACATGCAGGAACCTGATTTGGCGAGCTTCCCTCTTGCTTATTTCATGGTTTGTTTCAGCTGTATAATTTTTATGTAATATATAAGCATACTGGTAAGAGTCTAATTTCAGTCACTGCAACATAGAGGCCCTAAATATTCATGGATTAAGCAAATAAAAGTTTGTTTCTTGATTGGCTCTGCTCTGAGAAGTTATAAGGGACCCCTTCTTTCCTGTATCAAATCAATGATAAAGAGGTGAAAATATAAAGGAAAAGTAGATTCAGATATTTGGGGCTGTGTGAGTCTGAGCAAATCAGATTTTGAGTTTTGCAGACTTTAGACACATATTCATGATGGTGAGTAGGGGCTTAACTCTTCAACTCAGAAAACGGAGGCTCTGAGAGGCAAAATAAGATGCCAAAGTTTGTACTCTCCCCATTGCAAGCATATAGACAAAAGGTAATCAAAACTCAGGTTATTCTGACCCTAAGAACCCCCCATACGCTTTATATTCTCACAGTGAACTGAACCATTGAACAATTAGTTCAATTTTGATAGAAATAGGAAGAAAGATAGCATTACAGGCAAGGTTAACAATATAAAAAATGATTGTAACAAGTCATATTTTCCACACCTCAGTGACGTTTTTAGACATGCAGCCTACAGAATCTGGTACGATTCCAGTTCTGAAATAGCATAGTAGGAACATTTGCAGTTTGAGAAAAAAAAATTGTTTAAATTAGGAAACATCAATAAAAAAGCATACTTTGCCCTGAAGCTATGTGAAATTATAGTGCTTGATGGTAGTTCATGAATCCATCTACTCACATATTCTAGGTCAGGTGCATATTTCAGGACCTGCTACATATTTTATTCTGCCTGTTTATAAAATAAGAAAATGCCAAACATATCATTTAAAAGGTTTTCATTGCCTTGCAGAAGTAAACTTAAGATTCTCTGGAGGGGAGATATAATGTAAATCAGTATTTCTGAAATATCGTAGCATTGTTTGAAGATCAAGAATTGCTTGGTGCCCTGGCACGGCTCTGATTTACAACTTAACAATTTCATTTTCTAGAAATAAAGTGGAGTTCTTGTTTAAAGGCTGAGATATTCCTGTTTTTTCTGGATATCAGTAATAATTAAAATTCATGACTTCTGTATTATTCATGCAGCCCTTTATTTTATTTTATTTTTTTTGAGACAGGGTCTCACTCTGTCGCCCAGGCTGAAGTGGGATGGATCAATCTCAGCTTACTGCAACCTCTGCCTCCCAGGTTCACGCATTTCTCCTGCCTCAGCCTCCCGAGTATCTGAGATTACAGGTGCTTGCCACCATGCCCGGCTAATTTTTGTATTTTTAGTAGAGATGGGGTTTCTCCACTTTGGCCAGGCTGGTCTGGAACTCCTGACCTCAGGTGATCCACCCACCTCGGTCTCCCAAAGTGCTGGGATTATAGGCATGAGCCACTGCTCTCAGCCATGCACAATTTAATAACAGTGTTTTTTATGTTCAATGTTTATGAAGGGTATGCCTTAAGGGTACACCGAGCTTTACAACAAACAGATGCTAGAAGTAACTATCTAGTGTGATACCCATATGAATCAAAGCCTAAAATATATGTTTTTAGTAATTTGAGTACAAAAAAGAGAATATTTTTCTTGAAATAAGGAAAATCTTAGAAAATTCAAACTTTCAACGCAAGTATATAAAAAGGTTATTGCTTACTTTACAAAAGGAGTTTCATCTTTATAGTGGGAGTCATATTTTAGAAGTTGAGGTATGTTGATAGTGGATTTCTTCAATTATGGCATAATGCGTTTATCATAGAGAAACAGTGTTTTAGAAAATAATACTAACTAGGAAAATACTCGACTGGGAAAAATATTAAAGCTTTTAAACATATATTATTCAGTAAGAAAATATGGCACCTTAGGATGCAATATAAGTGCAAACTATTATTTTAAATATAACACTAAAATCGCTATATAAAGAGTAGGGGACATGAATTGAGGTATTGCATGTCTATTACATAAAGAGAGAACTCCTTTGTAAAATTATGCTTATAGAACATTTAAATGACGACAGTGATTTTTATTTATATGAATTTGGTATTTACATCAAATTCATATAATTGGTATTTACATTCAAATAGTACATATTAGAGAGATAGTATACGCCTGTATTAATGAGTCATTAAAGTTATACAAATTTCACTGTTGCCATACTGTTTCCTCATTTAATTATTAAAAAAGTTAATGAGGTATCTTTGAAGGAACATGATATTAAAACTGCTATTGATAGATTAGATTTTACTTGGAATATGCTACTTATTTTCAAGAAGAAACTGGTTTTTAGAAATAATTTTGGAAACTTTTTAGCTGTTCTCAAATATATCTGCTCAAGAATATCTGCTTGTTTAAAATTATATTCTGATGAAGGTGAAAGTGGTTAAGGAGTAGTTATGTGAAAGATTTCTGGTAACCTTCCAAAGGCTGTGAATTTGGCAATGTTAAATGTAGTTTAAAATTTAAATTTAATACAGCTTAATTAAGCAAAATACTACTACTGCTAATAATAAGATTTGAGAATTGGGTAGCCCCCCGGAATCACAGCAGATTCAGAGAGACTCCAAGGATGCCACATGGTCAGAGCAAATTTATGAACAGAAAAATAATAGTGTTGTCCTGAAAATGGAAGTGATATACAGAAACAGCCAGATTGGTTATAGCTCAGCATTTGCCTTATTTGAACACGGTTTGAACAGTTGGCTGTCTGTGACTGGTTAAAGTATGGCTGCTGGGACAGAAGCATACTCCTCAGTTAGGAGTATGCCTATCTACTAAATTAGGTTAGAGTTCATCCATAAGGACTCAAGAATAAGAATATTTTCTCAGGCCAGATTTTAGTTTCATTTAACAATCCACTCCTTTTGCTCAGCCTCTCAATTTAGAGAGAATGGCCAAACTTTAGGCAATAACTTTACTCCCTGTCACCTCTGTAAATGACTTATTTTGTCTCAATATGAAATTCACAAGTGTTCTGTAGTCTTAATATGAAGTTCACAAGTCTTCTTTGGTGTCAGCATGGAGTTCACAAGTCACAGCTTCACATCAGCTGAATGATTCATTCTGTTCTTGCTGACCTAGTCAAAGTGAAACTAACTCTCAACGGATGGCTGCACAGAAAACATTTAAGATGTGAGAGGCTATAGAACACAAGAGGGATAATTATCATGACTATCAAAAAGATAACATCAAAATACAAAGGTGTATTTCTTAACAAGAGTTGTTATGAAATGAGCCAAACCATGTTAAACAAACCAAAGCTCAGGCAATGTAGGCAGTTCAACAGCATTAGTGTCTAATTGGTCACAGTCATTATTTGGAGTATGATAGAGATTAAGAACCATGGTTGTAACGTGGTCTGATTTAAAGAGGTATCCATTTTCATTGTTACCTTGGTAACACAAGTCATAATAACCTGGAGACCTAACTAGAAAAAATAAAAAGATTAGAAACCTTTGGAAATCCCAAGCTTGCCATCCATTATTTAGGATGTTTGCAAACCAAATTCTAATTGCTCCTGTAAACACATCATTTGTTCTTTTGTCTTGGGAGGTTTCTTTAATGTGTTTGTTGGCAGTGTCTAAGGAAACAGCAGTACCAGCCACATTTTTATTAATAATTAAGTTTTCTGTAGTAACAAAATCAGGGGAGAGAGAAGTATAACATTGAGTTTTGTTAAATGCCAAACATAGGCTCCTACCTTGAGTAAAAAGATCTAAAGCTGCATGATATTTAAGTGTTTCTGTTGAACACATATGTTACTTTATATCTTTCAGAAAATGGCTTCTACCCACCTGAAACTATGGGAGGTTTGAGTGGCTGAATGATATGGTTTGGCTGTGTCCCCACCCAAATCTCATCTTGAATTGTAGCTCCCATAATTCCCATGTGTCATGGGAGGGACCAGTGAGAGGTAATTGAATCACGGGCTTTTCCCATGCTGTTCTCGTGACAGTGAATAAGCCTTACCATTCACTATTAACCGTTCTTGTGACAGTGAATAAGTCTCACTATAAAATGTGATGGCTTTATAAAGAGAAGTTTCCCTGCATGTTGAACACATATGTTACTTTATATCTTTCAGAAAATGGCTTCTACCCACCTGAAACTATGGGAGGTTTGAGTGGCTGAATGATATGGTTTGGCTGTGTCCCCACCCAAATCTCATCTTGAATTGTAGCTCCCATAATTCCCATGTGTCATGGGAGGGACCAGTGAGAGGTAATTGAATCACGGGCTTTTCCCATGCTGTTCTCGTGACAGTGAATAAGCCTTACCATTCACTATTAACCGTTCTTGTGACAGTGAATAAGTCTCACTATAAAATGTGATGGCTTTATAAAGAGAAGTTTCCCTGCACATGCACTCTTGCCTGCTGCCATTTAAGATGTGACTTTGCTCCTCATTTGCCTTCCACCACAGTTGTGAGGCCTCCCCAGCTATGTGGAACTGAGAGCCCTTTAAACCTCTTTCCTTTATAAATTACCCAGTCACAGGTGTGTCCTTATTAGCATCATGAGAACAGACTAATATACTGAAAATCCAATTTTTCCCAATTTATGGATTAGCTTTAAATTTCATACAACTGGTACCCCACTACTCTAAGAGCGAGCCCCCAGAAACCTCCCTAGAATCTTTCCTCAGTGGAAACTAGCTTATCTTTGTCTATTTCCATGCTACTGATAATTTTGGTTATTGACCACTTTGGCCTCTGATCATAAGACTTGCTGTTATGAGAATTTTCAGGGAAAGCTATTCAAAAGCAGGCCAAGTCAAATAGTAAGATCCAAACCAAAGAGGAAGTAAAAAATGAAATATGCAGATTTTCTGCAGATCCAATATAGGCCCTCGGAGACTGGAAAAGAGGGTCACCTAGTTGCATTTGAGCAGGGGTCAGTTAGATTTGTTTGCCCATAAATCTGCATAGTTCTTGAACAAGGGCCAGTAGGAAATTCGCTTTTCTATGGCACCCTGTAAGTGTTAGGGTGTAAGGGCATATGTATATGCACACTAAATGTGGATATATATATATATATACACACACACACACATACATTTATATATTCCTCTATATATACATATATATTCCTCTATACATGTATGTCTCCACATTTATGTGTGTGTATATATAGAGGAATCTATATATGTAATATATATACACACACACATAAATGTGGAGACCATATATATATATATGTGTGTGTATATATATATATATAAATGTGTAGATATATATCTCCACATTTAGTGTGCGTGTGTGTGTGTGTGTGTGTGTGTATATATATATTTTATATATATATATATATATATCTCCACATTTAGTAAAAAGAGACCCAACTGGATTTAATCCAAGCAAATAATTGTAACCGCATAGATGATTCCCAAATCTTGAGTGTGTAATGCCAGGAAGCATAACATACCTTTTGCAGGCATCATTTGGATTTGTTTTCTATATTATTTATTAAAAAATAAGAGTGCTATTTTTAGTGAATGCAGGAAAGCAAGTAGCAACAATGTTTAGAATATCAAGGATAGCTTTTTATTCTTCCCTTGGAGTTTCAAGGTGATTGTCATTGCAAATGTTGAGAGGCATTGGCATCAGTGTAATTGTTTCTTGATTTTTTGGCATTAACTAACTAACCCAACAATTAATGGTTTTGTATTAGAGCATAATCTTGAGCTAAAGCCATCCATTGCGTATGGTCCCATGGATTTTCCTGCAGGAAAAGGAAAGAATTAGAGCAACAGAAAGTAAGAAATAGGAAAAAAAAAAAAAAGCACATAAAGTTTTCATGTTTGCAGCGAAGTTTTGATCTGTGATCTTGAGAAAGAAGCTCATGACTTGGATTCTGTCTGCTTGTATGGAGAGATTTCCCTGGTCAGCTTTACCTTAAAATCTCCAGCAGGCGTACAGTTCCAGGAGTCTGAAGGGGCGCTTTTGAGGTGTGAGATGTGGATCCAACGTTTAAGGTCCTGAAGCTTCACTGCAGTGTGGGTTGTGAGAAGAACTTGGTATGGCCCCTTCCAACAAGGTTCAAGAGCAGCCTTCCTGTGATGGCATTTCCAGAAGACCCATTCTCCAGGTTCTAGACTGTGGAAGGTTTGATTGCCCTCAGTTGGTGGATCTCAAAAACCTTCTTTATCTGGTGAAAGTACACTTTGGCATAATGCATTAAAGCCTTACGGTATTTAGGCATAGCAGAGTTTAGGGGAGCAGGACATGCATGAAGTTCTATTATTAGGGGTATACATCTTCCAGTGTCTATTTCCTAAGGGGTAATTCATGTTTTCCAGTGAGAGTGGATATGATTGCCATTAAAGCCAAAGGTATTACTTTGACCAAGGCAACCCAATTGATTCCATTAACTTTGCCAATTTCAGTTTTAATATGCATTTTTTTTTATTTCAACCCTTTCCAGAAAACTGACAGTGACTAACACCTTATTTAACTGATTTATAACTTACCCAGTAAAATAAGTTTCCCTATCACTGGAGATTTTTCCAGGGACGCTCCATAAAGGAAACGTATTTTCTAATAATTTCTTAGCTACTGTCATAGCATCAGCTTTCCTACCCAGGAAGACCTCTACTCAATCAGAAAACATGCAAATGATTACAAGAACTTACTGATATCTCACTAAGGGTGGCAGCTGAATGAAGTCCATCGGTAAATGTGCTTTGTTCCATCAGGTAGTGGAAATACACCACCTAAAATTTTAATTATTTTTCCAGGATTATGAGTTTGACAAGCCAAACATTGTTATAGACCATTTTAGCAATTTTGGAACAATCACCTCAACTGTACTTATTTCATAATTTAGATTATTTTGTCTGTTTAGTGATAAGTTGTGGAATGCAGAACTTTTAAGAACGGAAGCTTCAAAAACTCAGGAAGAACCAGGAGGCTGTCTGGGCCCTCTGTGAGCCTGCATTTAACATTAAATTTACATTTTTTAAGATACAAATTTTGTTTCTTCAAATCAGGTACATTGCACTGCTTATTAAATAGGTCACCGCAAGGGAGTTGGCTTGGATTAATCTTATGGAGTTTATTTAGATTGCATATCCAAACAGTTTTAAGCAGTAGCAGATTTAGCATAAAAATGTGATAAATTATTCCCTGAACCAAAATAGGTTCAGATCTATAGGTATCAGCTTCAATGTTAGTAACAGTGATCTATTATGGTAACAAGATAGCAAAAATGAGTTTATCTACTTGGAGTCCATTTGTGATGGGAGTCCTGCTAAAAGTGAGAAACTCTCATAGTTTTCATATTATGTCTAAATTGTGAATTACTCCAAAAGCATATCTGCCATCCATATAAAGATTTACTCACTTGTATTTACTTACATGACAAGCTTGGGTGAGGGCAAAACGCTCTGCAGCTTGAGTTGACTTAAATTGAGGAAGAATTCCATTCCCTATTCATTTATTATAAGTGGCAACAACACACCCTGCCTGATATTTTCCTTCTGAGTTTTTGGCATAGAACACATGCCAATATTTTAATTTTAATTCAATATTACCCAGTGGAGCATCTCATAAGTCAACATGAGAGGTAATTATTTCTGACACTACTGTTACACAATTGTGGTCTTCATCATTGTTAGGCAGAGGTAATAGAGTAGGAGGGTTAAGTGTACTGAGCATTTTAGACAAAGATTAGGAAACTGGAGAAGTATTTTATAAGACGTTAGTCTACTTACTGAAAAATGCTGGGCTTTGTTGGAATTTAGTAGACTTGCCACAACATGTAGGATTTGCAAATTATGTTCATTTCCTAAAACCAGATCAGATGAAGCTTTTACAGCTTGGCTGCTGCTGCTACTGCTTTTAAACAACTAGGATATGCCTTAGCCACTGGGTCTAATTCTGGGATATAATATGCAATTGGCCTATGTTTTCCCCCATATTCTTCACTAAGAACTCCTAATGCCTGACAGTTATGTTCATGAATGAGCAAGGTAACAGGTTTAGTGTAATTTGGAATTTCTAAAGCTGAAGGCGGTTGTAAAGTCAATTTCAGTTGGCTGAAAGACTGCTCATGACTGTCTTCCCAAGATAAAGTCTCTGGTACAGCATTTTTAGTGGACTCATACAATGACGAGACCATTAAGAAAAAATTTGGAACTCAGAATCTGTAACATCCTGCAAGTCCAAGAAAACCTCTCAATTGTCTTTTGGTTGCAGGTTGATGAAAACTGAATAGTTTTTACCCTCTTAGGTGAGAGGGAAATCCCTTTAGCAGTCAAGTCATGTCCCAAATAGTGGGATCTTTCTCTGAAAACTGAAGTTTTTCCATAAAAGCCTTGTGACTTTTATGTGAGAGTTGCTATGAAAGGCAAACAGTCAATTTCAGAGCACTCTGCTCTTTAGTGGGGGAGTATAACAAGAAATCACCTACCTCCTGAATGAGAGTAGGATTTTGAGGAAACTGTAGTATAATTAAGTCCTGATGCAATGCCTACGAAAAATAGGAAGGGGCTTTGGTAAACCCCAGTGGCACTATAGTCCAGGGGTACAGCTGATGTTTTCTAGTAGGCAAACAAGTGTTGATGCTCTTTATGAACGAGCAGTCTAAAGAAGACTAAGCAGAGATCTATTGCCGTGAGCCACTTGGAATCAGTGGGTACATTAAATGATAGAGTATTAGGATTTTGGACTACAGAAAAACTTGGTATTACAATTTTACTGCTTGTCCGTAAATTCTGAGCAAATCTCCAACCTCATCCATTTGGCTTTTTAACTGGTAGGATTCGAGTGTTACAAGGGCTGGTGCATGAAATTATAAGTCCTTGTTTAATTAAATCTTCTATAATTGGTGAGAGCCCTGAAATTGCTTCAGGATTTAGTGGATATTGTGAAAATTTAAGCAAAAGTGTAGAATGGTCTATTTGGACTTTTATAGGTTCCACACTTTAATTCTTCCTACATCAATTGAAGAAAAGGCCCATGAAGATTCAGGTATTTTTGAATGATCAGGGGTATTGCAAGCCTAAGTTTTGTTCTTATCAATTTCTGCCTGTAGACAGCATAACAATTCTGGTTCAGGAGACTCAGGAAACTCTAAGATTTTTTTCTCCCTCTGAGAAAAATTTTATGTGCCTTTTAGCTTTGAAAGTAAGTCTTGCCCTAGCAAATTTACTGGAGTGGTTTCACATAGTGAAAAGGAGTGTTTTTCTGAAAAGAGCCCCAAGTTCAGATATTGGAATCTACCTTTCTACCCCAAGGAATTTGTTGGCTTATTAAAGTGGGATTTATTGTAGATAGAATAGCTCTAGTATCCATCATGACTTTACATGACTCCCCATTTATTTTAACCTCTGTTTCTCCATGTTTATTTAAGGGTGTAATGGGGAGCAATTTATCACAGAATCCCTTGGAGCCGCATCAATGTTATCATCAGAACAAAGGTCTCTTTGGCTCCCTCTAGTGGCAAAACAGTTTGGCCTAAAGAGAGGCTTATGGGTGGACGGTTACTAAAGGGGGACAATCTCTTTTCCGCTGTCCTAGCTGTTTGCAAATAAAGCAGACATCTTAGAGTAAAGAATTTCTTGTTCTAGGACCTCTTGGTTGTGATTTAAAAGGAGAATGGGAAGGTCTGTTTGGTCCCGGCCCCTGTAACTGTTGTAATTAAAGAGATTTAAGTTTGTTAACCTTTTGGGTTTTTTTTTCCTGGCTCTAGAGTCCTCTCAAAATGTTCAGTTAAGGTCACTAATTTAGTCATATCTATAACTTCCCATCCCAGTTTATGGTTTTTAATTAAATTATTAAGTTCAAAATGGAATCTACTTATAAATAGACCAGTTAATACCATTTCCGTTCCTGCAGGAAATACTCCTTGCTGAACTTTGAGCCCAGAATGTTTCACAAACAAGTGTTTCTAACAGTGTTTCTACAGAATTTGTAATCTGAAACTGGTCCCTCATCCTGTTTTTGTTTTCATGATGTACTGATCAACTTTTTGTGGAAAATTTAGAAATTGAATTTAAGAAGTTTTCAGCATTTTTTCTAACGCTTTTTGTTCCTTCTCATAAAAAGGTTTTGGATGGGTCTTTAACATCGTCCTCAGGTTTGTCCCATTTTGCTGCTATAATCCATTTGCAAGCTTTATCAGGCTTCAATATCAAGTGACTAAATTGATAAAGGTCAGGGAGTCCTGGATTATAACCTTCTATGAGGATCCTAAATTTCTCAGTAAATTTTTGAGAAGTTCCTCTTGGATCAGGGAAGTACTTTCCAATGGCTCTAAGCTCAGTTTTAGACCATGGAGTGAGAGTGGTTGCAGCAGACAGGCCTGGCTGATCAGAAGGCCTTACTTTGTTAGGTCTCTAATTTGTCTTTTTTCATCATCTTCCGAGTGAAAAGGTAATTTAGCAAAAAGGTTAGTGGTGTCAGAGTATGCAGGCAGAGATGGATAAAGAGAAGGAACAGTTGGGGTTAGTTCATTTGCTTTTTGCAAAGAATTTTTGAAGGAGAACATTTTGATTCATTTAGTCTCTTAGAAGCCTCTGCATACCAATGAAAGAACACATTGCAAAGTTTTTGTGGGGGTTTTTGATCTCCTTTCCTTAATATGCCTCAAAATAAATAATTTTATCCAAATTAAAAGTTCTCCATTGTGGCTATCTTGATTCTAAGTTTTCTCTAATAAGATTAACCCATTTTCCTAATGATGCACACATTCTGGGCCCATAATTTGTATATATAAAATTAGCTGGAGTCCCAGAAGTTGGGGTCCCAGACTCATTGGATTGAGACAAATTCACTATCAAAAATAAGAGCATCTACCTAAGGCTTCAAACTAAATCCCATCCAGTTAATTATCAAGTGTAATTTGATTCTGTACCCAGTTCAGTCTAAATATTGCTCAGATAAATTCAGCGCTCAGATCACAAATTAACGAAGTTCAGAATCCTAGAGAAATCTCATCTATGACCTCCAGTTACAATCGAGGGAGCAGTGAGCACAACTAGTGCTGTGGGCACCTCTTCTGGTCACCTAGTATTCCTAGAGGTTGCTGGAATTTTGCCTCAGATCCCACTTGTGACACCAGATCTGTTCGAAGAAAAAGTTTAGAGAAATCAAATGCAACAAAGTTTAATTGAACAAGAAAAAGGAAATAATTTGTGAATTGGGCAGTCCTCAGAATCACAGCAGATTGAGAGAGACTCCATGGATGTTGCATAGTTGAAGCAAATTTATGGACAGAAAAAGGATAATAATGTATAGAAAACAGACGTGAGGTAAAGAAACTGCTGGATTGGTTACAGTTTGGCATTTGCCTTATTTGAAAATGGTTTAAACAGTCGGCTACCTATGAATGGTTGAAGTATGTCTGCTAGGGTTGGCTGATACTAAGTTGCTGTTACCGAAGCATACTCCTTCATTAGGGTTTCAGTCTGCCTATCTACTAAGATGTGTTATGGCTTGTCTATAGGGACTCATGCATGGAAATACAGAGGATTTCTCAGGCCAGATTTCAGTTTGCTTTAACAATAAGAATATAGACACACTGCTGGACAGCAACCTATGCTCAATCCTGAATTCTTTTTATTGTTAACTGAAGGAGTTTGGTCAAGTTATTTAATTGTTTAAAAGCCACATTATCTGTAAAATGGGGATAAATAAAAATGAATAACTGCACATTTTTTCTGTGGAGTAAATGAGGTAATCTGCATTAGGGCTTGATTTGTAACTAGTATTCACAAAATATTGTTAAACTGCTATTAGTTTTCTTTCATTCAATTTTTTTTCCCAGTTTAAAAGAATGTTGCGATACCAGCAAAAGAAAAATAACTGCCTAAGAACTCTGAAGGGAAATAAAAGTTGACCGAAAATGGAGAAGTATTAACATCTTCAGCAGTAACCCAAATAGAAGTGAATTTTCTTTTGTTTCCCTTTATTCTCTTGTAGCTTTGAAGTGAGAACAGGTCTGGTTCATGGGACTGACTGGTGGCATAGCTGATATTTAAATGACGCTCCACCCAACAAGAGCAGAATATACTTTCCTTTCAGATACACATTCAACTTCCAACTAAACCATTTAATGAGCTACAAAAATCCTTAGTAATTTTAAAATAATGAAAATTATACAAAGTATGAGCCTGAACAATGATAAAATTAAACTGGAAATCAGTAACAAAAAAATCTTGAAAACTGTCTATATTTAGGAAATAGTCAACAAACTTTCTCCTTTGTTAGAATATCACAAGGGAAATTACACATTTTTTAACTGAAACAAGTGAAAATACAATATACAAATGTATACTATTCTGTTAAAGCAGTGATTTGGGGAAAATTTATAGCAAAAAATACTTCTAGTAGAAAAGAAGAAAGGACTCAAATTGATGATCTAACTTTTATCTTAAGATATTGGAATAAGAAAAGCAAATGAAAGTTGAAATAAGCAGAAGCAAGAAAATCTTTTTTTTTTTTTTTTGAGATGGAGTCTCGCTGTGTCACCTAGGCTGGAGTGCAGTGGCATGATCTTGGCTCACTGCAACCTCCATCTCCTAGGTTCAAGTGATACTCCTGCCTTAGCCTCTTGAGTAGCTGGGATTACAGGTGTGTGCCACCACACCCAGCTAATTTTTGTATTTTTAGTGGAGACGGGGTTTCACCATGTTGGCCAGGCTGGTCTCGAACTCCTGACCTCAGGTGATCCACCTGCCTCAACCTCCCAAAGTGCTGGGATATCAGGCGTGAACCACTGTGCCTGACCACATCTTTAAAAAGATTAATAAAATTGGTAAATCTGTAGCCAGATTGACAGAAATAGCCATATAAATAGAGATTTTATTAGGAATGAAGACAAAGAATCATTACAGTCATTCAAATTGATAAGAAAATATTATAAACAACTTTATACCAATAATTTCAAAAGCTTAAACTAAATCAATTCCTTGAAAAGACACAAACTATTAAAATTCACTTAAGAAGAAACATACAATGAATAGTGTTACACTGATTAAAGAAACTGAATTTGAGTTTAAAACTGAACAAAGGAAACTCCGTTCATGGATAGTCTCACTGATGAATTCTTTAAAAGAGTTAAATAAACTGAAGATAATTAGAATCTTTCTAACTCATTGTATAAGGCCAGGTTTACCTAATTACCAAAACTAGATAAAAACATTGTTGTAACCACCCAATGGGTTCACCTTGCCCACTGCCTAGACAGAGCCAATTATCGAGACAGGGAATTGCAATAGAGAAAGAATAATTCACATAGAGCCAGCTGTGCAGGAGACCAGAGTTTTATTACCACACAAATCAGTCTCCCCGAACATTTGGGGATTGGAATTTTTAAAGATAATTTGGTGAGCAGGGGTTTGGGAAGTGGGGAGTTCTGATTGGTCAGATTGGAGACAGAATCATAGTGGGGTTGAAGTGAGGTTTTCTTGCTGTCTTCCCTTTCTGGGTGGGATCATAGAACGGTTGAGTCGGATTACTGGTCTGAGTGATGTCAGCTGATCAACTGAGTGCAGGGTCTGCAAAATATCTCAAGCACTGATCTTAGGTTTTACAATAGTGATGTTATCCCCAGGAGCAATTTGGGGAGGTTCAGACTCTTGCAGCCAGAGGCTGCATGATTCCTAAACCATAATTTCTAATCTTGTAGCTAATTTGTTAGTTTTAAGAAGGCAGACTGGTCCCAAGGCAAGAAGGGGGTCTTTTCGGGAAAGCGCTATTATCAATTTTATTTCAGAGTCAAACTATAAACTAAATTCCTTCCCTAGGTTAATTTGGCCTATGGCTAGGAAAGAACAAGGACAGCTTAAAGGTTAGAAGAAAGATGGAGTCGGTTAGGTCTGATCTCTTTCACTGTTATAATTTCCTCAGTTATATTTTTTGCAAAGGTAGTTTCATTATGAGAAAAGAATACTGAAGACCAATATTCCTCAAAAACATAGGGACAGAAATCTATAACGAAATATCAGTATATCAAATCCAGGATTACACAAAAGACCTTTGGATTTGGATTTGAGTTTGGATTTGAATGTAAGGTGAATTTTCTCACCAGAATGACAGGTAGATGTCTATGGTTAGCCAGGTTGACCTATCTTTCTCTTCCCTTGTCTTGCAGGAGAGTACTCTAATAACGCAAACATTTGCAAATGCTTCATCTACAGATTATTACATTAAAAATTTTGTAACATTTGAAAGATCACTGGACAAGGCCTCTATAGATAATGAGGGGAAAATCAAAACAATGCTTGTCTACCATTTCTGATAAAATAGCACAACTTATTAGAGGATGCTGGCTGTAATGGAAACAAGGATCTGGAGACCGAATTGGAGAGGACTTCAAAAATGGGATGAATGTATCTTGCATTACCTTGAGTATAAGTTTATTCACTTGGCCCAAGTTGTTGGTAAGCATTGGAAGTTCAAGCATCCCTAGATATCCTTAGGACAGAGTGGTTTTGCCCTCTCTAGATCACCTGGAATTCAGGAAAGCCACAGCTATTAAGTATGAGTCTCCTCTATTTGCCAGGGTTCTCCAGAGAAACAGAGCTAATAGGATTAGCTAGCTAGCTAGACAAAGAGATTTATTTTATTTATTTTAGGATTTGGCTCACACAGTCATGAAGGCAGAGAAGTCCCACAATCTGCTGTCTGCAAGCTAGAGACCCACGAGAGTTGATGGTATAATTCCAGTCCAAGTGTAGAAGACATGCCCCACTTCAAAACCAATCAGGCAGAGAGAGAATTCCCCTGTACCATGGCTTTTGTTCCATTTAGGCTTCCAATGGATTGAATGAGGTCCACCCACACTGGGGAGGGTAATTGACTTTACTCAGTCTACTTATTCAAATGTTAATCTCATCCAGAAACACCTTTACAAACACAGCAACAAGAACATTTAACCAATTATCTTGGCAGACCATGTCTCACTCAAGTTGATACTTAACATTAACAATCACCTCTCTCAACAGTAGGCTGAGCTGCGTTTTACACATACATGACAAGAGCTTTTGAATACCAATTGAAATTTCTGAGCGTGTTTTTATTTGAATTTTAAATATAAATTTTTCTAAAATATGTAATACGTGCCTCAGGCTTCTTGACCTATTCAACATATAATAGTATAATTTAACATGTGCTTCAAAAATTCAGGTATACACACACACACATTTACACACACACACATCCATGTTCATTTTCTGAATGGCTAAGATATAATATCAAACTTTTTGTATATTTATAGCTTTAGGTACAGAGAGATAAATGGGCACGGAGAAGGCTCTGTAACTTAATTTATTGAAAAAGATCCTGATGTAGTTTCATTTTCTAATAATATATCCTCTCCCTCAAGAAACTCTGAGTTGCTTATTTCTGCCACCTCTTCTTTTTCTCCCACTCCACATACTAAATATTACAGGTATCTCTTGTTATTGATTTGTCTTTATTGTGGAACCCTGATTATCTTAGAGGCCTCTTGCCCTGCTTCTACATGCCAATGTTTCTAACTTTTGCTTATTTATTGCTGAACCATATTTTTCCTCATCTCTGTTTCTGAAAGCCTCAACTGCTGCTAGGTAGCACTGTTTTAAATGATCATTTCTGCTGTCATCAGATTTAAATGAAGGTACCTTTTCTATTGCTTGATCTCTCTTTATTTCTCTCCATTTTTTCCTTCTCTTGTCCGCTTTTGCCAATAAAAACTTCATCTATCAGATATTCTAGAAAGTATTTTAAATTTCCAATAAGCAAATTTTAAACATTGCAGTAATAATAACTTCCAAGTACTAGCATCGGGCAATCAATTATTTGTGGTTTAAGAGTGCAGCTTTTGGAGTTAGACCTGGCTGTGTTCTTTCCAAACATTTATTCATTTATTTAACAAATATTTGTTGAGCTTCTACTATGAACAAAGGACAGTGCTAGATGCTGCAGATACAGTGAAAAATAGGATTAAAATTTTCCACCCCAATCGAATTATGGCAGAGGTGATTCTGATCGTGCTAATGTTTGACAATTAATTACCCAAACTGTTTTCTTTTTTTTTTTTTTTTTTTGAGATGGAGTCTTGATCTTGTTGTCCAGGCTGGAGTGCAGTGGCCTGACCTTGGCTCACTGCAACCTCCATCTCCTAGATTCAAGTGATTCTCCTGCCTTAGCCTCCGAAGTAGCTGGGATTACAGGCATGTGCCACCATACTCAGCTAATTTTTGTATTTGTAGTAGAGACGGGATTTCTCCATATTGGTCAGGCTGGTCTCAAACTCGCAACCTCAGGTGATCCACCTGCCTCGGCCTCCCAAAGTGCTGGGATTACAGGCGTGAACCACCACGCCCAACCTTATCCCAGATTATTTTAATAGATAAATCTGTTGTGGTCTGCAAGGAGAAGGAAAGTGTGTATGAAGTTGGAATTAAGAGTAAAAGTGACTAGCTAAGCGAAGAGGAGGAGGCAACCATTCCAAGCAGAGGAAACAGTAGGTGAGATGATCTGACATGAAAGAGCTTTGGTACACTGAGAAGCTCATGTGTAAAGGCCACTCACAGGTAAGGCTGAAGTGTCAAAAATGAGAGGGGCTGGGAAGATAGGCAGAGCAGTTCATGGAGGGCTTTGCAGGCTGGATTATGGGTTGGGATTTTCTTTTAAGAGCAAAGAAATTTCAAGAGTTTTATATGCAAATCACACTACAGTCACACTCAGTTTACACCTCTGTAATGGGGATAATAATATGAATCACAGGGTTGTAACTGGAATTATATATGATTAAATTTAAAAAGTGTTAATTTTAGTTTTTAAAATATTAATCACTTAATTATGGTTATTAATTTATTATTGTTTTATGATGTGCTTTTACATGCATGATTTCTAAACCTTAAAACTATCCTAAAAGCATGGCAATCCTCTCTTAACAGGTAAGATGATCAAAGCTCAGATAAGGTGATAACTTACCCAAGGTTATGGTCAAAACATTAATACAGAGTCTTGAACAATTGTGACCTACCAGGTGGAATGCCTCTCTGCCTGAGGTCACTAACCCCGCCATGCTTTGTAACCTGCCTGTGTCTTTGCAAAAACTTTTCCCTCTGTCTTCAGAACACAGATCAGATACTATCTATTTAGGAAGTCTTCCTGAGTCCTAGGTAAAGTAAATCTGTTTTTATTCTGCATAATTCTGTGCACATATTTCAGCTGCGATATTATCATGCCCTCAGATTTTATTTGTTCACTTACCTATGTTCCTTACTTGACTAGGAGCTTTCTGCTCCCCTCAGTCTAATTCCATATCTGTGTCTCCAGTACCTTTCACAATGCCTGGCAGATAATGCCTTATTAATAAATGTTTGTTAAATTTAGTTGAAAATAACTAAGACATTTACAACTGTAACATTTTATATATTGATTAAAAGATATTATGCATCTTTGTCATCATGGTTTACTCTCCCCATGTTTAGATAGCTACCTTTTTTTCCTCTACATTATGTACTTGAATGTGAGTATATTGGTTCATTCATAAGTATATATATCTGATATTTTGAAATCCTGACCTTCTTTTGTTCCATTTTTTTCTACATTGTCTTTTGCTTGGCTGAATCATCTCGTTATCAGTCTTGTTACAGATAAATAACTAAAGCTAGAAACTTGTCATTGCATCATGTTGTGCCTTAAATATCTAGCCTAGCTGTTAAACTACTTAAATTCTGATGAGAATTCAGTTTATAGCATATTATGGGGCTTGCATAGTACTCATCTACCATGAAGCTGGAACTTTCTTAAGCTTATTGTTTACTAGAGTGCTTGTAGAACACTACAGAGGAAAAGCTTTATATAGTGCTAGCTTGCCCACAGAGTAGCGTGTTTTTTCATATGTTAGCAGAAAGATATGATATATTAAACTGTTTTGAATTTAGCGCCAATTTAGCTTTGAAAATGAATGTTTTAAAGCTTAGACTCTACTTTTACTACTCATCTCTTAGCATACTAACATTAACATAATACAATTTTTGACAGAAGGGATTCTCCACGTGTCCCCTCAATCTTTAATTCAATGTAACTGTGATACATCTTAGAACGAAATCAACTTTCACTTATGTAAACCATGTATTTTGTATCTGGCCATGCTTTAAATATTATGAGATATGTAGGAGGCAGTATTCAATTTTTTTGTTTGTTTGTTTTGAGACGGAGTCTCACTCTGTCGCCAGGCTGGAGTGCAGTGGTACAATGTTGGCTCACTGCAAGCTCTGCCTCCCGGGCTCAAGCAATTCTCCTGCCTCAGCCTCCTGAGTAGCTGGGACTACAGGTACGTGCCACCACACTGGGCTAATTTTTGTATTTTTAGTAGAGATGGGGTTTCACCATGTTGGCCAGGATGGTCTCGATCTCTTGACCTTGTGATGTATCTGCCTTGGCCTTCCAAAGTGCTGGGATTACAGGCATAAGCCACCGTGCTGGGCCCTATACAAATATTTTCAATAAAAATTCTTTGTATGTACCATTTGATTTTATTTTATGTGTTATAAAATTAAAATGCATCCTCAAAAAAATACAGAAAAATAAAAAAAGTAAAATAAAAAATTCTCTCAAATATATAGACAAATAATCAAGAGAGAAATGTTTACGCATAAGTATATAAACATCACAGTTTTATGCACTCATATATGAGAATGAACTTATCCACACTGAACAATCAGGGCTACACTGATTGCAATAGTCATACTGCATACTCCTAGACACATTTCACACAAGGAACTAATAAAATATCCCTTTATCACTCTTCTATTTATTTCTGCCGTTTAGTGCTAGAGCAAGTCCAGCAAGAAAGGAGAGAGCACTTAAAATTCCCTGCTACTTGAAATTTTCTTAATTTTTCCCCTTTCTATATGTACTATGTGTACATTTTTTCTTTTCTGTTTGTAATGTAACTTATTTGTATCATAACTCTTTTTTTCTTTATTTTACCAAAGGTTTAAAATCAGGTTTTAATTTTTTTTTAATTTTCTTGTTGTTCTTTTAAATTAATTTATACTATTTGCTTTAAATATTTTTCTTTCATTTTTAAGTTTAGATTTACTCTTGTTCTTTTTCCAAGCTTCTTGTGTTGACTACTTAATAATTTTTCAGGGTGTCTTGTTTTATTAATAAACACATTTGCAATTTTACAATTTTCACCAAAAATTATTTAGCTGCATTCCACGTCTATTGCAATGCAATGCTTCTATTGTCTTCACTTTTGAAGATTTTGGGTAAACATTATCTTTTTTTTTTGAGACAGGATCTTGCTCTTTCACCTGGGCTGGAGTGCAGTGGTGTGATTACTGCTCACTGCAGCCTGTAACTCCCAGGCTAAAGCAGTCCTCCCAACTCAGCCTCCTGAGTAGCTGGGACAACAGGTGCATGCCACCATACCTGGCTCATTTTTGTATTTTTTGTTGAGACAGAGTCTCACTGTTACCTAGGCTGGTCTGGAACCCCTGGGTTCAAGTAATCCTCCTGCCTTCGGCTCCTAAATTGCTGGCATTACAGTCATGAGCCACCACACCAGACTCATTTTTTTTTAAGCTATGAGAGCAGGCAAAGAGCCAGACTAAAGAACCATGCATGGGCTTTCGACTGCCTCTGCTCAGAAGGATCACACATCTCTCATGCTCACATTTCATTGATTAGAATTAATCACAGAGGAGTGACTCACTGCAGAGGGGAGAAGTACAAACTTCAATGTCCAGAAAGACAGGATCACCAGCTACCTGTGAGCACCAGTGAGCCCACTACAATGTTTGAATTATGCTTTTTATTGTTATGTGCTGTGTCTATTCACTTCTCTGATTTTTATATTAAATTTAAATTTGCCCTCATTTTAAAGTTAATATGTCAGTTTTCTAAATTGATCTATGTTATATGTTATTACATAGACTCTTTTAAAAATTATTTTTCTGGATTTTTTGCTGAATATTTTTATTTTTCAGTTTTTTCAGTGAGATGTAGATTTACCATATGTCTTGATTAGGTAGATTTATCATTTGTCTTGATTCAGATTAGGTCTGAAGTTTTATTTTAATTTTCTTAAATAAATTGATAAATACCACTTGTTTATATTTGTTGTGTGTGTATGCACACAAACACACACATACTTATGTTGTGTTTTTTATTTCCCAGTTCTATTTTTTAAATTCCTCACTTTCTTTTGTTTTATAAATTTGTTTGGACAGAATATGTATTCTTACTCTCTTTCTCATGCTTCTGTTGTTTTAGAAGTGATAGAGTATTTGTCTATTACAATACTTAGCTTTAAGTGTGGAACATACATATATAACTAAGTTCTTTAACACAACTTAAAATCTTGCAACATTATTCTCTCCCATCTTTAAAAGACAAGAAACGTCAGCCCTTTAACTCTGAACCATTCCCCTCCCAGTAGTACTAATTACAATCTTAGTTTTATCATTTATATTTTTTAGTTTCCAATTAGCTATGCTATGATTCATAAATCAATAACTAATTCAATTTGCCATTTTACATCATAATATTCATATGACTACTCCTATCTATCTTGGCTGTTTTCTTCTTGTATAAGTATATATATATATACATATATATATATATATATATTTTTTTTTTTTTTTTTTTTTTTTGAGACGGAGTCTTGCTCTGTCACCCAGGCTAGAGTGCAGTGGCATGATCTCGGCTCACTGCAACCTCCGCCTCCTGGGTTCAAGCGATTCTCCTGCATCAGCTTCCTGAGTAGGTGGGACTACAAGTGCGTGCCATCATGCCTTGCTGATTTTCTGTATTTTTAGTAGAGATGAGGCTTCACTGTGTTAGCCAGGATGGTCTCGATTTCCCGACCTCGTGATCTGCCCGCCTTGGCCTCCCAAAGTGCAGGGATTAAAGGCATGAAGCACCGTGCCCGGCCAAGCATATATTTTAATAAGCCTTTCAGTGTGAATTTGGGGACTATGAATTTTCTCATTTTTTAATACCTGAAAATATCTTTATCAGTCTTCTTGAATGTTAGTGTGGCCAAAAATAGAAATTTCAGTGGAAAGTTATTTTTCTTTGGCACATTAAGAACATCATACTTTTGTCTTCCAGTATTTTTTATTGCTGATAAGTATATTGAAAGTCTAATTGTCTCTAATTTCTTTTCAGCGATCTGACTTTCTTCTCTATCTACATTTATAATTGATTATCTTTAATTTCTGATGAATGTAAGTTTTCTGTCAAGACTCAAGTATTTCACTGAGCTTTTGTTTCTTTAAATGATTTCCTACCATTCGGCCACGCTTCTTGGATTCCTGTTAGAGTTGAAGACTCTCAATTTATTCTTTATGTCTCTTAGCTGCTCCTTTATATTTTAAAAATTTACTTGTCTCTCATTACTGCACACCAAGAAAATTCCTCATTGTCTTCTATTAATTATTTGATTTTGTTCACATCTCTTCTATTGAATGTTTTTCTTCTAGAGATAATGTGTTGATTTTTTAGATATTCTCTCTATTCACTTTTTATATCATTTTTAATTGCCCTTTTTCACTTTTGGAGTTGATTCTTTAATGATTCTTTTATTTAGCTTTCTACAGACTGAACATACTTGCTCCTGTTTTTATCTTTTAAAACACTTTGGTTGTTTTCATTTTATCTGGTGTGAAAGCAGCTTTCAAGTGTTAGTGTTTTGGATCATTATTCTCATTGTTAGATTTGATTATTTATTTTGGAATTTTTAATTTCAGGCTCAGTGGAGTAGGACTTTTCACTTTCTGTAAACTGTGCATATCTTTTAGCTTTTTGGTTGACTGCACTCAATTGTTTAGGAATTCTAGTGCAGAATGAAATCTTAGATTAGCAATTCTGATTTCCTGTCCAACAGTGATACTAGAAAACTTTGCATCTTCATATAATTTTCAGTAGCAGCAGAACATGGCAATTTTATCTGGCTTCATTTCATAAGAAATAATTTAAGGAATTGCATGGCTTGAAATAATGAGCTCAGTTCCCACCCTTGTCTTGCACTTCTTTTGTTTTTTGACTACCTGATATCTTTATAATTTTTAACTTTTTATAATTTATCCATTACTGTTACATGTATGGTAGTGTCTTGGAGTATAATATACAGTTAACTTGACTGAAAGTGCATGCTGCCTAATGTTTCATTGTTGTTTGAAGATATAGTGGAGTCATAATTTACATGGATGTTAGGTCCTAAAAAACAGCATGCGTTTTCATGAGTTACATGCAATTACAATTCAATGCCATTCTACGTATTGTGTAATATTGGAAGGGACTTCCTTATTTATCTTTGTATCACCAGTGCATAGCTGGTGTTGAGCCAATGAAGCAATAATTTTTTTTTTATTTGCAACGTTCTCTTTTGTTTCTCCTAATATAGGCAGAAGTTGACATTCTTTTACTTGAAAAGTAAATATTTCATTTTTTAAACCTGTGGGAATAAATTTTCTCTTTCCTAAAGATAGTGATAGTTTCTCATAACATGGAGACTATGAATTATTGTTTTAGATAGGCGATAATTTTGAGTAAAAAGTATTGTAAGTGCTAAATATTTTTCTATGCAAAATATAGCATGTGACAATGGAGAAAGTTAATTAACTATTTTTGAGATTTTCCAGGGGAGACTCTTGAACTAAGTTTAGAAAGACGCGTTTATAACTTCCAGGCAGAGAGAACAAAATTTGCCAAGGCAGGAAGTTATGAAATAGCATTACAAATTTGAGCAATGTACTTCTGACTTTGATAAGTCAGATGTAGAAGTTTTCAAAGGGTATCCATGAACAATAAAGTTGAAGAGAAAGTCTGAGATAAATTCATGGAGACCTTTGTGTGCTGTGAAAAAGTGCTTGACATTTATCCAGTAGGCAATTGCAAGGCTTTAAAAAGAGGACTCTTAATGAAATTTACGGGATAGAAAGCTACTTGATGGCAATGTGGAAAATGGATTGGAAAAGAGCTGGGCTGTAGTAGTTCAGGAGCTGAGACATATGGAAAGGTACTAGTGAGAATCAAGAGAAGATCACGTTTTTTTCTTTTCACGTATCAAAACAAATGAAATTACATATTTTATGAGCTATCAGGAATTTATGGTGAAGAAAAAAGATATTTCCTTTACAATTCTGTCAAGCCTGACTATTCTTTGTTTTCCTTAATGGGCCTCAACACCAAAAGATCCGTGATAAGAAAACATGACCTGGGTACCAGCAGCAATGACAATATCAATAATAAATATGACCATTTCTTTAGCAATTAATGTTTCCCAAGGATTTTAGTAAGTGCTTTACATATATAGCTCTGCCATTTACTACCTAGATGACCTCACCTGTAAAATTGGGACATGAGTAGCATTTACCTCACAGGCTATAGTGGCACTTAAACTGGTTTACAAAAGTAAAATGAAAAGAGTACACCATACATGGTATGCATTATACAAGTGTTTAGTGCTACTATGGTTATAATGTTCTGATTTGTTCATATGGGACTGTCTGTTCTCCCTCTACCTCCCCTCGAAGCTCATTAGTTCAATCAATTTGAGATTGCAAATGAAATAATGAATCACATTTTTGTATAAACTTTAAAATGTATAATAACAAGTAGAAACTTCTAATCACACTCCTATCCAGAAACCTGAATACATAAATTTAGTTCTTTTGAAGTTTATATTACAAAATAAGCTTGATTGGTTAGTTCAGTTAGTTAGATCATGGCGGTAATAAAGATTTTATAACAAAATAAAACCAAAATATTGAAACAAAAGAGGACAATGTAATAAGCACTCATATATTAATATCTTTCACTCAGCAGTGTCTAATAATTATGTCATTTCTTTAAATATTGTTTGAGGAGAGGTTAAACACCCCAGAATTGAAGCCTTCCTTGACTAAACCCAGTCCTATAGTTTGCTATTCTGAGATGTAATCACTCTCATGAATCCAGTGCTTACTAACCTGATAAATGCTTTCAAATTTTTACAATATATTTCTGTTTCCTTTGCATAGATGTTCTGTAAATATGTGTAATATTGCAAGCTAAAAATTTTATATAAATATTATTAGACTATTTAACTTTATGTAATTTGTTTCTGTGATCCAATATTGAAGTGAAGGTTTAATACGGGACTCTAATTTAGCCACCTCCACTACCTCTGCCCCACGACTCTGTACCTCTTTCATTCTTTACTGTTTCTCTACATTGTGTGTCATTAAGAAAAAAAAGATAGATTATTCTTTTTTTCATATAGTCTATATTCCCTTACTATAACATAGATTGTAAGAATAGTCTGTACTTCTTTTCATTCTTTTTTGTTTCTCTACATTGTGTATCATTTAAAAATAAACAGATCAATTATTTTATTCATATAGTGTATATTCCCTTACTATAACAGATTATAAGAATCCAGAAATTGTGTATGTTTTGTTAATTGTCCTCAGCACTTAGAATACCTAGCACACAATAGCACATCAATAAATACTTGTTAAATGTTTGCATAAAATTCTTTTGCAGCTGTAAAATATTTTAGTAAGTTTTAGCATTTTTTTGTTCTATTTGTGAGAATTTTGGTGTTTTTTTCTTGCTTTCTCACTTTTATTATCAACAAGGAAGGGATAAATATGTTTATACATGTCTTGTGAACATGTGCAAGACATAAGAAAATGAAGATTTTTCCCCCTTAATATGAAACTGTAAGAAATACAGTTTGAAAGGGCTGGAAAGGGCAAAAGTGGATGAACATTCTGTCACTGCATGGCAGAAGAGCAAAAGAGAGCAAACCCACTTCCTCACATTTTTAAATAAGATCCTTAATTCCGTCTATGATTACACTTTCCTCATGATTTAACTACCTCCTAAAGGCCTCACTTATTTGCCATTACATTGGCAATCAAATTTCAACATATGAATTTTAGCGGACACATTCAGATCATAGCAATAGGTCATTATACAATTTTTACATATCACCTGAATATTCATCTAGATTTTAATTGTTAATATGACATTATTGCCTTTTAAGCTCTAATATGTTTAGAAATTTGATTTAACATAGTGAATAAATATTCCCATGCATAAACTATTACAGATAATTCTGAATTTTTAATTCATAGAAATAAAATTTTTTACTTAAAAAGTCTGAATATATTTAGAGTTGCTTTATTGAGAATATTCCCAACATGCTCAGAAAATTATATTGATTTACTTTTCTATACCACAAAATTCTATGAAGAAACAATTTGGTGCAAACAAAGTAGAAATATGGTGATAACAAACATTAACGAGACAAGGGTTTGCTTTGAATGAGGCCACTGATAACCTTATGGAATTTTCCATCTAGGGCCAAGGCTTGATTGCTAGAAAAGGCATGAATTTAATCATGGATGAAGCAATAATAGAATTATCAGTTATCTCATTAAAATATTTCTGAATACACAGCAATTTAATTTTTAATATCAAGTGCATTGAATAGTTCTTACTATTTTACTTGACCTCTTTAGCATTATTACGTAGTTCATCACTCTTAATTTTTGACAGCTCTTTTTTCTCTGACTCCTTTCTTTTAGAAATATATAGCTAAAATAGAAATATTTGAAAAGAGGAAAACCTGAAGATCAGTAATCTAAATTAACAGCAAAATATAATCAAAGAAAACAAAAGAAGAAAAATAATAAAGGTAAGAGAATAAATTAGTGGAAGTAAGTGAATAAATTGAGAAAATTATTAATGAATTAAATTAATGAAATAGACAACACAAACTAGTAAACATTAAATAAGGCAAAGTTTGGTTCAAAAAAAGGCACTAAAACTTAATAAGCCTCCAGATCACTAGATCTGGAAAAAGAGAGAAAAGAAAACATTTTTAAATTAACATCAAGAGCATAAAAGGAGACATCACCAAATATTATTCATTTATAAAGAGAATTGTATGAACAAGTATAGGTTAATAAATTCGGAAATTTAGATAAAATATGCACATTTATTTAAATATAGAACTTAACCAAAACAGAAATAAAAAGAGTTGGGAAAATCTTGATTTAAAAACTGTTACAGAATGAAACCATAATGTGAGATCTTCAAATTCAAAAATTTCAAGACATTTCCAGTGAATTGCACTGAATATTTAAGGAAAAAAATGTATCAAACTTAAAGACTTTCATAGAGTAGAAAAAGAGGGACAGCTTTTAAACTCATTAATGAGAGCAGCAAAACCTTGGTACAATATCCTGACAATGACTTTTCAAGAAGTAAACATCATAGGCTCCTTTTCTTTAAAACAGAAATGCAAATATTTTACACAAAATATTTTTAAAAACTCTCATCATACTATGTTTAAAAGCATAATATATAAATGAGAAAGTTGGGTTTATATTGGGCAATCAAATTTTTTTTTGTTTTAACTAGGAGTGGAGAGAAACTTTCTTTATAAAATGTTTATGTGAAAACCTATTGCCAGTCTCATATCTAATGTTGACACATTGATAGTTTTGTCTGTAACATATTGAATAAATGAAGACTACATGATTTTCATTCATCATTGTACTGAGTGTCCTGGCCAGTAAAATAAGACAAAAAAGTAAATAAAAAATACAGAGTTGTAAGTATTAAACAAAATAATATATTCAATAATAAAAACAATATACCTTTGTATGTAGACTCTAAAGGTGATAATTATAATTGAAAGACAGTATATCAAAGTTTATGGATACCAGACAATATAAAAGTTTGCTGTATTTTCATACTTTAGCATTGAATAATTGGAAAATGCAATTTATTAGAGATAATCTTGCAATATTGAAAGATACAACTCTGCATACCTAATCAGTTAAAGATTCATTTAAAAATACTCTGAGCAACAAAGGCTGATTAAATTTCAATCTACAAACAAAATTCAATTCAAGGTGTGTTCATAATGCCCTTTATTAAAAACACTAAATGGATCAACGTGATCCTAGTAAATGTGTCAGTTGAGGAAAATAGCTCAAAGCAAAATGACTAAGAGTTTGGCTCACCCAAGAAAGCCTGATGACTTTAGACAGAGCCTTGTCATGAAAATAATTGTGGGTGTTTCTCTTGGCACATTTCCAACACTTAGACAAATAAAATGGACAAAAGTTCAATAATGTTTGAGAGGATTATACTGCCAAGCACAACCAGCCCGAATTAAGAGTGTCTCTTCAAGATGTATAATGGCCTAAGTTTCCTACGTGTCTGCTCACAAGAGGCATTGCTCTTCAGATGTAGCTGAGGAGAAAAAAACAAAACAAAACAAAAAACCCACAATATCCAGAGAATAAAATCAAAAGAATAAGGACTGGGAGGCAACTCCCAGGAAACAAGCCTAAGAGTCTAAGGAACACTCCTTATCATCAAGAAAAGCTCTCTTGCAAAATTGCCAGCAGGAATTCACAGTCACTATGGATCTGTGTCCCTTGCTTGTTTTTGACAGAAGGGTTGGTTGGGATTATTATTAGAACTATACTTCTGAAATTGTTATGTCATCGTATGCACTTAAGTTTGGTAATTTAAACATAGAAACAGTTTCACATGGTCTGTTCTCATTTTACTTCTTTGGAATTTATGGTGGTATATTAGTCTGAGTTAAATGCAGAAAGCAGATGCACTTTATGTATTCCAAGAAGTATTGGCTGTAACACAGGAAATTAGAGGTTTGTGCATCCATTGAACTGGACTGGGGAGTAAAGGTCAGAAAAATTGCTGCTAGAGGCTATAAAAATTACATTGCAGGCCATGTTTTCAGCTGCCTACAACCCTCAAATGTGAAATTTGCAGAACCCCCATACAAAATGTTATTACCTTGAACAATCTTGGGAAAACCTGCAGATCCCAGGTGCCCGTAAGCACTGAGATGCATGATTTACAGAAATTGTTTTGGATATTGCTGCAAACCTCCCATTTGCTACTTAGCCATATCCCTTGTTTGCAACTGTCATCAGAAAAAAAGCCTTCCGTCTTTTCTTCTCAGATCTCAACTGAGATCCTCCCATTGTCAGATTTTGACCTAGGACCATCTTGGAAAGGGATTCTTCTGTGATTCAGAGGTGAAGGTAAGGAGTGAAGTCGGATGCGGAGTTGATGCAGGCAAGTCAATAGACAAAAGAACACATCCGATGTAATGAGGAGACATATTTAATTATTTTGGAATGTTTTGCTAGTTGGAATTCTTAGCTGTTGACAATTATAAATATCGTCCTGAAACAAGTAATTTATTTAATATAAACAGAAACCATCAATGTAATAATCTCTTTTGATGTGAAAATATTTTGTTATTTTGATATATACTCAACCACTCTACAATTTGTTATCAAGGACAACCAAAGGAAGTCCAAAAAAGAGGCAAATACACAATGAGAAAAAATTTTGTGTGTGAATGTAACAGACAAGCCACCATAATTTGGGTAGCAAATTTTAAGAGTGAAACCTTAATGCTTGCCAAATCTCTGGTTGATTGACTTAGTCATAGTGCTGTTTTAAAACAGCTCATAGATTTTAAAAAATATAAATAGGAAAATCACTATTTAACATGATTGCAACAGTTGCTTTTGAAATCCTTTGTTTGTTTTCAGAATAGTAAAAACTTTAGGTTTTGCTTTGGAAAAACTGAAGGTTTTTAACATTTGAGTTAAAGATTTGTATGTATAGAGTAATGTCACCATCTTGTGGTCTTTTAAGATATTGCTGCTAAGAATATTGAGTTAGTATCCATGAATAACATGAAGGCACTATCTTTTAGTACTTTTCTCTCAGTAAGATCAAATATATATAAAACCAATGAATCAACATTTTTTAACGCTTATATAATGAACAACTGCTTTAGAACTTATTTAATTATGATATTCTGTTTTTGAAAATATCTATTAAATGGAAGGCTTTTATTTAGTAAGTTGAATTCCACTTACAAATCTTATTTGCTTGTTCATTTATTTATGATTATTGTCTGCCTCTCCCATAAAAATGTAAGTTACATGAAAAGAGGAATTTTTATCTTGTTCACAGCTGAATTCTAGAGAAAAGAACAGTGCCGGGCACATAGCTGACCTAACAAATACTTAATGAATCAGTGAATATAGATGTGAATGAATGGATTCTATCTGTTATAAATATTTTAAGACAAATTAGTTCCAGAATTTTCTTGGTTTTGTAACAAACCACACAAATTAAAACACAGTTTTGTTTAAACCAATCAAATGGGTAAGCTCCGAGAGATACTGGTGTTTGGTTTTGTGTTTTATCAAAGATATTGTAAGGGGACCTAGCTGGATGTTATATGATCAGCTTGATTTTGTTCTAATTCGCTACATTAGTGCATATGTAGGTTTGTAAGTTAATTAATTTGGCTCACTATGGCTGATGCAATGTGGTGGAAAAGGGGTAGCCTTTGAAGTCAGTCAAGCTAACGTTCACTTCTAGCTCTGCCAGAAATGTGTTTTGGGGAAATGAAAGTTTCTCAGCATTTATTTCCTTTTCTGATACTGGAGAAAATAATAACCTCCCTCGTAGCATGTATATAACTAGAAATATTAACTTTTACCATTTTGAATGTTTAATTATTCTAAACCACATTTTGCCTCCACAAGTGGATCAGTTACCAAACATTTAAAGGTGAATCTATTTCATGTTAGGCATAATCAGGGAAAGAACAAACATGTAAGACATAGTATTCCTTTTCAAAAGCTAATAGTCAATGGCTGTTGAATCAAAAATCTTATGAAAAGCAAATTACTATTCCTTTGATTTGAAGCTCCAGTTCTCCAGTTAAGTCCGAGCCCTGACATTGATTAAAATGAATTTGTACTAATATGATAATTATGGAAATCTTGTAATATATTTTGTTTCAGGTGGATTCACCACAGTTAGCTTCAATTCTGTCTTCCATCACATTCAGCATAGAGGGAGGGAGGAGAGGGAAAGTAATGGGGTAATAATCTTCATTTGTAGATTCTTTCTAGCTTCTGGGGTCTGGCAGATAGTTAAAGAGAACTCTTTCCGGGCCTTCAGGAGGGATATCTGCTGGGTCCCTCTCCCCTGAAATTGCCTGATGTGGCTGATGATTTGTGACCCATTCCTCAGCCCCTAGGTATCAAGAGTCACAGCTCCAGCTTCCTTCTGCTCCCCAGTATGCAAGACTGTCATCCCTGGGAAACATTTATGTAACACGTCTGAAAACTCCTAGGGTGCAGAACTATCCCATGGCAATGGTATTCCTTGGATCTGCCACTGAAACATTCCTTGTTCTCTAGATTTTCCAGGTAGGAGTCATACACCCAATTCAAAGGTGAAGCAAAAGCCCTCACCAAAGAAAACTTCTTTGTGAAATTGCTTTGATTATTTTATTTTCTCAGAATAGGTGAGGGGGTTCACCTATAGGTGAACAGACTGGTCTTCGAACCAAGTGTCATAGCTATTCTTTGGAAAATTATATTTTGGTCTGGCAATTTGTGTCATAATTTCATATCTATTGCAACTTGTGCTTTAGTGCAAAGTCATATTTGAACACTCAGTAAAAAGAATACTATATAAAATCATATTTCAACATTTTCTGATCTGCTATAACAAACTAAGCTTTGGGAAACTTTAATGCCCCAGTAAACAAACCAGCCATGTCAATGTTACGTCACTCTACAAGATCCAAATAAAATTGTGTTTAAGGGATACAATTAATATTTACTTTCATTCTTTAGTAATATTTATCAATATCACTGTATCTGCAACTGAAGTTTGATTTTTACTTAAATGATTTCATACACCATATTAAATATATCTTATATGCAAAAAAATCACGTCACTGTTCATTTGAAAGAACAGATGTATTATACAAGATTATCAGAGGTCAAGTAGAGAAAACATATCTGATGTTTTTGAGACTGTCCGCTGCATAAGTGGACACTTAGTGGTAAATCAAGTAGCAGGGATGAGAAAATTTTGTGTGAAATGTAGTGTTATAAATTAAATTACAGAATAAAAATAAAAGGGCTTAATCAGAGACATTTATAAGTACAATGAGTCATTAAACTGCCAAGTGTCTGAAAGAGCCAAGACTGCAAAGACATCTTTTGTTCTTTTTATAGAATTCTCCAAGGATAGATTTCATTGAAGAGATTTTAGAAGAAAACAAATCAATAGACTTTTAAAATTCCAAAGTAATTCTTTGGCTGAATTAATATGGCTGTCTTTTTAAGAATTTAAGGCAAAAGATAAGGTGACTTAATTAAATGACCCCAAGTTTTCAAAATAATAAATATGAACAAACACTGAAACCATCTTTATTGTCATCATAGGGCCATCTTTTTTTTTCTCTTGTGGCTTTTTCATATTGATCCAAATATAATTTAAGGCAGCTGCACTAAATTTAGGCTGCACTAAATTTTTTTATGTGTATATTTTTTCTGATAATTAGGCCCATAAATGAGGTTAAAAGGAAATTAGGTAATAGAAAATTTTAGACTGGAGTAAGTCCTATTAGGTAAGGTCTACTTATTTTAACAAAACCAAATTAACCCTCTCGTAGTCCCTGTTAGTGTAAAAGGCCCTAAAGTAAAAACATGATATTTATGGAGTGTTACTATGAAAATCAACATGAAAAAATAAAAAATTAGCATATTCAGTTGTACAACAACTAAGTTTGATTAGTCAGGGGGCAGCTGTCTGAGCTCTTGCAAATGAAAGTATTTTATGGTTGAACACTAACATTTACAAATGGGTCGTTCAAGTCATCTTTCATATTTAAGAGAGGATCTGTTATTTCTTAGCATAGGAAAATCCCAATACTTGTTTAAGAAGTAAAAAAATTAGTTCTCTCAGGACAACTACTCTTAAAATCAAGCTACCCTTTCAAAGAACAAAATTATAATCTGTTAATGGTAGCAAAGACCTCACATAATACAGTTATGACTGTTTAATGGTCAGGTTTAAAACTAGTGCTGGACAATTATAACACAAATGTGTTCAATTACTTGTTACAGAATATGGTTATGCAGCCTATATTCTGACCTTACAGAAGTAGGGAAAGCATAGAGTTTCTTGCCTTAATTAAGATAAAATGGAGGTTGGAGAGTCCACATGAGATCACGCTTCATGTCTGTGAGCTACAACAATATGTACCTTTCCAATAGAAAAATGTAATGGCTAGAGGAATGTAGATGAGGTCACTAGCTATAGTCCCCAGTATATTTTACTTGCCATAAATTGTAAAATCTTCTGTGGGTGAGTTTAAAATGTGTGACAATAGTTTCCTGCGATCATGCGCAGTCTATAACCTTTATCCTAGAAACCCAGCCTTCTTTCATAGCTGTCTCACTTTCTGGAATCACTGCTTTCTTTCCTTTGTTTCAAAGAAGAAATTGTAAGTTTTTACAGGTAGCTACAATTCTTATAGGAACCTTCCTCGATCACAAGCTTTATGTCATCACTGCTTCATTACTTTAACTGACCCGTAGTTTCCCCCCATCTGATTTTCAACTCCACTCCAAATAATACATGTATATTGTTTTCAGATTAAGTTCTGTTACCAGGCTACTACTGTTGCAAAAATCCTGCCTAACAGTCACAGAATCTCATTGAAATAAAACAGTAAGGAATTATCATTAATGTCTGCAGACTTACATCTAGTAGGTAGCTGTTTCTCAGGCTGTATGTCTGCTTGGAATTGGGTCCTCACTGCTACTAATGTGTTAATTCTGTGGTCCAATCTAAAGGGGCACAACTATTTTCTCATTACAAAGTCAGAGATGCAAGAGAGCAAAATCCAATGTACAAGCTCATTTCACGTCTTTTCTTTGGCCAAAGCAAATCTTATGACTAACTTTAACATCAATGGGCAGCAAATATTTCCTGAATAATCCGGATGATCAGAGATTTCTTGTTCTAATTACTATTGATATATACAAAATTCCTCGAAAAATTAGTGATTAAAAAACTATTTGTTTTGTGCACGATTTTATAGGTCACACATTTGGAAAAGCCTTGCCTGCAGTGTTCATGTTTTTGGTATCTGAGTCGCTGTAGTCAGATGGTAGCTGAGGCTGCAGTATTTTAGAGCCCACTATGCTAGATACATATCCAAGATGACTCATTTGTATGACTGGCCATTAATCTTGGCTGTTGGCTAAAAATTTGGGCAGTTAACTGAGGAGCTTCCTTTCCAGCGTAGAAGCCACGGGATAGTGAGACTTCTTACATGGCAGAGTCCAAGCAGAGTGAGAGGGAATTGTAGCGAGAGTGGAAAAGTTCGGAACAAAAAGTGCCTCTATCGCCTTGTGATTGGATATTGGAGTTCTCCAGGCTTAACGGGTATTTAAAGCTGTCTTTTTTGTGTATGGAGATATTTTCAGATTTTTGGAGGTTCTCTAGTGTCAGAAACATTCTTATAGTTTTAAAGGGCAATGCATAGCCTCTGGAATGCTCTTTTCCTATCTTACTTCCAGTGATTCTCTTCTGTAGGCTGAGGACACTTTCTCTGGAAGAAAAACCTCCTAAATGACCTCTAGACAACCTCCCATAAAGTCCAAATAAGGTCTACAGGAAACAATACCTCTGACATGCAGATGTTGGACAACACAGCTGGATTCCATTGTAACTACGTTTAATCACTCTGTTGACTCCAGAGAAAACTTTCCTCTAATTCTCAGGCATGAGTTAAATACAAATATTTAATGTATTCTCCAAACGTCAAGCTTCTGGTCCCGTTGTCTCAGGATTTTGTTCTCTAATTTCCAAGTCCTCTGGCACCTGTGAATTCCAACCTGTTGTCTCCTCAGACCAATAAGACCACTCATCTCTGTTTGTGCCACTAGAATGGAACAAACTGGAAGGTCGCCTCAAGGACAAATGTGGATCAATGTGGAGCCTATTGTATGTTTCTTTTGTTTCAAGCATTACAGTCACTCTCTTTCCTGACTCCATTTCCTAATTGCTCCCCAGTGTCATCAAGTAGTTATGTGCCCCCCTCTGCTTCTGTAATTGTTATTAAATTGAAAATCAGTTAGATTCAAACTACTCCATCATACACAAAAGTAAAAGCTAAACACTTATATCCTGTTATCTGTCCTTTGGTATTACCTAGGTAACAACTCAAGACTCTATTTTTTTTGGCAACTACAGTATACTTAGTGTTTAAGTTGGCACTAACATTTGCTTATCTCTAGGATATCCTCATTTTTCTCTTTCAAAATTATTGCTTTTGTTTGTTAACAATGTTATATTTTCATTATATTTTATTTGGCACTATAGTTTCTTCAATGGAGAGAGTTGTTTGGATAATTCTTAGTCTGCTGGATACTGGAAATGAAATGCTAAGTCCACTTTTCCATACTCATTCCAGAATTGTGATGCTAAAAATTAAATACAAGCATGTTATCCTCTGTTTGAACTTTATCATAACCTTCCCATTTCCTAAATTCTAAACTCCTCAAATGGCATACGCTGCCACACTTGAAAAGAATTGGATCCTTCCGGCCTTCTCAAATTCATTTTGACCGACTCTCTTTTCTTCTTTTTCAACAGCACAAAATTGCTTTTAGCCTAGACATCCCAAGCTACTTCATAGCCCAATGCCTTACTTTTGTTGCCTCATTTTCCAGGAGAACTTTACAGTTTTCACCGTCTGCTTCAGTTGATAAAGCTACTCCTTTCAAGTACTAATTCTAGGAAGCGTTTCTTGACACCTTTCCAATACACACACACACACACACACACACACACACACACACACATCTCTATCATCATATTCAGTACAATTATAGATCCTGTGCCATGGTGCCATGGAGTTTCTGGTCTCTTTTATAGCATATGTTCCTTCTTCAACTAGATTTTATACACCTTAAAATTCTAAGATGTTTCTTTTATAGTCTGCTACATATTAGAAGATTCTGTGCTTATAGTGGGGCATCATTCAGTGCTTTTTGGATTTACTTACAACTGTATTATACATAAACCAAAATACTATTTGCCTTTAAATATCAGAATTGAAGCAATATTGTCTGATAATAATTCAGTCATTGGTCTTATCTTTTAAAATTCTCTTGCTTATACTGACAAATAAACCACTCATATCTATGTATATTAAACATGAAAATTATTATTTTTTAATGGAATAGATGTATTAGTCAGTTCTCACACTGCTAATGAAGACATACCCAAGACTGTGTAATTTATAAAGAAAAAGAGTTTAATGGACTCACAGTTCCACATGGCTGGAGAGGCCTCAATCATGGTTGAAGGCAAAGGAGAAGAAAGGCACATCTTACATGATAGCAGGCAAGAGAGCTTGTGCAGGGGAACGCCCATTTATAAAACCATCAGATCTCATGAGACTTATTCACTAGAAGAATAGTATCGGAGAACACCAACTCTCCCGTGATTCAGTTATTTCCACGTGGCCCCACCCTTGACACATGGGGATTATTACAATTCAAGGTGAGATTTGGGTGGGGACACAGCCAAACCATATCAATACTGAACTGAGAAATATAGCACAGCATAATCATCATCAATTCTTTTTATCATCAATGCTGGGCTAATCTAGAGGACAATTAAACATTCAGCTGTCTGATTAAAATATTTTGTAAAATATTTACCACGTACAAATATAATTTAAAAAGAAATATTACCTGTCCAATGTATATATTTATGGTCCTAAAGGAGACTTTAGAAGAGGTGAGAGTATCTACATAGATGAATAATTTAATTGCTTTATGATTACACAGAACTTACCTTTATCTTGTTTAACCCATATTCTCTGTTTTCATAGATTATCACTAGATATACATTGGGAAATTTATGCCACTCTCGCAAATTTAAACTACTTTAGTTATCTCATGTTGTATTCAACACAGAAAGGGTTACTTTTAGAACATGGTTTAATATCAATATCTATATGAATTATTTTAAACATTGTTATTCTCATGTATATTCTCTATAATTTTTGGTTCCCATGTATCTCTTGTGCATAATTTTTCTTTATTTATTTTTCTTTATTTATTTATTTGAGGTGGAGTTTTGCTCTTGTTGCCCAGGCTGGAGTGCAGTGGGGTGATCTCGGCTTACCGCAAGCTCTGCCTCCCACGTTCAAGCGATTCTCCTGCCTCAGCTTCTCAAGTAGCTGGGAATACAGGCAGGCACCACCACACCTCGCTAATTTTGTATTTTTAGTAGAGATGGGGTTTCTCCATGTTGGTCAGGCTGGTCTTGAACTCCCAACCTCAGGTGATCTGCCCGCCTTGGCCTCCCAAAGTGCTGGGATTAAAGGCATGAGCCACCGTGCCCAGCAAATAATTTTTAAAATAAAGCAAATATTTTGGAATATGGGTTGACTGAATTATTTCAATCATGACCGCATTTTGCATATTTATTAAATATTTCCAAACTTTGCCCCAATAGCTTTACATTCAGAATGCATAAATGTAACATATTTATCTTATGTTCTTTCATGGTGATTATACCCTATTTAACTTTTTCATCTGGTACTTCTACTTGATGAATCCTATGGTAGTTTGCTCTTATCTAATTTCTGATTGTGCATCTTTCTCACCAATATTCTTGATCCATTTTTGTCATTATGGTTCCATTTTAGTTGCTTAGACTATCTGTCTAAGCTTCCAATACTCATTAGTATCTAATTTATTCTATTGTTACACATAGTTCAGACATTTTTACACTTTTTAAAACTTGAAAACTTCTATTAAGTGATTTTATGCTATAATAATCAGTTCTTATAAATAGTTACCTCCTTTTTTGTAAATTACAAGCAAATATGTCATATGCTTGCACTGATAGGATGGAATAATTGTGTGAAATGTATGTCCATTTAAATTTGGGTAAAATAAGCTAGTTTTATATAGAAAGGTTTTTACACTTCTATAAATGTGGTTTTTTTTCCACTAACAATGCCAGGTTCTTAATTTTAAATATTAGAAATAAGTGCTTTTTCAGTAGTTTTATTTCGTTTTATCTGTAAAATGTCTCTTTCCCACTAGTTCCCATCCAACCCGTGTTTCTGCTTGATATTTCATTAGACAAATATAATACAAAGTCATGGATGTAGTAAACATGCTTATTTTTTCACTAAAACCTCAATTTCTAAAATGAAAGATGAAGGAAATTATGTGAAAATTTTAGTAGAGCCATTATTTTATTTTATTTCTACTCCATGTGCCTCTTTTTAACCCCAAAATACCTCATAAGGTTAAGCTGAACAATTTTCACTTATGTAAAAAACCATGCAGGCATTTAATAAAAATGTATAACTTGAAAATTTTAAATTTGAAAGTGAAAATAGATATGATCTAGAGCAAGATGACAGCATGTGATGTCTTGAAAATGGTGCAGGGATGTAAAATTAAAACCAAACAGCTAGTTTTCAGAATTATACGTTCACGGACTTTACATGATATGTCGTACATTAATAATGATAAAATAGCTATGCAAGCCAAATAAAAGTATAGCTCAGTTAAACTCCTTTGATTACAAATTTTGATTAGTACATTGGAATGGAAAATAGAAACCACAAAGATAAAGGTATGAAATTTGATATGAACATTTAAAACATTTGTATTCATTAAAATATTATGGATTAGAGATATGTGATAAGAAACTCAAATCAGGAATATGAGATATAAAATGAAAAATATGTAGTCATTGCAGGCACATTCTCAGTAGGATTTGATGTTAGGTATCTGACTAAATGAACTGAAACTCTTTTCAGACACATGTTATAAAACAAGTTCATCTACAAGTAATTTAATTTACATATGTGAAAAAGCTCCGCAGTGCTCTGTGTGGCATTAGGTGTCTTAGTCATATCACAAAAGCAATTAGATCATACTGAAAACCAGCTGTGCATCAAGTAGATTGCTTTTATCTAAGTGATAAAAACCTTGTAGAGTGTGAACAATACGGGGTATAAAATGTAACATTTTAATGAACGGCGTAAAAGATGAATAGAATGAACAAGAGAAACGGCACATTTGCAGGGGACATGTACAGCTGGAGGAAGGGAAAAGGAAAGTGAGAAATGTTTGTACTGGGTTGAAATAAAACGTTCACCTGTACTGACTTTTAATCAGAAAGATTTCAACATCATTTAATTAACTTATCAAATATATAATCTCAATTTATAGTTTAGCCACTCTGGGCAAATTCAGAGTTTATAGATCATATTCTGAAAGAAGGCATACATAAGGTTATCAATATTTATTCTTTACTAGCGAAGTTTTTGCAGTACAGAAGGAATGAAGGCAGAGGCATAGATGAAGAGTAAGAGAGAATTGAATTATTTTGAAGGACACTCCTGACCAAAAAAAGGCAAGTTCAGGCAGGTCTGCTCATATCATTTAGACCAAGTGCTATCATATTGTCATCACTTAATAAAAGTTGGATGAATGAATGGATAGATGGGATACATTTACCTGAGTAGAAGTACGTTGAAAGCCAAGAAAGAGAAAAAGAATAATCGATAATACCACAAAGTTTTCTCAGTATTATTAAGAATATGATTTATTTTACTTTTTAACTTTCTATAGTGACTTTTAACATCTATCAAGTCTACTAAGAGATTTTACATTTTGAATAGTCTCAAACATTTTTAGAATACAAGAACACAATTGTAAACTGCATCTGATTACAGGAACTCACATATCTGGGGGAATTACAGTATTATTTCCCACTCTAAATTATTTATAATTGCTGCCACTTACTGAGCATTTACTATATGCCAAGCCGTCTGTAAACCATATTAGGTTTAATTCATTTTATTTAGTCAACTCTCTTGAAGACTTAAATTGAATTTTAATAGCAATATCTAAGACATGACATTTTAAAGCTGTCATATGACCCTATGAATTACATACATAATTGTTTTCAACATTTCCTCAAAATATATGTAAATATGCAAATATATTAAGAATAATAGTCACTAGCCCAACTGAGGAAGCTATGGGTGATTAAACAGACCCAATTTAAAAAAAAATCAATGTTTTCCTTAAAACCAAATTCATGTTAATTCAGTGATGTCAGTAGTTAAAATGAAATTCTTAGTAGAATAGTGTAGTTACAGTTATGGAACTTCTTAAAAGGAACCAAATTTTCATATAACTGGTTCAGAAATAACCTGAAAATGAAAGGAGGAAGGAAGTATATAGAAAACAAGAATGTATAATAGTGTTTATTGTTCTTAAAATGTAATTGGTCTCTTGAAACACAAAGCCACACAAGCATTCACTCTTTTTATTTTTTCCTTAATATTTGTATTCTACAATTATATACACGTAAAACAGTTGAAAAAGTGACCAAAATTGTAAGAAAAGAAATCTAAAAGAATATTCTATGTACTTTCTATGATGATTGTAAAAGTATTTTGGTCATAGAAGTAAAATGTACTATGAAACTTACTGATAGAGACAGTTTGAAAATGTCCATGAGTGTGACTTTAAGGTGCTGAAAGGAAGATAAATCACAAAAATTTCTAGATTCCAATGTTTCTTATTTCTAGATAGTTCACTTTTTTCAATACATATGGTAATAATTGTTGTATTAGTCTGTTTCACACTGCTGATTAAGACATACCCAGGACTCGGTAAATTACAAAGAAAAAGAGGTGTATTGGACTTATAGTTCCACATGGCTGGAGAGGCCTCAAAATCATGGGAGAAGGCAAGGAGGAGCAAGTCCCATCTTATGTGGATGGCAGCAGGGAAAGAGAGAACATGTGCAGAGAAACTCCCATCTTTAAAACCATCAGTTCTCGTGAGACCCATTCACTAACATGAGAACAACACAGGAAAGACCCACCCCCGTGATTCAATCATCTCCCACCAGGTCCCTCTCACAAGATGTGGGAATTATGGGAGCTATAGGGTGATATTTGGGTGAGGACACAGAGCCAAATCACATAATTCTGCCACTGGCCCCTCCCAAATCTCATATCTTCACATTTCACAACCAATCATGCCGTCCCAACAGTCCCCCAAAGTCTCAACTCATTTCAGCATTAACTTAAAAGTCCACAGTCCAAAGTCTGATCTGAGACAAGTCAAGTCCCTTCTGCCTATAAACTTGTAAAATCAAATGCAAGTTAGTTACTCCCTAGATACATTGGGACTACAGGTATTGGGCAAATGCAGTCATTCCAAATGGGAGAAATTGGCCAAAATGAAGAGGCTCCAGGCTCCAGGCAATTCCGAAATGCAGCAGGGCAGTCAAATCTTAAAGCTCCAAAATGATCTCCTTTGACTCCAGGTCTCACATCCAGGTCACACTGATGCAAGATGTGGGTTCCCATGGTCTTGGGCAGGTCTGCTGCTGTGACTTTGCAGGTTGCAGCCTCCCTCTTGGCTGCCTTCATGTGCTAGTGCTAGGTGTCTGCGGCACGTGGTGCAAGCTGTCAGTGGATGTACCATACTGTGGTCTGGAGGATGGTGGACCGCTTCTCACAGCTCCACTGGGCAGTGCCCCAGCAGGGACTCTTTGTGGGGGCTCTGACCCCACACTTCCCTTCTGCACTGCTCTAGCAGAGGTTCTCCATGAGGACCCTGCCCCTACAGCAAACTTCTGCCTGGGCATCTAGGCATTTCTACACATTTTCTGAAATCTAGGTGGAGGTTTCCAAACCTCAGTTATTGACTTCTATGCATTCACAGGCTCAACACCACATGGAAGCTGGCAAGGCTTGAGGCTTGCACCTCTGAAGCCACAACCCAAGTTCTATGTTGGCCCCTTTCAGCCACAGCTGAAGTGGCTGGGATGCAGGGCACCAAGTCCCTGGGATGCACACAGCAGGAGGACCCTGGGCCTGGCCCATGAAACCACTTTTTCCTCCTAGGCCTCAGGGCCTGTGATGGGAGGGGCTGCTGCAAAGGTCTCTGACATGCCTTGGAGACATTTTCCCCATTGTCTTGGTGATTAACATTCGGCTTATTGTAAATTATGCAAATATCTGCAGCAGGCCTGAATTTCTCCTTAGAAAATGGGTTTTTCTTTTCTATTGCATTGTCAGGCTGCAAATTTTCCAAATTTTTATGCTCTGTTTCCCTTTTGAAACTGAATGCCTTTAATAGCACCCAAGTCAAGTCTTCAATGCATTGCTGCTTACAGATTTCTTCCACTAGATACCCTAAATCATCTCTCTCAAGTTCAAAGTTCCAAAAATCTTTAGGGTGGGGCAAAATGCCACCAGTGTCTTTGCTAAAACATAATAAGAGTCACCTTTGCTCCAGTTCCCAACAAGTCCCTCATCTCCATCGAGACCACTTCACCCTGGATTTCATTGTCCATATCATTATAAGCATTTTGGTCAAAGCCATTCAACAAGTCTCCAGGGAGTTCCAAACTTTACCACATTTTCCTATCTTTTTCTGAGCTCTCCAAACTGTTCCAATCTTTGCCTGTTACCCAGTTCCAAAGTCACCTCCAGATTTTGGGGTATCTTTTCAGCAGCACCCCACTCTACTGGTACCAATTTACTGTATTAGTCTGTTTTCACACTGCTAATAAAGAGGTACCCAAGACTGGGCAATTTACAAAAGAAGGAGGTTTAATGGACTTACAGTTCCACATGGCTAGGGAAGTCCCACAATCATGGCAGAAGAAAAGGAGGAGCAAGTCACATTTTACATGGATGGCAGCAAGCAAAGAGAGAGAACTTGTGTAGAGAAACTTCCATTTTTAAAACCATCAGATCTCATGAGACCCATTCACTGTCACTAGAACAGCATGGGAAAGACCCGCTCCCATGATTCAACAATCTCTCACTGGGTTCCTCACAGCAGGTGGAATTATGGGAGCTACAAGATAAGATTTGGGTGGGGACACAGAGCCAAACCATAACAATTGTATTGACCATTTCTTATCTTTTTCTAGTATTATTTTCTTCCAATCTCTGATGTTGTGACCGTCTTATGGAAAAAAAAAAGTTTTCTTACTTCTATTCCTCCATTCTGATGACTACATTCTGAACGCACAAAGGAAATCCCAAGCAGCTGGGTGTGGTGGCTCACACCTGTAATCCCAGCACTTTGGGAGGCTGAGGTGGGTGGATCACGAAGTCAGGAGATCGAGACCATCCTGGCCAACATGGTGAAACCCCATCTCTACTGAAAATACAAAAATCAGCTGGGCATGGTGATGTGTGCCTGTAATCCCAGCTACTCGGGAGGCTGAGGCAGGAGAATCGCTTGAACCAGGGAGTCAGAGGTTGCAGTGGGCCAAGATTGCACCACTGCACTCCAGCCTAGTGACAAGAGAGAGGCTCTGTCTCAAAAAAAAAGAAAGGAAATCCTGAATCTGTGATATAAATTAAGGAATTCTATCAACTACATGCTGAAACCATTGTAATAGACATGGGACAGAGCTTATCAAATAGAAGCATCTTGAGCCAACTTGCAACTCTTTCTCCTGAGTGGGGAGGCAGTATCCTTAGAAAGTCATATTAGAAAATCCACACGAATAATTATATAATATTAATGAGTCAAAGGATAAAAGTTTCTACATTTGATATACTGTATTATCTAATTTTATAGTATTATTTAAAAATTAATAATAAAACTAACTTTTCTTACCACAGCTAGAAATCATGACTTAACAACTTAATCATAAAATATTAAATTTTATACTTAATTTTGGAACATGAAAATATCATTCTAGAGATCATAGCCAATGCAATAAAATAGGAAAAAATATGCATTTATAAATTTTGAATAATTTTATAACTTACGAGTTATAATTATAGAAAAATAAAAGAAAAAACATATTTTTGTATTTTTTTTTTATTTTGAGATAAATAAGAAACAGGCTGGGCATGGTGGCTCACACCTGTAATCCCAGCACTTTGGGAGGCTGAGGCAGGCAGATCACCTGAGGTTGGGAGTTTGAGACCAGACTGACCAACATGGAGAAACCCTGTCTCTACTAAAAATACACAATTAGCCAGATGTGGTGGCACATGCCTGTAATCCTAGCTACTCAGGAGGCTGAGACAGGAGAATTGCTTGAACCCAGAGGCAGAGGTTGCAGTGATCCAAGATCACGCCGTTGTACTCCAGCCTGGGTAACAAGAGCAAAACTCTGTCTCAAAAAAAAAAGAAAAAAGAAAAAAAACAAAGTTTAAAAAAATCTATTAATTCTACTGTACTGTGTTCAGTACATTGACAAAAATATTATCCTTACCGATATCAGAAATAACTAGTTAGAAAAGCTGAAAGAGAAATATGTCACCACAAAGTAATGGCATGTTATAAACTATCTAGGAATTCATTTTAAAAACACAATACCTGTTTAATTTAATAGTGAAATGCTTTTTATAATTTTAAATAAATGAAGTAACTTGTAAGTTTCCTGTAAGGAATGATTCAATATTTAATTATATCAGCACCATGCAATATAGCAATGGGACAAATCTGCACATGCATCCCCTGAATCTAAAAGTTGAAATTATAAAAAAGTCTACCTTATACATTTTCAAAAAATGTGATTCTCTAAATAAAATTCTCATCATAAAATAGAGAAAACTGAGGAAAATTCCCAAAAAGTAGAAGAAAATAAGGGAGCATAAAAACCAATATTTTGTTTGGGAAATAAAGGTCAATTATTTAAACTATAAAATAAAAATAAATAAATATGTTCCCAGAAACACACTCATAGGCAGGCAGTTCTGGCTTTGCTTGGTTCTAATATGCATTCATTTTAGTTACTGCAGTTTAGTTAAATACCAATCCCCCAACACAATTCATATTTTACTTACTATTTTCTCTTACCTGTGGGTAATTACATAAAGCACAAACTTTGCTATTAGTCTTACGGTCCACACATTACTAAAAAACGGATGCACATTACAATCTCTGACCAGTTGTCACTTCTTTGACAGTCTGTCAGTGATGAGTCTCTGTGTATCTGTTACTCAGTTCACCCTGAGACAGCAAAGTATGTAGTTGTGTTGCCTCCTTATTTCCCAGTGAAAAATCTATGTGACATTTACAAAAGTGGGTAACTAGAAAATGGCCACTGGCCAAAAAGATAAAAGTGCAGCAAATAAATGAAAAGTGACAAGGCAGGAAATAAAACTAAAATAGGATGCAAATGAAGTTATAGAAAAAAAAAGGCTGCTTTCAAGAATGTTGAAAATACTGTTGTTAGTGTAGATATGCAGGCAGACGCTTGTAGCAAAGTCAAATTTACCAACAGAATGAGGCAAGATATCTCAAAGGAACTGCTGTTGATAAAAAATTCACATTAGAGGGACTCTCAGAGATATTTCATGATAATAAAAGCTACAGAATAAAATGTTGGAAGCTGATTCAAATTTTAAAAGGAGTAATTCTATTTACTAAGGCATAGAGAGGATGCTTGCTTGTGTTGTAATTTATGTGACAAAAGAAGTCATCTTTATTCAAAGTACTCTTGACAAGTATTTTTTTACAAAGAAATCAAACACTGTAATGTTTCTAAAGTTTTACTTTAGAGTATACTAAAAAAAATTTGTTTAACATTTTTTCATTTTCTTATAATCTTATAACTGTTAATAAGAAAGTTTTTAATGTTTTGTGAAAAACTTAATAGTCTTGGGGGAAAAAATCACAATTTTCTTATTGATTATTAAGATTGCCTGTATTGTTCCAGCTGGCATGGTCATTCTTAGAGTCCCTCATTATCATCCAAAATGAGCACTGCCTACCAGACAATGAGATCATATTTAAGGGTCCTCCTATTATTTCTGGGAGTTTCCAAAGGAGTGCCTCACCTATACCCACAGAACATTGCTCTGTTTACAGCCACTTTGCAGTATCTTCCAGGAACCATCTTTCCTTTCCAAATCCACTTCTGCCTCTCGAATGTTACAAAGACACTTAAGAGTATCATTTCTTTTACAGCTGTCAGCTCCTGTATGAGAATACCAACAGTAGTGACAAGGTTGCTGTCCCTGCGTGATTATAAACTGCAGCTATTTAGATCGTCAAAGAGGAGTAAGATGTTCACAGTGATCATGGTGTGGGCTTTTTTCACAGCAATGGGCTACAAGTGATCCCTTCAAGATGACGAAGCAACTCTGACCATTGCTTGGGTCTCTCTAATTATCTCATGACCTGTTTCCATCAGATCTTGGTCATCAACGAGTAGATAGAGTCCCTGCTCTTCATATTTTTCCTTTGTGTAAACCTTGCTCCCCTCAACCTCTATTTACCTTTTCAAGATAAAAAATCTAAATCTTCACATGTCACTCTAAAGACAACTGAGTAACTCAAGGCTACTTGAGTTACATGTAGGTCCTGACTAAACCAGTCAAAATATTTTGTAACTAAAAGTATAAGAAAATTCCAATAAAACCTAGAGTTTTTTTAAAAATATGACAAATTAGGTAAATATGAAAAAAATAAAAAATGCTTCAAAAGATGTCAGATAATTGGAAACTATTATCACTGTCATAATTCTACTTAAATGAAGAGTGTGATCTTGATATAAGAATAACTAAAATAACACAAAGTGTGTGCATGTGTGTTTGTGTGTGTATGTATGTATCATGCCAACTGAGGTCATCCTTCTATTTACTACTATCTAGTTGGCAGTTTATTGCGTTTCTTTCAGTTTCAGGACTTGTGTCTCATAATTACTTCAGCCTCAATTCCTGTCCTTGTTTTTCTTTTGTAAGACAAAAGGCCCAAGAATATGGGCCTAACCAGGTAACTCATCCCTGTTGCTTGAAATATTAGAATTTGTAGCAGAATATACAAGTTGGGGAATGAGAGAGTGCTTTAACAGGGCAGCAATGGAAACATTTGAGACTGTGTTTCTTAATTACCCACCTCACCTCACTTTTTGCAACAACCATATCCATTCTCTGTCTTATGTTTTAAATATTGGTGTCTGAAATTCTTATTGATTCACTTGATTTTGTATTTATTATTTTTCTCTCATCTAAAATATAAGCTTTTGAGGGATTTATGACTCAATAGCCAGAATAATGTCTTTGCCGTAAACATTTAGTAAATGTTTGTGGAGTAAAAAAAGGAAGAAAACTCCACGTAAATGTCCTTCAGCCACCAAGCAAGTTATTCTCCTTCATGTGAGACTTCCTCTATTACTTGACGTTTTCCTCTCTCCTTCTTTTACTACTCTCTTTTTTAGGAATTCCCTCTCCTTAATTTTTTTTTCTTATTTCTTCAGAGCATAAACCTCCTGCCACATGGTCTCAAAAAATCATCTTTCATCCCTAACAATGGACAAAATATGTTTTTCATAAAAGAGAGTTCTATATTAAATTTTGTCACCAGTAATTGAAATAATATATATAATTTTTATCACATGTAAAACAAATAAGACCCCCTGTATCTAAAATAAATGATGAAAATTTGAAAACACAAAAAAGTTGGGTAATAATAACAATTATATTTCAAGCCTTTGAGAAAGCATTAATTGTATATGATAATTAAAATAAATAAAATTAAAATCATTCAACAGTAGTTGTAGGATTATTAATTATTTTGACAGAAATTTACAGAAATACCTCCAACTAGGCCCAGCGCGGTGGCTCACACCTGTAATCCCAGCACTTTAGTAGGCCGAGGAGGGCAGATCACAAGGTCAGGAGATCGAGACCAGCCTGGCCAGCATGGTGAAACCCCGTCTCTACTAAAAATACAAAAATTAGATGGATATGGTGGCACGTGCCTGTACTCCCAGCTACTCAGGAGGCTGAGGCAGGAGAATTGCTTGAACCTGGCAGGCGGAGGTTGCAGTGAGCTGAGATCGTGCCACTGCACCCCAGCCTGGGTAACAGAGCGAGACTTCATCTCAAAAATAAATAGATAAATACATACATATGAAATACCTCAAACTATGTATCAATAAATTTCAAATGAATTAAGGAGATAAAGATAAAAATCATAAAATAATCAGATGGCTAGATAAGTAATTATGTTTAATCTGATGGTAAAATATCTTACATCCATTAAGATACATAAAATAAAACTATTAAGAACCATTTACAATAAATTACCATTTTTGCCAATAAAGTTTGTACTGAGTAAAAATAAAATAATTGTACTTAGTGCTTGTGATTGAGAACTACCATCTATAAATAGCTAGATGAGATTCCTTTTCTGATGAGTGAACTGAAACCTGTGTATTTACATAGGTTGAATCCTTGCTGGTCCTGACTTTATTAGGTTGGCGCTTTCAAATTTCTGGTGTACTAGCACTTTCAGAAGAGGAATACTATGGGGTGTGTCAGTGATGACTTCTCAGTTTCAGGTATATTCTCCTTATCTTCATTGAGTAACTCTGGCTCCATTTCCCCTGAGAAATTAGAATCTGTCATACCAGCCAATACAGTGATCTCTCACTTTGCCTGCAGAATCAGGAACACGGGGAGCCCAGAATAGCCAGGAGTAGTCTCAGCTTTCAATTTAATAGGATCATGTGTACCCTACTGGAAACATTAACCTTTTATGAACTAAAACCTTCTGATCTACTGACTGAGTTCCCAGATATGTGTAAGTGGTTTACTTGTTGTCAATGAGAGAGGCTGTTTTCTTTTCCTTTGTTACTAGGCTAGATGGCTCTAGAGTAGATGACAACACATGTGGCCTCTGGTTTGAGGCATATATCACGTATTATAAGAGAGTGTTCTGAGTGTACAGCTGTTGCATCCCAGATGATGTTATAACTGAGCCTTCAGTAGGTGACCCCACCATCCCTTTGCCATGAAATGAGTTCCCTGATGATGTGTGGAATGTCAAATCAATCATGGAATGTCAAATCATCAGTTCCCTGATGATGTGTGGAATGTCAGTCATGAATGGTGGTGCTGACAGAAGTGTTTCAGACAGGAAAAGCAAATCTGTAACTGAGATATGAATCTGTTCTGAGTATAAATGATTGCTCCTGTAATAATGCAAGGAAGTAATGGAAACAACCTGCCACCATGGCTGGTACTGCCAGGAAATTGTGCCAGATTAGGGGCTCATAACTTGTCATTGCAATTGGGACCTTAATGGTAGTGGGAAGATCAGCCTTGGTGAGACATGTTCAGTATTTTGAGACCATGCACAGCCTTTCTTCTTGCTGCCATGGACTCTGTGAACACATATGATCATGTCTGACAGGCTCTCCCAGGATGGGTTGTCTTACTCACTTCATTATGAAGAGTTCCCTCTTCATGGATCCTTTCTAGTCAGCATGTTATAGAACACAGATTTCATAAAAAATATGCTTATTTCCAGAGATATGTACTTCTGCCTGAGATTACTTTCTCAGCTATCTTTTAATATTATAAAAACTGACTTCATTTTAATGTATATTACTTTAATTTTTATATTTTATTTTTGTTTTTTGAGACGGAGTCTAGCTCTGTTGCTCAGGCTGGAGTGTGATGGCGTGATCTCAGCTCACTGCAACCTCGGCTCACTGCAATTTCCGCCTCCCGGGCTCAAGCGATTCTCCTGCCTTAGCCTCCTGAGTAGGTGGGATTACAGATGCCTGCCACCATGCCCGGTTAATTTTTGTATTTTTAGTAGAGACGGAGTTTCACCATGTTGGTCAGGCGGGTCTTGAACTCCTGACCTCAAGTAATGCACCCACCTCGGCCTCCCAAAGTGCTGGGATTGCAGGCATGAACAACCGTGCCCAGCCGTATGTTACTTTAAAGGGCATATCAATCCAAGACTGAATCATTATAGGAAAAACTTCAAGAAAGTTATATAAATTCAAAACAGTAACCAAGGCATAATGTGATAAATGCTATTCTGGTAGAGTACACAATGAGATCATTAAATACATGGGGGATCAAATATATCAGATATACCTGGGTAAATTTGAAGGACAGAGTAAATTTTGAACTGGGCTTCATGAGTACTTGAATTTCAATAGCAGAAATATTCTTGCTCTTTACCTAAAGAGGACGTGCATACTCCAGCTTCACAATATTCTTTCAACAATATATTTTTAAATTTCAATAGTCTTAGCAGGCAAGGACACACCACAATGACTATATAGTAGAAATAATAATTTCGAGTTGCCAGGATTTGACTAACCAATCTCGTATTCCCATAATAGATTTTCTGTACTATTTTAAGAAAAGAACATTCTTTAGAGTTTTTGCCACCAAATTGTCAAAATAACATTGCTTTTCATCCCACCCTGGCTATAAAATAAGAAATGTATGGCCATCAATCATATAAACTTGAGGGTGAAAGTTTCTAATATTTTAAAGTCCCAAAAGTCATGTGAATGTTCCCTTCAAAACCTGTGCCTGAGAAAGGTCAGTCCTGGTCTAAAAGTAGAAACATTAAAGTCATGAGTAGGTTCAGAACTTTTCAACCTCTGTTCTCTTGTTATGGTGGAAATGCTGATGTTTTAGAATAAACTTCTGCAAATACAGTTAGAGCTTCTTTATGTCAGAAGATCAGCGTCAATATTAGAAAGTCAAATCACCTGTTTCTTAATGATAATAAAATCTCATGAAATTTAGAATACAGTCTTTTGTGGATTCATGATCATTTGGCTTTAGTAAAAATGTTGAATTTATAAATAAGAAGGTTAGTTAAAAGGCTGCAGCTTTTTAAAAGGTGGAAATATATAAAGTAATTTAAGAAAATCAAATATAAATTACACTTTTTACACTAATATAAAACATTTACATGCCTTTTGGAAAGTTTTATATTATGAACCTTGTAACTGTAAGAAATATTTTGAACTGTGTACAACATTTAAAAAGAACGATGAACAATCTGGACTAACAAAGAAATGATTATACCTTCCTCTATATTGAAAATTTATTGAAATGCCTTATTATCCATTTATTGCAGTTAGCTTAATTATTTGAAAATATGTGATGCATATTTTTCAGATTTCTTCAAATTATTTTTTTCTTAGGTTTCACCAATGCACCTACATATTTAAGATAAAATCACAGCTGATAACTTTGAAACTGCACTCCTTTCTCTTTCCCTTCTACCCCACATCTGGGCAAGCTGATGAGAAAGCCAGAGTGCTTCCTGGTGCCTGCATGAAGTTCAAAGCCCACAGGCCCTGGCACATGGGCACTGGACCCCTCATGCCAGCCCCATCCCTAATCCCACTAAAAGCTAAGATAGTGACAATTCCCTACTTATCTAAGGCATTTGGGCCTCCTTAGGAGGCTGCACTCTTCTTCCCAGAAAGCCTCATTATTTGAGTAATAAACCTTTCCATCACCTATTGGTGTGGGTTACCCTTTTCAATATCCAAATCAAAATTTGAGTAGGGTACACCCCGTGCCTGTGGGGGTGACTACAACACTTATGAATAAAAACTTTCATGAAATCTATAGTCATTATTTAACTTAGTCTGTAACTAATTACATAACTACTAATTACATATATAAATTTTGATATATTTAACTATTCCTTATACTAATTGTGTATATATATTATTCATATATATGCACATACATAATAGCTATTCAGTGTTAAAGATTAGCTTTTATTTAAAGGAGAATAGTTTTTTATTAAAATAGAACACAATTTTTAAAATTATTTATTTATTTTTATATATATTTCTTATAGACAGGGTCTCTCTCTGTCACCCAAGCAGCAGTACAGTGGCATGATCATAGCTCACTGCAGCCTTGAGCTCCTGGGCTCAAGTGATCTTCCTGTCTTGGCCTTCCAAAGTTTTTGGGTTAGAGGTGTGAGACACTGTGCCCAACTGGCACACAATTTTTTTTTTTTTTTTTTTTTTTTTGAGATGGAGTCTCACTCTGTCTCCAGGCTGGAGTGCAGTGGCGCCATCTCGGCTCACTGCACCCTCTGCCTCCCGGGTTCAAGTGATTTCCTGCCTTAGCCTCCCAAGTAGCTGGGATTACAGGCACCTGCCACCATGCCTGGCTAATTTCATAATTTTAGTAGAGACGGGGTTTCACTATGTTGGCCAGGATGGTCTCAATCTTCTGACCTCATGATCCACCCACCTTGGCCTCCCAAAGTGCTGGGATTGCAGGTATGAGCCACTGCGCCTGGCCCACAATTTCTTAAAGTACATATTGTGCTATAATATTAAAGAGCAATAATCAAAGTAGTTCAGATAAAATAATACAACAGCCATAAAACATATTGACTTAATAAGACATAAAATTTCAAAGTGGTAACTTAGGAAAAAGAAGAATAGCCCAGATTAAAGTTTGACAAGTTTCTAAGATCAAAACAATAAATTGGGAAAGCTCTGCCAGGAGGAATCCTTTAAAATACCTCTTAGTTAAAAGGGCTGAAATAGACAATCTCTGAGATCCCACTTTGTTACACATCCTGTAGATCTATCATGAAAAGTTGCTTTGAAATTAGTGACTTGCCTTCACTTCCTTTACTTCTCTCTCAAAATATTAGTCATTGACATTCACATGTAAATCCTGGATAGGTACTGAGAATACATAGATGCAAGAGATATTATTCTTGGTCTTAGTGAAAACTATCCACCTCTTTTATTGCATAGGGTGATGAATCGTTTTGGACAATACTAGTAGCAGTAGCACACAGATCCCTATTAAATTTTGAGAAGGGTTTCTCTAAAACACTGAAGACCAAGTCAGTGGCCCTAGTTTCTCATGTATAAACTAGTACTGTCTTTGCTTAACTCTTCTGCCTCTTCCGTACTGTTCCATAAACTAAAGTAGTACTATCTTGTACTTTTTTTTTTTTTTTTTGGAGATGGAGTTTTGCTCTTGTCATCTAGGCTGGAGCGCAACAGCGCGATATCTGCTCACTGAAACCTCTGCCTCCCGGGATCAAGCAATTCTCCTGCCTCAGCCTCCCGAGTAGCTGGGACTGCAGGCATGCACCACCACGCCCAGCTAATTTTTGTATTTTTAGTAGAGATGGGGTTTTGCCATGTTAGCCAGGCTGGTCTTGAACTCCTGATTTCAGGTGATCTGCCCACCTCGGCCTCCCAAAGTGCTGGGATTATAGGTGTGAGCCACCTGGCGTCGGGCCTATCTTGTACTTTAATGTGCATAAGAATAACCTAGGGATTTTGTTTAAAGATAATTACTGATTCCCTAAATCGGGAATAGGGCCTGTAATTCTATATTCTAATATACTTCCAGATAATGTCGATGCTGCTGGTTAAGTGGTAGAGGCAGTCACCTGTAAAGGCTTTCTTTAGCTCTAAAAAGAAAATTCAAAATGATTGTTTTACCCTATAAGTTATTTTATAATCTGCCTCTTGTCTATTTTTACATCATTTAAAACAACTTATCCTCCTTAATTTACTACAGTAAATAGTATACATTTTCAGTTCCTCAAACATGCCAAACATACAAAATTGTTCACCATTTTGCAGGGCATGGTTTATGCTTCTATCACTGGCATGATTACCATGTAAAGTACAATATAGGGGCACCCCATTCCATCAATCAAATGCATCAAATCTGGGACAATGACCATAAAATATACTTTGGCAGGCATTTGTTTGGAAACTGGCAAGTATGTATGAATGGTTGAGTGACCTCTGATGATGCTGGGCTGATTAGGTGAATAGCCCCATTAGGCCTCCCTAGACATCTCTTCTGCTTGGGAACTTTGATTTTAGCACCTTGAGCTTGTTTTCCAATTATGTTGTAACCATTCACCATCTACTTCAAGATTATCTAGGTTATTTATTGAAATGCATTTTCTTGGGGTAGACCTCCACAAAAATTCTTATTTGGTGGGTCTGTGTGTGGCCCCAAAACCTGCATTTTGACAAATTCTCTAGGAATTTAGATGCTCTAAAGTGTTAGAACTCCTAAGGGGAAACTATCCTTCTGGGTATACTGTTAGCTCAAGATTGTAACTCTATTGCAAAGAGACTATTCCTGCTCTCCTATTCTAGATTTTAGAAACTAAAGTGAATATTTGTTTGTTTGTAACTGTATATTTTGACACAACACTTTTTTTCCCTTTGCTAGAATTAGAGAGCAGGAATAATCTCCTCAGCTTATCCTAAGACACTAGAGGCCTAAAGAAACATCAAGTCTCTAATTTCAAAAGCAATTGTGAGATAATAATGAGATGACACTTAAGTGCTTACTTTTTACAATAAGTTAATAATTTTTCCATAAGATCCTTGACAGTCACAATTATCATACCCATTTTATAGATTAAAAACTGAAATGCAAAAAGGTGAGGCCAATTATCCAAAATTATATAGTAACGATTGATGGATACTGAGAATTCAGAGCTCAATCTGTTAACCACTACAATTTACTGTAGAATTTTCTATTACCTCAGTGGTCATTTTATCAAATGCAGGGCGCTATAGAGACTGCACCTGTTATTTACAAAGTCAACTTTATTATCATATTCTATGTAAACTCATTTGACAGAACATTTTCCTTCCACAGAGCAGATAATTTCTCTAAAACAGGCAAGTTGCTGACTTGAAATGACATTAACATTTTTGATTCGGTTTGCAAGTCTTATTGATCTATGAAATAGAGGTCTTAAAAATAATGTTAAAGATTAAAGCTGAGAGATAATTTAGTTCTAAACACGGTGGTCTGAATTGACAAAAGTCTCATCGGGGAGATCATAAACTACTTGCCAAAGGCCAAAGCTGACAGGTGAATTACCTGGGAATTTAGTTCAAATATAAACACACTTTGAATGGAGACAATGTATGAGCCAGGAGATGAAAATTGGGTCAGAAGTTATATATACCAGAGCCAAGGTCAGAAGCAAAAGTATATTTTTAAAAGTGAGCAGGATACTGGAAGGAGCGAGTACAAGTCGTTGTCTGAAATAGACAGAGAAAGGGTAAGTTGTGGATAAGAATAGTGTTTTTAACGGGTCTTTGAAACAAGCATTCTGGAATTTATCCATGCTTGTTGGCTCTCCCAACAGGCTGGGTTGGGGAATTAAAGGGATCGCCTCCTAATAAAAAGTGTAGACTTTTAGTCCACTATTCCTATAAAGATGAGGTTAAAATACTCAAGATAACTGAACAGAAATCAAACTCTAAAAATTATGGAACACATATAAGACACACATCTACTGCTACACCCTCAATTTTCTTTTGCTATATACAAGGATATTTCGAAACAAACTGAATTATTCTGAAGGTCATTTTGAGTGAAATTTTTACTATAGTTTTGAATTACAAAGATTGGAATTGTAACACATAAAGACTAATTTTCTGGGCTCTAATTTTTTAAGAACACAATCAACTGAATCTAATTGGCATAATTATCCTTTCACAGATAGCTTTAAATTGTTTATTTGGATCATAGCTAAAATGAACAAGGGAAGGAGGAAACAGCAATTAATTTCATGAGTCCAGATTTTCGACTTTATGAAGCTTCAATGAGGCTGTTTAAAGATTACACTTCTAAACTAATGTATAGCCACAAACTAGAAGTCAGAAAATAAAATTAATTATTCTACATTTTTTATCTGACATTATTCAATATTATTTTCTAACTAAAGTGTGGAAATGCTTTGCTTAACTTTAAATTCAGTCACATACAGAGATTTTTAGAGCAATATTTTTGATGAAGAGCAAGTGAAACTAAAAATGACACAAGTGACTATTAGAATTTTATTTCTTTGCAAAAGAAACTTTGCCAAATTGACTCCAAAACTGAGTGCCTTTGTGGATAAATATGACTTCCACTTGAGGCTGAGTTCTTTAATGAACCCCTTGACATAAGTTGTGAGTGAAAACATGAGACTATATCAGAATTTTATCCAAAAGACAGGCAATATCAAATGCTGGTGAGGATATGGAGCAAGCAGAACACCCCGTGGGAATGTAAATTTGTAGAGCCACTATGGAGAACAATATGGTGTTTCCTCAAAATAATAATAGAACTACCATATGATCTAGCAATCCCACTGATGGCTATATATCTAAAGAAGGGAAATCAGTACATTGAAGAGATATCTGCATCCCCACCATTATTACAGCACTTCTAACAATAGCCAAGATTTGGAATCAACTTGTGTCCACACCAGCAGATTAATGACTAAAAAAAAAAGTGGTACATACACACAATGGAATATTATTCAGCTGTAAAAAGAATGAAATCGTATCATTTGCAACAACATAGATGGAACTGGACATTACGTGAAGTGAAATAAGCCAGGCACAGAAAGACAGATAGCAAATTTTCACTCCTATATGGAAACTTAGAAAATTGGTTTCATGGAGATAGAGAGTAGGATGATAGATATCAAGGGCTGTTAGGGATTTGTGGGTGGGTTGGAAGGACGAAGACAGGTTGGTTAATGGATACAGACATACAGTTGGATATAAGGAATAAGTTTTAATGTTCATTAGCAGAGTCAGGTGACTACAATAAACAACAATGTATAGTATATTTCAAAATAGCTAGAAGACAGGAGTTGAAATGTTCACAACACATAGAATTGATAAATACTCAAGGTGATGTATCCCCTAAATGCATGACTTGATCATTACAATTCTGTGCATATGACAAAATATCACATGTACCCCACAAATATGTACAAATATTATGTATCTATTTTAAAAGATAGATGCTAGGGGATAAAAGACAGAGAGAAGACATAGATTACCTTCAAAGACTGATAGTTGATTCTGAATAGCAATAATGAAAGGCAGAATAGAATGGGATAATCATTTCAGAGGACAAAGATTAAATATGAGCCAACCAATATATATCCAAAGACATAATCTTTCAAGAACAAGAGAGAAATAAGGACACTTCCAGACAAAATAAGCATAGCGCTTACTTCCAACAGATTGTCACCAGGCATTTATAAAGTATATGATTTTGGGAGAAGAAAATTATTCTGTATGGAAGGTCTGAAATGCAAGAGGCAATGGTAATCATTTGTATTATAAGATCAAATTTAAAACAAGTCAGTTGGACTGTGAAAATGAATAATGGTAATGTCTGATTTTGAAAATTTAGAAAAGTAATTTACTGTCAGCATTATTGAGTTTTAAATTATATGGCATTTGCAGAAGTTCATGCATATTTTTACCTAGCAAAGTGTTACACAGGACTACGGCTCTACAATCAGGTTCCTTTCAGGATAAGTATATTTGTTTTGTTCTCATTTGTTTTATTTTTAGTTTATTTTTAAATTTATTTTCAACTTTATTTTTGGTAATGTATTCGGTTTCTTGTTTTGGTTTTCTCTGTGAGATTTTTCAGTCCTGGATTTGAACCAACAAGTAGTTTGATGACATGAATCTTGATTTTTTATGTCTGGGCACATTTAAAATTTTTTAAAAAACATAACTAAGTTATGTTTTATACCATGTTAAAATTGTGAAATTCCCACAAATCTAAAATGTAATCCCTTATATAAAAGGCTTTTAAAATTGTTGTTGCAGGGCACAAGTTCAGTTAGTTTTAGCTTATTTCTTCTGTTCTAACTTTGTATTTGATCACCTTTAAGTGGGGTGGGAATTCCTTCTTCAGTTAACCACCACGTACAGAAACACCTTTTGTCTTATTTTTGGCCATTTCACCCATGTATGTTATTTGCTTGTTACTTGAATGCATCTGAGTTATTGATTAGTGATTTACAATATGGCAACTACCTGAAATAGGTGTATGCCAGATTTTAAAATGTTGGAAATTTCCCAAATATGCTTGCACTTTTCTAGGAAAGCCCAAAGTAATTTTAATACCAAGACTTGTTTAAAGCATAGATTTGCCAATTTTTGATGTATAATTTTTTGATGAGATAGTTATTTAATCTCTGTCTCTGCTTCCCACCTACAAAATAAATTTAATTATCCTTGCCCTGCTCGTTTCAGCTTACTTTATAGATAGATCTCTGTTATAAACATTTTCCCCCTAAAAATGAAAGACAGTCCATCTCTCTATAGAGACTATCTAGGAAAGACTAGTTGATATTCACATACAGGCAATCTTGTTTTCTCTTTCCTGAAACTAAGAATAATATCAGTAAGATTCCAGCCAATGACTATTTCATTATATACACAATGTTTCAACATAATATATTTTTTTCCCTAACAAAAGCAAATTCACCTAGGCTCTTGAAAATAGCTTTCCATAGAGGCTATCCTGGTTCAAGTGCTTTTCAGGTAGTTTCTTTCTTTTCCTAAAAGCCAAAGCCCAAATGTGTGGTGCCTTTGTAACCCCTCAGTTACTATTGATTGCTGTCCTTACTAATTAACCTTGGAGGTGAGGAGTTTTGGTCACTACATGGGCCACAGGAATGGATACAGGAAATATATGATATTCTCTGTTTCTCTGGATATGGTAATACAACCTAACTGTCAATAACCTGTTTAAAAGACATGAAATCTAAAATGTTCCATGTAGGCTTACGTACAAAGCAGTTTATTTAATCAAAAGGTCAAAATTTTTCTGTAATAGCTATCTCATATAATGCTTTCCATTCACCAACTATAGATAAATGTAATATGCTGAGTTGCTTGCTTCATTTCAATTAATTAAATAATTAATTATTTCTCATTGTATGCTTGACTTCTCTGTGTTAATGATGTCTGGCCCTCATCTTACTCTCAAATATAATAATATTGAAACCCAAATTATCTTTCCTTCCCAGTTTTCCTGCTCCTGTTACTAAGGCAGTTAGTGTCCTACTATTCCAGACCTGAAAACTTTTCATCATCCTTTAACTCATTCCATTTCTACAAACAAGTTTCCATGAATGTTTCTCTGAATTGCTTGTTCATCTTCATTACCACCAATCACCCACTGAATTATTTCTATCCATGCTTTTCCTGAACATCTTTGAACATATTTTGTTTCTCTATATTAATTTTGTTCTGACTCAGATTTTATGGTATTATAAAAGCTGACTTGGTATCAATGATTACAGAGGAATAGGGCACCCCAGGCTGAAGGATATGCTTGCTTGAGATGGAGTTGAGTATAAAGATGGGTCTTTGCAGAGGAGCTGGACTTTCCAGGTGTAGGATCCAGTGGAGAAATACTGCTCAAATTTAATTCCCCAAATGGTCATTATTACAGTTTTCAATCTGGTGTACAGGGAACAGTGGTAATGAATCCAAGTTCTTAGGAACAGTCCTAGTAGCAAAATGGCTTTAAAAATGTTTCCATATAGGGAAGAAAACCAATCAAGCATTGGTAATGTGGAAAAAGCCTTTGTTCCTTGGGAGGAAAATTGCCAACAGTGTTCTTTATCAAATATACTTTGGGTGAATATTATTTTAAAGATTCCAATAACAAAATACAATTTCATTTGCAACATGTATGGAAGAACACAGCTAAATTCTGGTTTCATCGAATTAATGAAAACAAGTCTAAGAATAAAGACCATGAGATTGCACAGATTTGCAAAAGGAAATTCTGTTTCGGATTCACATGGGAAGGTTTCTGTTCTCAGCTGGAGTTCCTTTGGGAAGAATTTAATTATTAAAGTGAAAGAGAACTAGTCTTTGCTTAGATAAATAACTAAATTCTATCAGAGATAAATGATTTCTCTATAATAGAAGTTATAATAACAATGTGACTATTTACATCTATTAAATTAAAATTCAGGAACTAATCTTAGGTTGATTGTATGCATTCAAAGATAGCCAACAATCAATAAATGACAAATGGAATATCTACTATATGTTAAATTCTCTGCTATGTATTATAGGAATGTAATTTGTTTTAAAATTTGATTTCTGTAACATCTTCAGTTTTGTTATATAACACTATAAGCTGATTTTAAAAAATCAATATGAACAAATGCTACGAACAAGAATCATTTAGCTTTGGGAAAAGATATCTCAATGTCAAGGCACAGCATGGTAGGATTACGTGTCGGAGAAATTGTAGCTGGAATTCTAGCTTCTATTTCCTAAGAATATTTCTCTTGGCTATCTACTTAAAATGCCCTCTGGGCCTCAGTGTGCATGCCAATAAACTAGGAATAATATTATTTATAATTCTTATTTACAGGGTTGTTAAAATAAGCAAAAGTATTTTATTTGATATATTTTTTAAAGTTTACAAAATATGTAAGGTGCTTTGACTTAAGAAACTGTTTTTAAAACAAATGTGGAAAAGTCTATATAAACAGCATTCTCCTTTTTTCCAGAGATCAAAACAAATGTTTTTCAGAAACTCTTTCACTATCAATGTATAACCCTGTTATAAAAGCAAACTTCACTCTTATCAAAACTTGTTTTGATAAGACAAACTGTATGCCTCATCCCCTCTGCTTTTTCTCTTGCTAGCTTTAGACTTGGACAGCCAACTCACTACTGCACAGATGAAGTTCACAGCCCCAACAGTAACTTAAATTTAACATGTCTAAAACTGGAAACATATCTTCCTTTGAACTATTTCTTGAAGTAAAAATAAGTAAAAAAAATTAATGCACTTAATGACATCACTATCAACGTAATTATTTAAGTCAGAATTTAATTAAGCTCTTCCCAGACTGAACCAGGTCCTGTTTCGTGTTCTCGTAGCCCAATAACGAGATGCGGACCAACTGGGAAAGAAGAGAGTTTATTTCAGTAACCAGGTACAGGGAGAAGGTCAGAGAGAATTCATCAGACCAACTCAGGATTCTAAAGTTTTTCCAGTCCTTTTATATGTTTTGAACTATATGCCTATGTGTGGTGTCATATTCGCCTATGTCTATAGGTGATGAATTTTGTTTTAACTGAAATGTCAGAGGCCAGAAATGTCCTCTAAATCTACTTAATGCATGAGGTCTCTGGTATCGGGATGATAAAGAAATGTCCCCTAAATCTACTTAATCTATTAGGCCCCTGATACCAGGTTGATTACTTCTACCTTATGTTACCTATGGTTTGGGTCTAGAGAGTTGCTTCAGACCCCCAGCAAATGTATTGAATCCAAGACGGGTGTTGGTACAAGGAATGAAGGGCTGTCTTGACTCACCCCAGGTTTTGTGGACCCAAGACAGGACCTCGTCAAGACAAGGAATTTATGAAAGTTTCCTTTATCTTGACTTGCCCTGGGCTTCAGCAGAAGCCCGGGGAAAGGTCTTACCGAAGATATGTTTCATTGTTGTCTTTGGTGTCTGGGCATTGATTTCCCTAGGTTTAATTATTAACTTAGTGTTAAGGCAGATGCCATGGAAGTTTGCCTGTATAACGGGAGTGCTATGGAGGCCTGTGTGTGTGACTGTCAGCAAGCATTGGCCTACCACAAAACAATCACCAAATCTTGCTGATTTTCAGATTTTCATTGGCTATTTCTTCAAAATTTTTCCTTTATCTCATTGTTATGCTTGTCAAGACCCTTTCTGAGGGTACTTAGTCTTCTAAGAGGTATCCCTGCTTCTCCTTCTTCATCCTCTTTTTATCTCCTCTCTTTCTACCTCCAAACCATGTTCCATGTCACTTTCAGAGTAGAATATCTAATCAAAAACTTTTGCTCTCATACTTAAAATTTCTTGATATCTCATTGTGCCCTTTAGGATAATGTCCATAGCGTGCCATATGAGGTCACCATGATTTCCCTTAGTCTTGTAAATGCGCCCCAATTCCCATGATTTCCTACCTAATTCTTGGCTCTCAATCAATGCAGAGGCATTTCAGTGCCCAGGATTTACCATACTGCTTTCTACCTTCATGATTTTGCTCAAGCTGTTCTCTCTCTCTGCAATACCTTCAGTATTAGTTTTCTATGTCCTGTGACAAGTTGCTGCAAACTTTGCAGTTTAAAACCACACCCATCTATTCTTTTAGAGTTCTGGAGATGAGAGTTCAGTTTTACTATGTTGAAATCAAGGCATCAGTGGGGTCTCACCCTCAGCAACACCAGGGGAGAATTTTTTTCTTGCCTTTTTCAGCTTCTGGTGGCTCCAGTGTCCCTTGGCATGTGGCCACATAATTTCAGTCTCTGCCTCTGTGGTCATATTGCCTTTTCTTCTGTGTCAAATCTCCTTCTATCTCTTTTTTGTAAGGACACTTTTCATTGCATCTAGGGCTCACACTGGCAATCTAATATAATCTTCCTGTTTTACTCAGCTCAGGCTGTTACAACAAAATACCATAAACTGGATGGCTTAAATAGCAGACACTTATTTCTCTCAGTCTGGAGGCTGGGAAATCCAACATCAAGGTGCCAGCAGACTCAGTGATTTGTTAGGGTGCTCTTCCTGGCTTGTAGAAAGCCACCTTCTTGCTGTCTGCACACATGGCCTTTCCTTAGTGAGAGCTCAAGATGGCATAGAGAGACAGATCTGTCTTCCTCTACTTACAAGGGCACTGATTCCAATGTGAAGGTCCCACCTTGTGAGCTAATCTAATCCTAATTACCTATGAAAAGCTCCACCTCTAAATACCATCACATTGGGAGTCTGGACTTCGACACATGAATTTTTGGAGGACTTGAACATTCAGCCCATGACGTTCCCATCTCAAGACTTTTAACTTAGTGACATTTAAAAATAGCCTTTATCTATATAAAGCAACATTCATAGGTTCCAGGTTAGGTTCTAATATCTTTGGAGGCCATTATTTAGCCTACTGCTGCTTTCTTTTAGAATTTAGCAAGGTTTCTCTTATTGATAACCCTTGGCACCCTATGCTTACCTCTGAATTTACACTTATTACATAAATATTAAATCTTTCTACCTAGAATGAACACTTCTCAAGGGCAGAGGATGTACATTTTATTCATTTTTCCTTTGTTACTGTCAATACCCTGGGATGGTGTCTGGCACATAGTAGGTGTTCAGCATGTATTTATTGAACTTTTGAAATGATGACATCTCTGATTTTAATGTTTCAAAATAAATGACTTAGCCAGTGGGAATGAACAAGAAAGGTAACATATGGTTGTCTCACTCTCTGGAGCACCTCATGGGCAATGTGGCTTGCTTCCTGACCCTATCCAGTGAAATACAGGTTTTCCTCACTTCACTGTGTTTATTGTATTGTGCTTCTCAGATACTGCATCCTTCACAAATTGAAGGTTTGTGGGAACTCGGCATCAAGCAAGTCTGTTGACACCATTTTTTTTCCAACAGCAGGTGCTCACTTTGTATCTTTGTGTCAGCATTTTTGGGCAATGAAACACTTGTAAATTAAGGTATGCACATTGATATTTTTTGTATGTCATTGTATGACACACTTAATCAATTAAAGTAAAAATGTAACTTTTATATGCACTGACAAACCAAAAAATTGGTATGCCTTGCTCTATTGCCATGGTCCAGAACCAAACCCACAATATCGCAGAAGTATGCCTGTAATACAAATATAAATACTTCATTTTTCAAATGCTGGTTTGTTAATTCACTTTTTTAGGGCAAAAATTTTATGACATAATGGCCAATGAGATTATAGGGAGATTTCTGACTCAGACTATCACATTGAACACTAATTATGGCCACAGATGATTATCTATTAATGTAAAATGTGATCATTTTACCATCGATAATACTTTTTTTGGTGAATGGAACAAAATAAAGGTATATCTTGTTCAGAAGAACTGTCAAATAAAAAGTTAAGGCATGTAACATACACACCTTTAAGCGATCCCAAGAATCTTAGTTTATTTTGTGCTGCCATAAACAGCAGAACACCTGAGCCAGGATAATTTATAAAGAACAGAAGTCTATTAACTCACAGGCTGGGAAGTCGAAGGTTAAGGTGCCATGAAGTTTGGTGTTTGATGAAGCCATTATCTTCTTCCAAAATGAACCCTTGCACACTGCATCCTTTTGGGGATGGAGCACTAGATCTTCACATGGTGGAAGGCAGAAGGGCCAAGACTAAGAGCCTACTCCTAAAACCCCTTTATATAATGACATAATCCATTTATGAGGGTAGAGCTCTTACGGCCAATCACCTCTTAAGGTACCAACATCCCAATGCTATTAGATTGGTAATTAAATTCCAACATCAGTTTTAAAGGGGGAACAAACATTCAAACCATAGCACCAAGTGAGCCACACTGTTGTATAATCTCCAACCCTGGACTGCTGACAGGACCAATGACTTGCTTCTAACCACTAGAGTATGGCATATGGCAAAAGTGATGGAATGTGACTTTTGTGAAATACACATACACACAAACACAACCATATTTATATTCAATACATGCATGTTTACAGTGTTTTACATATGCATATGGCAGATTTTATTTATGTATACATTCAATGTATTATATATATGAATTATCTATCTATCTATCTGTCTATCTATCTATCCATCCATCTATCCATCCTATCTTTCTTGTGCTTGCTAACATGCATGAGAGAGATTCCCCTTCGTTACTGGCTTTGAAGCAGTAAGCTGTCACATTGTGCAAGGGCATATGAACAAGGCCAAGCGGCAAGGAACTGTAGGAATCCTCCAGGAGCTGAACCAGGCTGCGGGCCAACAGCCAGCAAGAAAACAGTAGTCAGAATCCTACAATCACAAAAGGAGGGGAAGTGGCTGTTTTACCAGTTGGTCCTCAGAGAAGATCATAGGCCCACCTCACCCTTGGGTTGCAGCCTGGTAAGGCTCTTCCAGGCTGCAACTCAGAATCACAAAACCCTCTTTAGCTGTGCTCCCTGGACTTTTGGCCTGTAGAAAGTGTGAGATAATAATGTGTGTTACTTTAAGTCACTCAGTTGTGTTAAGGGATTATGCAGCAATAACAAACTAATCCAGGACACAACAGTCTGTGATGTAGATTTGGTGGAAATGTAAGGGAGTTACTGCAGAAAATTAGAGTAGTAAAAATTATAGAAGAAAATGCTTCATATAAAGCAAAACCAACAATTCAATTGCTTTTACTTCCAATAAGAAAAAATAGAAGGAAACCTAAAAAAACACGGCTTTATGCTTATGAATATAAATAGAGAGCTCCCTAAAGGGCTCAATTTTTGGAAAAATAGTCAAGAAGATGGTAAGAAATAAAACAAATATAAATATATACTGCAAACCTTTTAGAATAATGTCTTTGCGGCTAAAGCACAGGTGATTATAATTTTACAAAAAATGTCAAAGAAGGAAAAATAAATGTTTTATATAAAAATGATAAGCCAAAAATGGTGGCTGGCAGTGTGTTATAGTGGAAAGACTGGGCTTGTATTAATTTGGCTTCTATATTTACTATTTGAGTAATCTTGAGGAAATTGCATTTTGAAATATTTGATTAGTGATAAATCTCTTTAGAAATTTTATTTCTCAGTGTTCTCCAGTAAACCCTAGAGACATATATATGTATGTATATCCATTTATTTACCCATCTATCTACAGAGATTTGTAATAGGAAGTTGGATTATGCAGTTATAGAGGCTGGGAACTCCCAAGGTTTGAAGTTGGCAAGCTGGAGATCCAGAAAAGCCAATGGTGTAGTTCCAGTTCAATTCTGAAGGCCTGAGAACCAAAGCTAATGGTATAGTTTCAATATGAAGGTGGGCAGGTGATGTGGTTTTGCTCTGTGTCCCCACCTAAATCTCATCTGGAATTGTAATCCCCACATGTTGAGAAAGGGACCTGGTGGGAGGTGATTGGATCATGGGGGTGGTTTCTTCCATGTTCTTCTCATGAGAGTGAGTGAATTCTTATGAGCTCTGGTGGTTTAAAAGCATGTGGTGGTTCTCTCCTCTCTCTCTCTCTCACCACCATGTTAGACGTACCTTGCTTCCCCTTCTCCTTCCATCATAATTGTGAGTTTCCTGGGGCCTCCCCAGCCGTGTGGAACTGTAAGTCTATTGAACCTCTTTTATTTATAAATTACGTAGTCTCAGGTAGTTCTTTACAGCAGTGTGGAAATGGACTAATACAGAAAATTGGTGCTGGAAGTTTAGGGCACTGCTATAAAAATACTTTAAAATGTGGAAGCGACTTTGGAACTGGGTAATGGACAGAGGTTGGAACAGTTTGGAGGGCTCAGCAGATGACAGGAAGATGTGGAGAAGTTTGGAACTTCCTAGATATCTGTTGAATCACCACAATGCTAATAGTGATATGGACAATTAAGTTCAGACTAAGGTGGTCTCAAATGGAGATGAGCTTATTGGGAACTGGAGCAAAGGTTACTCTTGCTATGCTTTAGCAAAGAGACTGGCAGCATTTTGCCCCTGTCCTGGAAATCTGTGGAACTTTGGACTTGAGAGAAGTTGATTTAGAGTGCCTGGCAGAAGAAATTTCTAAGCAGCAAAGCATTCAAGATATGACCTGGCTTTTTCTGAAACCGTACAGTCATATGTGTTCACAAAGAGATGATCTGCAATTGCAACTTATGTTTAAAAGGGAAGCAGAGCATAAACATTTGGAAAATTTGCAGCCTGTCCATGCGGTAGAAAAGAAAAACTCATTTTCTGGGGAGAAATTGAAGCCCAAGCCACTGCAGACATTTGCATAAGTAATGAGGAGCCCAGTGTTAATGGCCAAGACAATGAGGTACATGTCTCCAGGGCATTTAGAGATTTCACAGCAGCCCCTCCCATCACAGGCCTGGAGGCTCAGGGGGAAAAAATAGTTTCCTGGGCCAGGCCCAGCACCCAGCTGCTCTGTGCAGCCTCAGGACATAGTGCCCTGTGTCCCAGTTGCCCCAGCTCCCACCATAATTAAAAGGGGCCAAGACACAGTTCAGGACCATGGCTTCAGAGGATGCAAGTCCCTTGGGAGATTCCACATAGTGTTGGGCCTGCAGATATACAGAAGACAATAGTTGAGGTTTGGGAACCTCTGCCTAGATTTCAAAGGATATGTGGAAATGCCTGGATGTCGAGGCAGAAGTTTGCTGCAGGGGCAAATCCCTCACGGAAAACCTCTACTAAAGCAAGCAGAGGAGAAATGTGGGGTTGGAGCCCCCACACAGTCTCTACTGGGGCACTGCTTAGTATCACTGTAAGAAGAGGGCCACTGTCCTCCAGAACCCAGAATGGAAGTTCCACCGACAGCTTGTATCACGTGCTTGGAAAAGGTGCAGGCACTCAATGTCAGCCTGTGAAAGCAGTTGCAGGGGCTCTACCCTGCAGAGCCATAGGGATGGAGCTGCTGAAGGCTTTGGGAGCCCACCTCTTGCATCAGCATGCCCTGTATGTGAGACATTGTGTCAAAAGACATTATTTTGCAGCTTTAAGATTTAATGACTACCCTGCTGGGTTTTGGACTTGCATGGGGCCTGTAGCCCTTTTGTGTTGGCCAATTTCTCCCATGTGGAATGGTTTACCCAATGCCTGTACCCCACTGTATCGTGGAAGTAATTAACTTGCTTTAGATTTTGCAGGCTCAGAGGCAGAAGGGATTTGCCATGTCTCAGATGAGATTTTGTACTTGGAATTTTGTGTTAATGCTTGATTGAGTTAAGACTTTGAGGGACTGTTGTTAAGGCATGTTTGGTTTTTAAATGTGTAAAGGATGTGGTATTTTGTTGGGGCTGTGGCAAAATGTTATGGTTGGACTCTGTGTCCCCACCCAAATCTCATCTGTAATTGTAATCCTTATGCATTGAGGGAGAGACTTGGTGAGAGGTGATTGGACCATGGGAGTGATTTTCCCTATGCTGTTCTCGTGAGGGTGAGTGAGTTCTCACAAGCTCTGATGATTTAAAAGTATATGGTGGTTCCCTCACCTTGCTCTCTTCCAATGCCATATAAGACATGCCTTGTTTTCCCTTCTCCTTCCACCATGATTGTAAGTTTCCCGAGGCCTCCCCAGCCATGCAGAACGCTGAGTCAATTAAACGTCTTTTGTTTATAAATTACCCAGTCTTAGGTAGTTCTTTATAGGATGTGAAAATGGACTAATACAGCAGGCTTGAGACACCAGAAGAGGCAATGTTTCAGTTCAAGTCTGAAGGCATGAAAAGACTGATGATCCAGCTTAATGAAGCCACACAGAAGGAAATTCCCTGTTACTTGCAGGAGGTGGTCAGCCTTTTGTTCTGTTCAGTCCCTTCAGCTGATTTGATGAGGCCCACTCACATGAGGAAGGACCATATGCTTTACTAGGTCTAACAATGAAAACATTTATATTATCCAAAAACACCCTCATAGGCCCACCCAGAATAATGATTGATCAGGTATCTGGGTGCTCTGTGGCCAAGTCAATTTGAAGTGGACAGGTTTTGAGACAAGCAACCTTTAACCTTTAAATGCGCTTTAAAGACTGAGCATTTATCTCTTGTCACAAAGAATGAATGTCACATCTCCAATAAAACCAGTCCTCGCTTTTCATCCTCCCTACCATTTAGTATTGCCATAAGGTTAAGTTCTAACCAACAGCTTGTGAACAAAATAAACCTCTTCCAGGCTAGCCCACCAAACCTCCTGCACATGATTTGTCATGCTCTTCCCCTTCTACCACTGTGATGAAGAGTGTTCAGAAGCCAGACACTGAAGACTTTGAGAGAGATGTCCACTTATCAGAAACATCTATATAAAATTTTATGTGAGCAAGAAATATGCCTATCTTCTTTATGAACCATTGCATACATTAAGGTCTATTTAAAAGGCTTCCAAAAAATCAAACTTCTTTATACATTCTATCCTATGTAATTGTAGAAATAAGCTTGAATACTGAGTTTATTTTGAAATATTTATTTCTAGAGTAATAAAATGAGCAGAAAAATAAGAGTAACATATCCTTACCACATTTGCATTGTTCAGCCTTTTAAAAATCATGTTTCTGCATAACTTGCACGCACTGAAGTGTTGCTCCCTCAAACTTCCTGTTCCAGCAGCTGCACTACAGAAGGAAGAGCGTTTTTAAAGATCAAAGTAACTTCTGTAGTATTGACCAACCACAAGTGATTAAGAAGGAGCTAACTAGAATAGTAGCCTATTTTTGAGAAAAACTATATTAGCTTAGAAGAAAATCACTTAGTGTCTACAGAAAGACTAACATAATTTTTACAGAAGGCAAAAAGGATGAATAGCTGAGTCGTAATTACTGTTAGTGATAATTTTAAAGGTATTATAAAATATTGGAAAACTAAAACCTTAAGGAACAATAAACACCTCAAGAATAATTTAAAAGAGTAAAGTAAATACCAAATCATTACCTGCTGAGGTATTCATCATTTTATTTTTCAAAAAAATAGGCCCGTGTACTTTAGTTAATTACTAACATTACATATCAAAAATGATATTTCTTCAAATATGATACCTAAATGAAAGATTATCTTTCAAAGCATGTTCTAAAAGTATTTAGAGTTATGAAGACATACTTCTGTAGGTTAATTCTATTAATGATGACAGTTTTTAACTTGCTTGGGAATGATAGAAACATCTCTATCCTCTTCACATGAAATTTATACACAGACACAGATATGTATTATATCACAAAAATCATACATGGTATATTGAAGTGTAACACAGAACAATTCTGGTTTGTGAAAGTGAATTTAAATATGGGAATTATGTACAGTTCAAAATTTTACTGCAGATGTTATTAATTAACTTTTCCTCGAAACAAATTAACATATACAGTATTTCAATACAATAGCAGCACACAAGAAAACACTCTTAAATTGATATGTATTATAAATGTAATACATACATCACATATATAACATATGTATATACACATATCACATATACAGTATATATAGTATATACATACATATGTATCACACATACGTTATATGTGTGATAATCTCTATATGTCACACACATATACTTATATAGTATATACAGCTATACACATATATAAAAAACGTAAAAATACAAGTATATATCACATATATAGTGATATATACTTGATACATATACATGTATATATGTGATATATACATGCATTTTTATATATTTGTATAAAATACTTTATATTTTGTATTTGTATATTGTATAATATAAAATATTAAAATATATAAAATACATTAAAATATATGCATGTATTATATATATATATATATCCCATAAGTATATATATACTACAAAGGTGAAGTTAAAGATATAGAGTAGGGCAATAGGAGAGAAAGAGTCAGAGTCATTGGGAATCAATCTTGTAGGTTCAACTGATGTAAGAGTTTTGGACAGGCAGAACACAGAAGATAGATTTGGATAAATTGTTAAGGGGATAATACAATAAAATTTCCCAGAACTGAAAAACAGGAATCTCCACATTTAAGAGGCGAAGTGAACACTGGCACAATTAATGAAAAAAGCGACTTGCGACAAGGAATAACATTGTGAAATTTTAGAATACCACTGATACAGAAAAACTCCTAAAAGAACCCAGAATAAAATGACGAAAGGGAAAGAAGATAAGGAGAAAAAAGACAGAGAGAGATAAAGAAAGAAGAGACAGAGAGAGAGGAGTAAAGACACAGAGATAGAAATAGTCACAGAAAGAAGGAAAGGGGAAGGAAGGAAAAGAGGGTGATGGGGAGGGGAGGAGAGAGAAAAGAAAAGAAAGATCAGTAGCAGTTTTCATAGTAGAGTGGTGTTCAGTATTCAGATATGATTTATCACATTTGAAGTAGGACTTCCAAGTAGCTGTAAGCCAAATCTAATACCACGAATAGGATAGACCCTAAAAACATTCTTCCCAGAACAAATAATGTGGGAAGTACACTTGTTCCAAAATGATCAGTTTCACATGTTCAGATGAAAAAACAATCCATCAAAACTAATCACATAAAAAAGTATTCTACGTGGGCAATCTGATGTTGCATGTATAGTTTAAACTGATGTTGAACTGTTAGGACATTGTTGAAATAAGCAATTATTAGTTTTATGAAACACATATTGTAGCCAAAATAATACTGGGTTGTGGGTTAAGAGAACCTTTTGTATTTTAGTAGCCATTATTATAATAGCTTCATCATTTGGTTAGGTAAATGTCCAGATGTGAATAATTTATCTGGAAGAGATATTGGAGGATTTGTGATACCTCTAGCTGAATTCCTTTAGTAACTTGGATTAGAGGTGAAACAAATAATTCAGATTTATAATCATCTATTTGCGTATAAGTTTTCATTTTGTTGTGAATAAACATGCAAATAAATATACTTTGATAACTACTCCCATGAGACTAACATAACCAATGCAGTTTAATTATGATTACTGGGTAAAGAAAATATGCTGTATATGTACATATACACACATATTATTATATACACACCATATATATACACACACACAATATTTTCTATATTTTATATATAGAAAATTTTATATATACACATATTTTTATATATACATATATTTTATATATACACATTGCATATGTGGGTATATATATGTATTATAGTATATATATGTGTGTGTATATATACACACACATATATATGGTATACACATACCATATATCTCTACATACCATATATATATCCCATATATACCCCATATATATGCCATATATATCATATATATACGCCATATATATATACCATATATGTATATATATTTACAAATATATGTGTACATATATATGTGTACACATATATACTTATATATGTAATTATATATGGTTTATATGCTATATATATACCTTATATATGGTATATATATATACTATGTGCTATACATAGTATATATACTATGTGCTATACATAGTATATATACTATATGCTATACATAGTATATATACTATATGCTATATATCATATATGCTATATATACTATACTATATATACTATATATACTATACTGTATATATTATATATACTATATATACTATACTGTATATATTATATATACTATATATACACTATATATAGTATATATACACTTTTTCTATAGTGTATATATAAATAGTATAGTATATATACTATATAGTATATATATACTATACATAGTGTATATAGTATATAGTATATATACCATACATAGTATATATACTATATACTATATATACTATACATAGTATATATATAGTATATAGTATATATATACTATACATAGTATACATAGTATATAGTATATATATACTATACATAGTATATATAGTATATAGTATACATATACTATACATAGTATATATAGTATATAGTATACATATACTATACACAGTATATATAGTATACACATACTATACACAGTATATATAGTATACACATACTATACACAGTATATATAGTATATAGTATACACATACTATACACAGTATATATAGTATATAGTATACACATACTGTACACAGTATATATAGTATATAGTATACACATACTGTACACAGTATATATAGTATATAGTATACACATACTGTACACAGTATATATAAAGGATACACATACTGTACACAGTATATATAAAGTATACACATACTGTACACAGTATATATAAAGTATACACATACTCTACAGTATATATAAAGTATACACATACTATACAGTATATATAAAGTATATGTAGTACATACATATTATAGTATATATAGTATATATAGTATATATCGTATATATAGTATATAGTATACAGTATATATAGTATATATAGTTTATAGTATATAGTATATATAGTATAGTATATAGTATACAGTGTAGTATAGTATAGTATATCCTATATAGGATATATAGTATATAGTATATATAGTATATGTAGTATATAGGATATATAGTATATGTAGTATATAGTATATAGGATATATAGTATATGTAGTATATAGTATATACAGTATATGTAGTATATAGTATATGTAGTATATGGTATATACGTATATATGTATGTATATATGTGTTTATACACGTATAAATACACACATACATATACACACATGTATACTTACATGTATACATACACACGTGCATACATACATACATGTACACAGACACGTATACACACATGTATACACACATGCATGCACACATACATGCATGCATACATGCATGCATACACACATGCATACACACATACATACATGCATGCACACATGTATACATACATGTACACAGGCATGCACATGTATACGTACATGCATACATACACGTATACATGCATACATGCATACATACACGTATACATGCATACATGCATACATACACGTATACATGCATACATGCATACATACACGTATACATGCATACATGCATACATACACGTATACATGCATACATGCATACATACACGTATACATGCATACATGCATACATACTAGTATAAACACATGGATACACACCTGCATACATACATACATGCATACACATGCATACACACATGCATACACATGCATACATACATACATGTATACACACATGCATACATGGAGGCATACATACACGCATACATGCCTACATGCATGTATACATACATGCCTACATGCATGTATACATACATGCCCACATACATGCATACATACGTGCATACATGCACGCATACGTGCAGATACGTACATACATGCACGCATACGTGCAGATACGTACATAAGTGCATACATACGTGCATACATGCATGCACACATGCACTCATGCATGCATACACACATGTACACACACATGTATACACACATGTGTACATACACATGCATACACACATGCATACACACATGTATACATACACACATGCATACACACGTTTGCATACACGCATGAACACACATTTATACATGCACACATGTATGCACACATGCATACACGCATGTATGCATACATGTATACGTGTATATACATGTATATACGTATATATGTATGCATGTATATATGTATATGTATACGTGTATATACATATATGTATATGTGTGTATACATATATATACTACATATATGTATATATTTACTGCATATATACATATATGCTATACATATATACTGTTTATAATATATATACTATATATAGTGTATATATACTACATATATGGTATATATACTATATGTAATATATAGTCTATATAGTATATAGTATGTATAGTATATAGTATATATAGTATATATATCGTATATAGTATATATAGTGTATATGGTATACTATGTAGTATATAGTGTGTATATATAGTATATATATACACACAATATATGTATATATAGTATATATGGTATAGTATAGTATATATATAGTATACCATATATAGTATACTATACATATACTATGTATATATGGTATATATATAATGTATATATACTATGTAGAGTATAGTATATATAGTACTATACTATACACACACACACATATATATACACACACACACACATATATATACACACACACACACACACACCATTGAATATTAAGCCATAAAAAGGAATGAAATCATGTCTTTTGAAGTAACATGCATGTAGCTGTAGGCCATTATCTTAAGTGAAATAATTTAGAAACAGTAAGTCAAATACTGCATGTTCTCACTTATAAGTGGGAGCTAAATAATGTGTACACATGGAAATACAGAGTGAAGTAGAGGATATCAGGATCCCCAAATGGTGGAGGGCAGGAGAGGGGTGAGGGATGAAAAATTACCTATTGGGTACAATGTATTACGATTCAGTAATACACTAAAAACTCAGACTTCAATATTTATTTTATAATCAGCAGTAGGCATTAGAGAATCCTTTATATTAAAAATTAACCGTACATTCAATTTCAGTTATATTCTTTGCATTCTTATCTCCCTGGGTCCCCCATCTTCCTTCCTTCCTTCTTTCCTTCCTTCCTTCCTTCCTGAAAAGGACTATATTTCTATCATATTATAAGTTAGTAACGGGACCTACCTCATAAATAAAGGAATAAAATGATTTGGTTTTGGATGTGAATGAGTATTTCTTTAGAGAGCTGTAAGAAAAATTTAAGTAGTATAACAATGTGGCTAATAGAATATTAATATTTAGCACCCATCATCTGAAGCAAAAAAAAAAAAATGGCACTTCTGGTTCTTAAGAAAATATGTACATGCTTTTTTTCTTTCAGTTCAGGTTTACAACTTCACTCTATTTCAGTGCCAGGCTGCTTTCTTGTTAGAGCCTCTTTTGGAATCCAAGTGAAAGTACGGAGGAAGAGGACATGAGAAAAGAACGCCTGTATATTGATAACAAAAATTTATATGTTGTTTTCAATATCCTCTATTTTATGAAGTTAAATCTTGCCTTAGGTTGAGAGGAGCTCAACCTAATTTTAATTGGCTCTAAACCTAAGGCAAGGGTGAGGAACTCAACCTCTAAAAACATCAGAAGTTTCTTAAGAAGACAAAAATAACATTTCTCCAAATAGAGAAAAAACATCTAATTCCATGGTATAATAAGTCGGCTGGCAAATTTCCTTTTAAAAAATTCATTCTTGTTACTATTTATACAGTTGCAGAAATTAAAGAGATCATATCTATTTCTTTCAAATTTGTAATAAAGAAAAAATGCAATTTGGTTCAGCAGTTACCTTGCTGATCTCACAAACTGTCATACTCTCTCTTGTCCCTTTTCCTTTATGGAGTCTGTTTCTTCTTTTGGAATAGACACATCTCCTTAATCACTAGTCACTTTTTCCTCCTTCTCTCTATGTTTAAAGACTTATCTACTTTTTGAAGACCTTTATATCCACATGTTCTGCTTTCCCCGGTCCTATTTTAGCAACAACTCTATTTACTGTAATTTCAATTGTTTCCATTTTCTCTTAGTAGAGTGTAGACTTTATCGGCAGGAAATTCATGATTTAACAATAGTGAGTCATTAAACCTAACATAGTTTTAAAATATACTTGCTATAAAATGTTGGTTAAATAAATGCACTTTTAAAAAAGTAAATGGTCTAAAATTCTCTTTTTTTGTTGTGCCTTTGCCAGGCTTTGGTATCAAGATGATGCTGGCTTCATAAAATGAGTTAGGGAGGATTCCCTCTTTTTCTATTGATTGGAACGGGTTTCAGAAGGAATGGTACCAGCTCCTCCTTGTACCTCTGGTAGAATTCAGCTGTGAATCCATTTGGTCCTGGACTTTTTTTGGTTGGTAGGCTATTAATTATTGCCTCAATTTCAGAACCTGTTATTGGTCTATTCAGAGATTCAACTTCTTCCTGGTTTAGTCTTGGAAGGGTGTATGTGTTGAGGAATTTATCCATTTCTTCTAGATTTTCTAGTTTATTTGCATAGAGGTGTTTACAGTATTCTCTGATGGTAGTTTCTATTTCTGTGGGATTGGTGGTGATATCCCCTTCATCATTTTTTATTGCGTCTATTTGATTCTTCTCTCTTTTCTTCTTTATTGGTCTTGCTAGCGGTCTATCAATTTTGTTGATCTTTTCAAAAAGCCAGTTCCTGGATTCATTGATTTTTTGAAGGGTTTTTTGTGTCTCTATCTCCTTCAGTTCTGCTCTGATCTTAGTTATTTCTTGCCTTCTGCTAGCTTTTGAATGTGTTTGCTCTTGCTTCTCTAGTTCTTTTAATTGTGATGTTAGGGTGTCCATTTTAGATCTTTCCTGCTTTCTCTTGTGAGCGTTTAGTGCCATAAATTTCCCTCTACACACTGCTTTGAATGTGTCCCAGAGATTCTGGTATGTTGTGTCTTTGTTCTCGTTGGTTTCAAAGAACATCTTTATTTCTGCCTTCATTTCATTATGTACCCAGTAGTCATTCAGGAGCAGGTTGTTCAGGTTCCATGGAGTTGAGCGGTTTTGAGTGAGTTTCTTAATCCTGAGTTCTAGTTTGATTGCACTGTGGTCTGAGAGACAGCTTGTTATAACTTCTGTCCTTTTACATTTGCTGAGGAGTGCTTTACTTCCAAGTATGTGGTCAATTTTGGAATAGGTGTGGTGTGGTGCTGAGAAGAATGTATATTCTGTTGATTTGGGGTGCAGGGTTCTGTAGATGTCTATTAGTTCTGCTTGGTGCAGAGCTGAGTTCAACTCCTGGATATTCTTGTTAACTTTCTGTCTCGTTGATCTGTCTAATGTTGACAGTGGGGTGTTAAAGCCTCCCATTATTATTGTTTGGGAGTCTAAGTCTCTCTGTAAGTCTCTAAGGACTTGCTTTATGAATCTGGGTGCTCCTGTATTGGGTGCATATATATTTAGGATAGTTAGTTCTTCTTGTTGAATTGATCCGTTTACCATTATGTAATGCCCTTCTTTATCTCTTTTGATCTTTGTTGGTTTAAAGTCTGTTTTATCAGAGACTAGGATTGCAACCCCTGCCTTTTTTTGTTTTCCATTTGCTTGGTAGATCTTCCTCCATCCCTTTATTTTGAGCCTATGTGTGTCTCTGCATGTGAGGTGGGTTTCTTGAATACAGCACACTGATGGGTCTTGACTCTTTATCCAATTTGCCAGTCTGTGTCTTTTAATTGGAGCATTTAGTCCATTTACATTTAAGGTTAATATGGTTATGTGTGAATTTGATCCTGTCATTATGATGTTAGCTGGTTATTTTGCTCATTAGTTGATGCAGTTTCTTCCTAGCCTCAATGGTCTTTACAATTTGGTATGTTTTTGCAATGGCTGGTACCAGTTGTTCCTTCCCATGTTGAGTGCTTCCTTCAGGAGCTCTTTTAGGGCAGGCCTAGTGGTGACAAAGTCTCTCAGCATTTGCTTGTCTGTAAAGTATTTTATTTCTCCTTCACTTATGAAGCTTAGTTTGGCTGGATATGTGACAAAAACAAGAAATGGAGAAAGGATTCCCTATTTAATAAATGGTGCTAGGAAAACTGGCTAGCCATATGTAGAAAGCTGAAACTGGATCCCTTCCTTACACCTTATACAAAAATTAATTCAAGATGGATTAAAGACTTAAATGTTAGACCTAAAACCATAAAAACCCTAGAAGGAAACCTAAGCAATACCATTCAGGACATAAGCATGGGCAAGGGCTTCATGTCTAAAACACCAAAAGCAATGACAACAAAAGCCAAAATTGACGAATGGGATCTAATTAAACTAAAGAGCTTCTGCACAGCAAAAGAAACTACCGTCAGAGTGAACAGGCAACCTACAGAGTGGGAAAAAATTTTTGCAATCTACTCATCTGACAAAGGGCTAATATCCAGAATCTACAAAGAACTTAAACAAATTTACAAGAAAAAAACAACCCCATCAAAAAGTGGGCGAGGATATGAACAGACACTTCTCAAAAGAAGGCATTTATGCAGCTGGAACACACATGAAAAAATGCTCATCATCACTGGCCATCAGAGAAATGCAAATCAAATCCACAATGAGATACCATCTCAAACCAGTTAGAATGGCGATCATTAAAAAGTCAGGAAACAACAGGTGCTGGAGAGGATGTGGAGAAATAGGAACACTTTTACACTGTTGGTGGGACTGTAAACTAGTTCAACCATTGTGGAAGTCAGTGTGGCGATTCCTCAGGGATCTAGAACTAGAAATACCATGTGACCCAGCCATCCCATTACTAGGTATATACCCAAAGGATTATAAATCATGCTGCTATAAAGATACATGCACATGTATGTGTATTGCGGCACTATTCACAATAGCAAAGACTTGGAACCAGCCCAAATGTCCAACAACGATAGACTGGATTAAGAAAATGTGGCACATATATACCATGGAATACTATGCAGCCATAAAAAATGATGAGTTCATGTCCTTTGTAGGGACATGGTTGAAGCTGGAAACCATCATTCTCAGCAAACTATCGCAAGGACAAAAAACCAAACACTGCATGTTCTCACTCATAGGTGGGAATTGAACAATGAGAACACATGGACATGGGAAGGGGAACATCACACACCAGGGCCTGTTGTGGGGTGGGGGGAGGGGGAGGGCTAGCATTAGGAGATATACCTAATGTTAAATGACAAGTTAATGAGTGCAGCACACCAACATGGCACATGTACACATATGTAACTAACCTGCACGTTGTGCACATGTACCCTAAAACTTAAAGTAAAATAAAAAAGAAAAGAAATGTAAATGATTACTCCTGTGATCAACTTAGTCTGGAAATGAAACTTTTTCACTTGGGCCTCAAAATTTAGTACACACATGTAGACTTATTGTATTTGTTGTAGAATTTCTACATATCTAAATTGGGAGATAAAAGAGAAAGACAGTAATGGGGCAGTAGGGAAATCTGACAAAAAGAAATATGAAAAACTCATCATTTTGCATACTAAATTTATCTCTTTATTATAAAGCAGGAATGAATCATGCCAGAATACCCCTTCCAAATTTTCTTTCCTTTATCATTTCTCTTTTCTAATTTCAATGTACTACAGAAGGAAATATGACAGGTTTATATTTATTTTTCTAACAAATGACATTGATTGCTTTATTTTTCTCCAGAAATATTGCTGTTTTCTATTGACAAAACATTTTTAAAGGAGAAATTACTTATTAAATAAGACATTGGATAAGTTAAAACTCTGTACTGCCCATTTTTGCTTCTTGAGAATCTCATATGATTCACAAACATGGTCTAGATATTTATTTGCATTGGTATCCAACCTAAACTTCTAAATCCTAGATAGTTGTGCTCTTTTTATGATTGAATGAATGGATTTCCCTTTTTTTTCACAGAAGAAACCCTAGCAGATATAGGCTCAGATACTAATAAAACAAAGAAACCAATCCAATCAAAGTAAATTTACAGAGATGTTTACCCATCCTCTAAAAATTTTCTAAATGAAAAGAGATTATACTTTTTTTTAGGTCCTAGGAGAAGGTAGATTCCAGGTACACAAAAATAGAGACTTGTAAACTAAGGTTCTGTTATAAATATATACATATTTTCTTCATAAGCCTTTGTGTCTAAACAGTAACTCCAGTTTTTTTTTTAAATGTTATATGAAAACTGAGTTGAAAACTACTCTAGGAAAACATTTTTAAAGTTATTGTTGGCTGGCAGGAATATGGGGCGGAGTTGAGAAATGAGAGCAGCAATAAAAAGGAAGTTAAAAAAAAGCTTGTCACAGGGCAGTGTAGTTCCAGAAAATAGGACTGACCAAGAAGCAGAAAAGCAAGATGAATGATGTGAAGCTTGCTGTCTTGGGTGGTGAAGGAACAGGCAAATCTGGTGAGTGGTGACATCTTCTCTGTTATCATAGAGTGTAGAAAGAGTGAGAAACATTGACATGTTAACCATTAACCACGTATTTCATATATATTTCATATATATGAAAATATATCTATAATAACATTATCTCACTGGGATGATAGGCACATTATCTTTCATTAGGAGTTTTCATTTTTATAGGTAAGTAACTGTATGTTTATAGAATATATAGGCAGGCATAGCAAGATAAATATCTGAAATGTTAATTTGTATATTGTTCTACTGATGTTTACAATTCATAGGAATAACAGGAAATTTCTGCATCACTATCCCACCTACTTCTCACTTCAACACACTTGCCTTATACCCACTAGTTCCCAAACAATGGCCTTGATAGAACTCATCTGCTCTGAAACTGGGGTAGGGAGATGTTTGGAGGTTTGTGGATTGTATTTTAAATGTAGCATTACTAAGATGAAGGAACTTTGTGGGGCGCATGGCTTGGTGGATGTTCTGGAACTGAGCAATAATGTGCTCTAACTTTGGAAGTCATGCTTTTGTTTTGCTGTGTTTTGCTTTGGTTTCGGTCACATTATAATGGTGACATGCTACCAATAGGGTCACTTGAGCCTAAAGAATCATAGCATCTTAACTGGCCAAACCCAGGAGCTGTGACATGATGAATGGATACCAGAGGTTCTTTTTCTATTTCCTGGATTTGTAGGTCCCTACATCCTTAAATAACTGCAAATACTTGGTAGTGTCTTTGTGACTATTACACATAGTACCTTGAAGCCAGACTGAGTTTGACAGAGAAAATAAACAGATGTCAAACTTCTTGCATCTCAAATATAATGAGAAATCTGTTTCTGTTACAAAAGGTAAGTGGCCTTATGTTTTTGTGGTAATGAATTAACTGCATAGTGATTTAGATGTGAAGCACTTTAAGATCACTTCCTTTCTAACTTTCTAATCATTTGTTTGTACCATGGAAATATTGTTAACTACTATTTAGAACAGAATTTGGTCTAATTTTAAAGTCTTTATTAATTCTTGAATATTTTTGGTTTAAGAACTAAAGCCTTATGCACATAACCAAATTAGCTGTTTCCTAAAATATAACAGCCCTAAATCTAGATTGTTTGCTTTGCAGCCCTTACAGTGAGGTTTCTTACTAAGCGATTCATTGGAGAATATGCTTCTAATTTTGGTAAGTCACTACTCTAGACATTTTTACCTTAAAACTTTTAACATCGTAATTAAATCCCACTTAAGTACAGAGATGCATTTTGATAGACTATACCATTTTTATGCATATGAAACAATTTATTTATTCACATATTCTGATTAGAACTGCCAAAATAGGTACTTGAATTAAATGTTCTTTTATGGTAAAATTCACCCAATTTGATGTTAAGTAAGACAGTTGGTTTCAAAGTCTGGAACTGGAAAAACATTAAAACTAAGATCCTCTCTTCAAAATATTGTAGAAGATGTAACTGAATATTTCTTGTAAGGTATAAAACAACTTTGAAATTCAACATTCTTTAAAAAATAAGAGAAAATTAATACTAAAACCACAACTAACAAAGGAGTAAAGTTTATTTTTATTGTAAAACCATAAGAAAATAATAGGAAAATTATGCCTTGATTAAATATCCTATCATTATCTAAGTCATTTATATAAATGTAGAAAAATTCTAAAACACATGCTGGGGCATTTTGATATAATTTTAAGATTATTTCTCGAACTCTTCTATAAATTTCTGTTTTTTGACTAGAATTAGCATAATATATGGGAAATAGTACAACACAAAAAGTGAGAAATTTTGCCATAATTTTGAGCATATTTTTGGCTCACCAATTAAACAATATAATGGTGCTAATATCTTACCCAATTGAAGAAATGAAATGAGGAGATGAATTTTTTTCTTTTTTAAAAAATAAGAATGGCAGATTACAGAAAATACAAAAATTGAGAGAAAGGAGAATGTTTTTGTTGATTATTAGTTATTTAGACTAAGAGGAATTTATGATTGCAAGTGTATTTTTCCATGAGAAACAAAAATCTTTAGCATTCAATCATGAAGTAGCATAATTGGAGTATCTCAGAAAATAGCTTTAATATATTACATTGTGTTTTTCCCTACATGAATTCAACATAGTATTTCAGTCCCTATGACATTATGAACATTTTAGGGCAAGAGCTTGAAAGCTGATTATAGAAAGTTGAAAACGTAAAAAGAAAAATTCCTGTTGTTTCATTTGTGAAGGCAACGACATCAGTCAAAAAGGTCAACATAACATACAAGTTAGGACTCGGGCATGAGAAAATGTCCCAGAACTAAAAAATAAAACAAACACAGAACGATATGCTATCCAAATAACAACAAAAGCCCTCAACTTAAACTTTGATATAATATAGTTGTATAAATTAATGAAATGTTTACATATTTCTGGCTGTTACCTCTCGATGAAAAATAAAAGACCTAGAGGCATTTTTGAAAAGCTAATCAAATGATCAAAAGCTCATTAACTCTATGAGGGCAAACTAGCAAAAATGACTCCACTTTGTATATTAAAACTAGAAGGGGAAATAATACAATTCTAAAAATGTGAGAATTGATGACACTTGCTGGCAGTTTTTGAGATTTGAGAGTGGATAGTTTTAATTGGCTAGAAGGAAATAGTGTGGTTTGGAGTCAAGAATAAACCTATAAAGTTTAGAAGAAACTGGCTGAAAACATAATTTAAGGTTTCAAGAAACTGTAACAAATTTCCTTAAATATAACCTGGTAGGAGTTAAGAAGTCAACCCTAATCCTCTGAGAGATGGGGAGTCATTGAAGAAATTTGATCAGATAAGTGATGTGATCTGGCCACAAGGTTCACTTTTACTTCTGTGTTGAGAATACACCAGAAACAGGAAGGGTGTTAGAGGAAGGATGGAAACAGAAAGATGACTTAGGAGGCTTTGTGATAAATTAGGCAAGTAATGATGGTGGTCGAGACTAGAGTGTTAGCAATGGAGATGGTGAGATACAGACAAATTCAAAATATATTTTGAAGGTAGACTAAAAAGGAATTTTAGAATAAATATGTGACATAAGACAAATAAATAATCAAGGATAATCCTAGGGTTTTTTGCCTGAGAAGCTGGAGTTATGGATATGCCATTTAACAAAATGGAAAATTGTAGAAGGTGCAGCCTTTGCAGGGATATCAGGGGTTCAGCTTGAAGTGTGTTAAGGTTGAGATAGCTATCAAGTATCTAAATGGAGATGTTCATTAGTAAGTTATTTGTGTCCGGAGTTCAGGGATGAGGTCTGGGCTTCAGACATAAGTTGGGTTCATCAGAAATAATTGGCATGTAAAGGCCTGGGACTAGAAGAGATCTGAAAAGGAATGTAAGAAGAGAAGAAACCTATGAACTTGATCCATGTTTGAAATGTGAGAAGTCAGTGGGGGCGGGGAGAGGTGAACAAAAAAAGATTAAGACGGAGCAACAAGGAATTAAAAAACAAAAACAAAAACTGGAGACAGTGTTGCCTTGAAGGTCACGTAAAGGAAATACTTTAAGGAGGTAGGAATGATCAACTACATTAATGCTACCAATAAGGCGAATAAAATCAAGATACAGAATTAACCATTAAGTCATAATACATTTAAGTTAGAAGAAATTTTTCATGTTTGTAAGATGTTGCTAATTGTATGGTAAAGAGGAAAAAATTATGATATATAAGAGGGAAGTAGAATTGCTGAAGCCATGTCTTTCAGTGGGTGAGGGGAAATCATCACTAGCTGAGAGTGAATGGATTTACTTTAGATGGAAACACAGATGTTCCATCCACAGTAATAGGATGGAATATAAGTATATGAGCAAAAAGGTATGTAGGTGAATATAGATAGTGGTGAGATTCATTTGTAAGAAACATATTGGCTGGGCGCGGTGGCTCACGCCTGTAGTCCCAGCACTTTGGGAGGCCGAGGCAGGTGGATTACGAGGTCAGGAGATTGAGACCATCCTGGCTAACACGGTGAAACCCCGTCTCTACTAAAAATACAAAAAAAAAAAAAAAAAAAAAATTGGCCAGGCGTGGTGGCGAGCCCCTGTAGTCCCAGCTACTCGGGAGGCTGAGGCAGGAGAACGGCGTGAACCCAGGAGGCGGAGCTTGCGGTGAGCCGAGATCGCGCCACTGCACTCCAGCCCAGGTGACAGAGACAGACTGTGGCTGTGGCTCAAAAAAAAAAAAAAAAAAAAAGAAACATATCTGAGTAAATACAACAAATACATGCTTTCAGTCACCAGCAATATAAAAAGAGCACAATACGATTCCACTAAAATGTGAGTGGTTGAATTTATCAGTTCACGTTTGGAGTATTTTCATACTGACAGTGGATATGCATATTTTTGCAGAATCTATCTATAAGAAGCACTTGTGTTTGGAAAGGAAACAACTAAATCTAGAAATATATGACCCTTGTTCTCAAGTAAGTAAAACAAAACACCTTTTTTATTGATTTATTTATTGATTGATTTTTTAGCAATTATGATTTGAAGATTATATGGGGGTAAGTGAAAAAAGTGAAAAGTTGCGGTGTTAAAACCGAAGTTTCTTCTCATTTTAATTATCAAAAATTTAAGAGATTACTTTCTAGTGTTGTCAGTTCCATCATCTAGCACGTCTGTAAGTTCATGTCGAAAATGATCATATCACAAATATCTTTAAAATTGCAACATTAGGCTGTTTCTATATTTCTATCAGGTTACAGTGTCACTGTCAGAAGTTAATAAGTGACTTATCAATTCACTTCTTATTTTCACTAATTGCACTTATAACTAACCAGTTGTCAATAGAACATAATAAATAAAATAGATTTTAAGTACAAACCTCCTTGTCTATTCATATGGGAAAACAGTTAAAATGGGATTATACACGTAAGAGAAAAGTGGCCATTTATTCAGGGTTTCAAAACAACTGTATGAGACAGATCATTTTAGGTAAATCAAAATGTATCTTAAATATTTTAGCTAAACCCTTATAATATTTTTGATTTTTATTGATTTAAATCTAGTACCAAAAATCAATAGATATTCCATTTACTAACAGATAAATGATATATTTTCACAACAAATATGTGGATATTATTCAAAAGACAATTATTGTAGCTCATCAAATTTTCTGAAAAAGTGGAGATGTTTTCTTCCGGAAAAGTTATAAAATTAGATAGATATAACTTTATTATAGTTCTGTTTTACATTTAGTCACTTTTAATTAAGGACAAAGCAATAAGAGAGAAACAGAACTATATTTTAGAAAATATCAATATTTAACACATTGATGTATCTTCCAGCGGAAGTGGGTCTCCATTAGTTAACTGTTTAAAGTATAAAAACACAGGTATTAGATCCCACCACTTTTAATGCACTTGGTTTATTTTCAGACACAGAAAGCAAAATTCTCCCTCACAAGTGAGCTTCACTGGGCAGATGGGTTTGTTATTGTGTATGACATCAGTGATAGGTCTTCATTTGCTTTTGCAAAAGCGCTGATCTACAGAATCCGGGAGCCACAAACTAGTCATTGTAAAAGGTAAGGTATTTTTCATTCCTTTCTCCTTTCTTTTTAGTAAATCATCATATAGCTGTAAGCATCATTAGGAAGAGTTTAATACAGCCTTCCAATTACAAAATTTAACAGCCCTGAACAATTCACCTTCCTATTCCACAGGAGTTACACATGTAGTAAAAAGAATAAGATGAGAATGCTTTATATCCTCGCTGACATAAACAGTTACTTGCCCCGAGTAAATGGCTATTTTACAAGACAGCTTCTATTGTTAACATGACACTCCCTTGCAAAATAATGGTCCTTTGTATATAAGATAGTTATCTTTCCAACCTTTTCTTTTCATTCTCACAAAAATGTTAAGGATACTAAATAAATTCAGATTTATTACGTTTGGCACCACATGAAATCCAATTCCTAGTCACTGAGTTGTTCAATCTATCAAAGCAAAATAGACTGAGTAATCAAACTGTTTACAAATTCTAAATATGAGAATACATTTTTCTCCATTTTACCTCCTAAAGGGCTGATCAACAATTCCTTTTTCTTAATTGTCTTGACACAAGGAACTATGAAGGAAGACATGATTGTACCTTAAGCTACTGTTTCATTAGTAGATCAAAGTTTAAGCATCTGAGTTTTCCATTTTAGTTTTCCCTATTTTTCAGTCATTTTGGCCTTTTCCATTGAAAGTATTTATTTTTGCTCAACATGCTGATTGTAAAAGAGTCTTTGTGCTTTTAACCAGTTTTGCCCTTAGAATCTAAATAGTATTCTAATCTGGTAAGTAAGAAAAGCACAATATTATTACTGAGAATTGGTATGTGTACTTTTAATAACTATTTTAAATGCCCACTATAAAGAAATCATGGATAATAATTGATAAAGTGTATTTCCCTGGAGTTAGATGATGTACATTCTTGCTTTCCTTTGATTTGCCTTAAGTAAGCCACTTTAATCTCTAGAGCTCATTTTTCTAATTATTTAACTGGTGGAAGCAGGATAGGAGAAACAGATGTGATTTTACTAAGGTGCCTCATAGCTCTTACTTCCTATAATATTACTGATATTTTAGAACTCCATTGTTTCAATCATTAAATATCTTATATTTAAGCATCATGGTGTAGGTAAGGGACAGGACTAAAAAATTCTGACATTTCTTCAAATCAGAGTAATCACTCAAGAACACTTAAAAACATACTGAAAGTATAAACATTTGTATTGGACATTTTTCAGGAAATATTTCTAGTTTATTGACTAGATAATCCTTTGAATATTCCCAGCTCTCAATCTGTAAAAAGACTAGGAAAGCAAAATATATCACTATTTCATTAAATTATATCTGATATTTGTGTCCCACCCTTGAAAATACATGTATATATCCTTCCTCATTTACCCTTTTCAATAATTTTATAAACTAGACTAAAAAAAGACCTTAGCAACATTTTTAAAAGTTCACCACACATTGTCATTTGAATGAAACCAACTTTTAGTGGAATCAGGGCCAATAAGAGTTGAAGACTGACTGTGTGCACCCATTTTTTTCCTTATAGTAGATACATTTGCAGTGTTCTATGCCATTTAAAGCCTAGTGATTTTAATATATTCTTCAACTCAAACTCTATTTTTATATTGTTTCTTTATAACCAAGGAAGACATACTGATATTTTCAGAGACATTTTATCTTAACAAAGACACATTTCTTAAACAGGAGAGTTGGACAAGTCCATGAGATTATACAATTTTCTCTAGAGCATGCTATAATGGATATTAGCAGAGCAAAAACAGCAATAAATATTGAATAATATTTTTGCTTATGAAAATATTGTCTAAATTGTTCAATTATAGTAACTGTATAAGTAAAGAGACATTTGCTAGCTCTTCCCTTGCAATTGATAAGGAACATGAAAAACAATACTTAGTAAGCATCTTTCATTGCCTGGGCCTGTGTTAGGTATTTTTATGTACATCATTTAATGTATACAATCTCCATGAGCTTTAACCTCTGTGAGAATTCTGTGTGAGGAGGATTATTTTACCATTTTTAAAACTTTGAATTTAGGTTCAGGGTACATGTGCAGGTTTTTTACACAAGTAAACGTGTGTCATGGAGGTTTGTTGTACAGATTATTTCATCACCCAGGTATGAAGCCTAGAACCCGTTAGTTAATTTTTCCTGATCCTCTTCCTCCTCCCACCCTCGACCTTCCAATAGGCACCATTGTGTGTTGTTCCCCTCTATGTGTCCATATGTTCTCATCATTTAGGTCTCACTTATGAGTGAGAACATGCAGTATTTGGTTTTCTGTTCTTGCATCAGTTTACTAAAGATAATGGCCTCCAGCTCCATCCATGTCCCCGCAAAGGGCATGCTCTCATTCTTTTTTTTTTTTTTTTGGTTGAGACAAAGTCTTGCTCTGTTACCCAGGCTGGAGTGCAGTGGCACAATCTTGGCTCACGGCAACCTCTGACTCCTGGATTCAAGTGATTCTCCTGCCTCAGCCTCCTGAGTAGCTGGGACTACAAGTGCGTGCAACCACGCCAGGCTAATTTTTTGTACTTTTAGTAGAGATGAAGTTTCACCGTGTTAGCCAGGATGGTCTCGATCTCCTGACCTCATGATCTGCCCGCCTTGGCCTCCCAAAGTGCTGAGATTACAGGCGTGAGCCACCGCACCCAGCCACTCTCATTCTTTTTTATGGCTACATAGTATTCCATGATGAATATGTACCTCATTTTTACATTAAAAGAAACTGAAAGTGGAAAAGGTAACAATCATACTTGGTTAGTAGACAGCACCAGAATTCAATAATAGGTCCATGTTACTTCAATTCCTGTGCTTTAAGAGACTTGTTGCTTCTGTGCCATTTACTACATTTTATCTAAAATGATTTTAAGTAATTGGGGCTATGTGTAACTGTATACACACATGACCATAAGTAACATACACACAATATTTTTTCTTTTTTGATTTATAATCCTTTGGTTATAAATCTGTTTTTTTTTTTTTTTTAAAAAAAAGAGTTGTTAAAACAATCTTGCTAAAAATTGTGTATCTCTATTTCAGAGCTGTGGAATCAGCAGTGTTTTTGGTTGGCAACAAACGAGATCTTTGTCATGTGCGAGAGGTTGGCTGGGAAGAAGGGCAAAAGCTGGCACTGGAAAACCGATGCCAATTCTGTGAACTGTCTGCAGCAGAGCAGTCTCTGGAGGTGGAAATGATGTTTATCAGAATTATCAAGGACATCCTGATAAACTTCAAACTCAAAGAAAAGAGACGTCCCAGTGGATCTAAATCAATGGCCAAATTGATCAATAATGTATTTGGAAAGAGAAGGAAATCTGTTTAGTAGACAGGTAATCCTGGGAGATTTCCTATATCAGAGAGTTTCAAACATTCACATGATAATTAAACTAACCTTTGTATGCAATTTTTTTTTGGTAAAAAGAATTCTCTTGGAGATATGAAATGATTGAGTATGAACCACAGCTGTGTTTTCAAATATGTAGTTTGCCTTTTTGGTTGTTGTACCCTGCTCACTCTCCTTCACACAGAACCTTTCATTTATTGTACAACATCACACTCACCCTAACCTACTGGCGGACAGCGATCCCAGTTTGCCTTGCCAAATAAACTCTGTTTATGTGAATTTATTAAACGACCATGCCATAGTTTGTGGTTTACCTTTATTTTATATAGTTATTTGGAATGAAATGGGTATTTATATTCATACAGTTAATAGGTCACAGAGCTTAGTTTATCAATCTATGAAAGTTCTTCATTTATTTAATAGAATTGCATGCATTTATTTTAATCATGTCTTTACAATAATTCAGTAGCTTACATAATATTATGCATATAACTTAGGCCCCTAAGCAAATTCCTTCCCCAACAGTATATATATTCTGTAGTTGACGTGATGATGAAAAAGTCTACTCTTCCCCATTTCCATGTATCACGCTATGTTAGCAAGGATCATTATCACATATTATTTTATAGAGCTAAGGTCCTTTTTAGATCAAAAGATTTAGAAACTCATACATCATAGGATGGAAAGAAGTAAAAACTTATCGGGGAATTTATAACCTTAAAGGCTTTTTTGCCCTGAAATAAGTATTTGTGGATTAGGTACAAACATTTTGGTTCTTCTCAGGTTACTCTAATTACTGTTTCTTTCCAAAGAGAAGCATCCACCTCGTAGACCACAGTACCACTCCCACAGCCCCTGTGGACCTTTGACGCAAGATGTGTTTCAAGTTGAGACCCAAGGCTTAATTTTGGCCAAATTGCTGACAAAGTTAGGTCTCAGGCACAGGAAATTACGACAACAAGCAATGCCACATGTACACACTTGGTTAATAAGTATTGTCAAGACCCTGGGGACCAATGTGATGAAGATCTTTAATAGAGAGTGTTAGAGTGGCCTTGGAGAGGGGTGAAACAGAATATTAAGCTCGATAGGAGAAAATTTACTGACATGAGATCATTCACCATGAGTCACAATGCAACATTGTAAGAGTGACACCTACAGCTGGTCTAAATAGATTTGCTGTTCCCTAGAAGTCTGACCTTGACAATATAACTAACGTAAAAGTAGTGGGAAAACGGAAATTAATGTGGTAGTGTACAAAATTGGTTTAGAATGTTTATAAGGACATGAAGGAGGAATTTAGGGTTAATATATTAAACTAGTCCCAAGAACCCAGTGTTTGACTATGATCCCTGGGAGAATTCAGGGGAACTTCGTTTACTCAGGAAGTAGGGATGCACTGATGAGTAGGCACAGACAGCTCTGAGAAGCTTAGTGGTGACTCTGCTCTATGGGTCAGAGTTAACAGTAGATCCACTCCGTTGTTTTACATCAGTGGGTGCTACCACTGAACTGTGCTGCCCCATATCAATGCAGATCATAGGATCCTGGAACAGCAAAATCTGGATGCTAGCATTTAACCTGCAGCTTGTTATCTACTCTCCCAGCAACCTAAGAAATGGTGCCACGCCCGGGGTGGAGGTTTTACTTCAGAAACTGACTGGTTGGATACTTAGAAGTGATGTCCTCAATCAGCCACATTGAGGAAAAGTCCATATTGTAGACCCATGCATTGCTTCCATCTCTGCCACCATGGCCACTGTTATCGTGGGTCAGTTACATAAGGAGAGATGGCCAGAAAAAAGAGTCAGGTGGATATCTGGTGGCCAAGTCATCCTGTCCAGCTCGTTGTAAAGTTATATCTCTGCTGGGCATTAACATGATACACAAAGATCTGTGTATTTTATGATTCCTCTGAGAGTTATCCTTTCACATACTTTTCCTTTAAAACTTATTGTCATGGGTATTCCAGCTTAACCTTTTACATACTTCTGACCAACTGGAAAAACTATTAATCACTGCCTAGAAATAGTGTATTACATGCTACTTTTCTTACCCTACATTTTTAAAGTGGTGAACTTTTAAAAATGTTACTAAGGTCTTTTTTAGTCTAGTTTATTAAATTATTGAAAAGGGTAAATGAGGAAGGATACATACAAATGTTTTCAATGGTGAGTCACAAATATCATATATAATTTAATGAAATAGTGATATATTTTGCTTTCCTAGTCTTTTGTAGACAACAAAGTGTATTTCTTGAAATTCTGCCAACTGAGATAATTTCTTTCTGTTAATAAACTTCATGGTCATCTCTGTAAGACTGTAATGACACACAGGCTTCTTCTGGCTGGCACTAATATATCATGTTTAAGTGAGGACAGCTTCCCATCAACTAGGAACATTTATATTAGATAGCTATGTGAGTGAAAAATAAACTTCTATTGTACAAAGTTATCTTAGCAAATTTAATGATACACTCTTACTGTCAACTGTTTATAAAAATTGTATTAATCTTTGATAGTTTTAATATTGGCTATATATACATATATATTTATAAGTACAAGTAGTTATACTTGAATATGGTTTTTGTTTGTTTTGTTTTTCTTCTGGATCATCTCATTTTTAGAGATTTGGTTTTCATTCCTTAGAATCATTTTTCCAGTTAAAGAAAGATTTGGGGACAATTTTGCCTTAAAAATAACATATTTATCTATGTTAAATGTAAGAACTCTAATGTTAAATGGTAATTTTTAATAGTTTAATTCAGGCATATGTACCTGTGATAAGTCAGAGATCAAAATTTTTCTGTCAAAGATACCACTTATATTTCCATATGTTTAAAATTTTTAATTAGACGCTGATGTTTTAGAAAATTGACCTTGGATGACACACCTTGTCATAAGGAATATATGGAATGTAGTAACAAGAACAAGAATTTATATTAAGATTTTTTTGATGCAGTAATTTTAGAAACGAACAGCTAATTATTTTTTCAGAGTGATATTTGAAATTATTAGATTAATTCCACCTTTGATAATGTGACAATTTTAAAACACATAAACACATTTTTTGATACTTCTCCCATCAAAAGATTGTTCCAATTCCCTTCCTACTGATGTAGATCAGTTTTACGGACTCGTCTTAACAAACAGATTGAGGCAGAAGTAACGTGTATGACTTACGAAGCCAGGTTAGAAAAGGAGACACAGCTCCCATCTGTTTCTCTCTCCCATGTTAACTCTGCTTTGGAAGCTATGAGTCAACATGTATGAATCCAGCTACCTGGAAGGTGCCAGGCTGGAGATAGCACATAGAGTTAATGACCACACAACCACCAGATAGATATACAAGCAAATCTTTGGGTGATGCCAGCCTACAACCTTTGGGCTACTCCAGCTGATGGCAAGTGAAACAGAGATAGGTGACTGCCACAGAACTCTACCCAAACTACAGATTTGTGAGCATAGTAAATATTGTTTTTATTTTGGAATTGTCGCATGGCAATAGATAACCAGAAAAAATAATTCATTAAAACCCTCAGCAACTCAGCCAATATGAAATATTTGGCTTTCTTACTAGGGAAAAATGAGGTGTTAAAAGGAATTCTCCAACCAGATTCAAAATTGTTTAGAACATGATATTGTCCCAATATCAGTTTTCTTGTGAACATAATTCACTTGTAAAACAACTTGAAAAACCTTAAAAATAATAAGTTGCATTTTTCTAAAGTGAGCAAAAACCACATATACCTACAGAGAAACAAATACATCAACACTAAGCAATAGAATGTTGTAGTTTGAGGACAGCAAGTGTGTCTGTAAATCTCAGAGCTAGCCAAGCTGTATCACTAGGCTGGGAATTGCCTATGCTGCTTCTAGTAAGAAAGATGCTGTCATTCATTTTGGATAAGCTTCAGTGAGATGACATATAATGAGGGGCAACAGCTGAGGAAGGGAATGCCAAAGGGGAGGGGTCTTTAAAGTGGTTTTGATTTAATACAAGGCATGCACTATTAATAAAGAGGTTGAATGATACCTGTATGTTTTATAGGTTTATAAATTGGCTGTAGTAAAATGTTTTACATCTTAGATCACTAGGTATTGTTTCAGCTTATTATGGGAGATATCTATCTAGAGTTGACTGAATTGTATTAATCTGAACCTAGTTTAATGATGCCTTAACATTTTTATGGGGCAATTTAATGTTTGCAATATCCATGTTCCTTATTTGAAAGCGTGACTTATAGGTTTCTCATCTTCCTTAAATTATAAAATCCTTCAGCTAATAAAGGAAAATGATTATAGTTTGCAAAAAAGGCAAAGTCATTTAACAATCCATATAACTGTCTATTGTAGGGCTTTGCATAATAATTGTAATTTAGCTATTAAGGATTCTAAAGGCAGTTATCAGTCATACTCTACAATTCTGGGGAATCAGGCAAAGCCCAAAAATTATTTAAAGTATTTTAAATTCCCAAAGAAATAGAGGCACACCATAAATTTGAAATATAGTCTATAGTGACAAGATATTATTTCATAAGAAAAGAAAAAAATTCATCATAATTTTCAAATATATAAACCACCAAACATTATTTTTCTTCCTTTTGGATATAGATGTAACACAAGTTTATGTTTAATAATGGAAATATAAATTACTCTAAGAAGCAAATTTGCAGACTATAAAGTATCAGTGTCAATGTAAAACTTGACCAACATTTTAGTGGTCCTGGAGCAGCTAAGGCATAATGAATTAAGAAAAATGTGAGTGATGGAATCACTTGACATTACATGAAAGAAAGTGTAACCATGAGTTGCCTGTATGATTTTTGACTGTTTCATGGGACTCAACATGAGCATTTAACAACTAGACACATGAAAACTTGTAAAAACACATATGTAAAATCAAGCTGATATATGCTTTTTCAACTGTAAATTTCAAGGTAATATAATATTTAAGTTCATAAAACTTAGAGGTATTTCTATATAAAAACACGTTCAAAGGTTAACTTTTTTTTGATTGAGTCATGGGTAGTATGTTTAATTAACTCAAACAGTAACTATAACTGTAATGAAAAACCAGTTGTTTGATTTGATCAGAAGATTTTGAAGCCTTCAGTGAAATAAGTCTGTATGTCATGCAAAGTTTGTTTTCCACAGTACATAGCTCATTAACCTGCTTAAAAATAGTATAGCATTATGGAATTAGATCATTATTAATGAAGTAATTTTTAAATAAACATATTATTACAGTTATTTGTTTGCAGACTAAGACAGAAACATGTGTACACATATTCTTAGGTAAAATAGTGGTTCTTTATATGAACTTAATCTCTCAGAAAGAATACAAAATATGAAGTGAATTAAAGGCAGAGAAAGAACAGAGATAGCAAAATAAGAGAAGAAAGAAGTATGATCAGATGTGAGAAATGTTACATTCAAAATCATAAACTTGGAAAAAGGTAAATTCCCAGATGGGTTCCTTTAGGACAGAAAGAAAAAAGTGCAATTATAAAATGGGGAATAAGTGGATATATACAAATATTATAGCAATTGATTTGAAATTACAAAAAAATGAGTAGGAGCTCAGTAATTTAGCATGATAATTACTTGAGTGGGCATGACCGAAACATGTGAGTGAATAGTTTAGAAGAAAGAGGAATATAATTGAAATATTATGAGGTAATTTTCCTGTTGTTCTCAGCAAACATCAGAATTGCGAGAAGAATTAGTAGTCATGTATGAAATGTTAGAAAAGTAAACGTGAATAAAGGTTTATAAATGGAGGATTTTGTGTCAAAAGGAAAAACAATTTGATAAAACCATCTTCAAAAATAGATGTATATTCACTATAGACTGCATAAAATGGGCTTAAATTGTGACTTGTGAAATTCAGATTATTTTAAGAAAAATATTCCTGAAAGTGAGGACTATAGTGCAGTGAGGTGGAATTTAAGATGACTGTGGGCTTCCTTTTCTGATAGCTGTGTGAATGCATGTGGAGATGTGGAGATGGGAAAGAAAATAACTCAAGGGTCTTTTCAACTCTTTGGGCATCTTATAACAGTGAATAGCATGTAACTAAGAAACTACTAAAAATGAGAAAATGATTTTTGAAAAAATAACTTCTACATTTTTCATTTTAAAACATAAATACAATAGTTTGTGTTATTCAATATTGTAAACTGTCAGGTATAGAGCCGTAATTGTGTATATTACTTTATTATTATTTTTCTTTGAGTAACACTTCTGTGTCAGTCCCCTACTAGAGAACCTTCACAAAACTGTGTTGACAAAAAATGATTTAAAAAAATAGTAGTGATCTTTGATCAATGATGCTCTCATTGAATATCTTCAAATAAATAGAATTTCTTCTGTAAGGAAAGCATAAAAATGGCTTCAATAAATTTATTTTATATTTACACATCCACTAGTAACTGATATCCACTAAAAATCAATATTGTATACATAGTAGTATTTTTTTAATCACAGGGGCTTAATTGAGACAGTGACTAGTTATGAGAATGGAATCCACCATTTTATAATTTTCTGTTAAAATTCTAGTTTTTAATTTGAATAATGACAATTTACAATTGGAATGAAAGTTCATGTAACAGAAATCATGTTAACAGAAATTCAATGTTTTACTATTGAGAATTAAAATGATAAATAAAATCATAGCCTATGTTTGTGCCACCTTCAAACTGAAAATGCATAATTCATCTGGTAACAGGTAGCTACAATATTTTAACTTATTCTTAAGTCCCAGCTTGCACACAAGCTTTGCACAACCAGAAAACTGGCCAGATGTCCTTCCCCTACACGGGTATAGTTTTTAAAACTCTTCTATCACTCAGGACCCACCACTAGCAACTCTATCTTTCTTCAAACATTCATGGCTAAAGGAATACAAGAAGTGGGAGTGGCAAATTATCTTAGCCTGTGTAGTGCTCATGACTAAAGGCAAACACAGGAAATGTAGATTCAGTTGTTGGAAATGTTGGGGCAGGATCTCAAACAGCTTTTGTTATAATCACTCATGTAAAGCACTTGAGTAAAAAAAGAAAAGGAAACCCGCAATCTGTGTCTTTTCTTTCCACTAACGAGAGGATGGTCAATTTGGGAACCACCTTCCACCTCAATAAAACACTAACAAAGTAATTCAATTCTGGTTACACATAGAGATTATGCTGAAACAGGTACAGCAAACAGATTTGTAGTATGAGATTAGACAGAGCTACATTATCCCCTTCCAAAAATAATGATTGAAAGAATAATGAAGATACAGATAAAATAGGTGTACCATGTGTCAGCAAACCAGACCATAGAATATCTTTCCTTTAAAGAAGATCAAGAAACATAAACAAATCCTTTACACACACATGCATAAATAGGAATGGGTTCAAAAATATTCCTCAGGAAAAAGAACATAAATATTAATATAAAATGAGAAATTACATACCTAATTTTTAAAATAGAAGATATAATAGAAAGTCCAGATCAGACTTTAGAATTTGCATTTTAGGCAGTGAAGAATTGAACTGACACTACCAATTGGTAAAAGATATAGGTGTAAAACCTGAGAAGATTTTTAAGAACACAAAGGACAAATTAATGAAAAACATGTACAAAAAGCATACCATGGATATACATAAATATTATAGGTGTAAATATTAGAATCTAATCTATAATACTTCATGTTTCTGGAATATAGAACTCAAAAATCCACAGCAGAAACAATTTCTATTCTGGGAGGAAGGAAGATAAACTTCTACATATCAAATACAATTCAATGTGTTTCACACACAAAAAATAATATTCTCTCGGAAGAAGTAGGTTAAAAAACAATGGAAATAATTCAAAAATGGCTTTATTTTCTTGGCAAACTATATAAGAAGTTAAGGAAAGTCTAAAGTGTTTCAAGGGAAACTTTTGTAAAACTCTAGTTATAAAGACAGATAAATTCTGTTTGAAAAATGAAGAAAATACGTGTAGATGTCCAAGTGCTCTGAAAAAAATATACTCAATTACTTTTGCTAAGATTTTTAAAGATCCAAACCCAAAAATAAATTAATCATTTAGAAACTAGAAGGCTATAATGTAAAAGAAATAGTGATAAGCTTGGTTGTGGTACGGAAGCGGGTCAGGGAAGTGCTGTGAGGAGAAGGGCGGGTCCCTAGCGAGGGCTGTACCCCGGGCCTGTGCACACGGACTTAGGTGAGGACAGGGACTTGCCCTCGTGCCCAAATGTTGCATTTCCCAAGATCACTCTGGCCTACCACACCCCCATCCTGCACCTATAAAAACCACACAAGCGGCTGGACGCTGAGAGGGATACACCAGCGGAAGAAGATGCAAGTGACCGGACGTGTAGAGGAACGCACTAGCATAAGAGCACACGGACAGGCACCAGCTGACCCCAGCAAGCCATCCACCAGAGAAACCACATGAAGTTTGATGGGGGTGGTCGGAGGAGAGTCTGGCTGCTGAGTGGCCCAATTCCAGGGGATATCCTTCCACTCCCCTTCTGGCTCCCCATCCATTTGCTAAGAGCTACTTCCACCATTCAGTAAAAAACTTTGCACTCATTCTCCAAGCCCACGTGTCATCCAATTCTTCAGGCACACCAAGGCAAGAACCCTGGGATACGGAAAGCCCTTTGTCCTTGCGATAAGGCAGAGAGTCTAGTTGAGCTGGTTAACACAAGCCACCTACAGATGGCAAAACTAAAAGATCACATGGTAACACACGCCTGCTGGGGCTTCAGGAGCTGTAAACATTCTCCCCTAGATGCTGCCCTGGTGTCAGAGCCCCACAACCTGCCTGTCTGTAGGGTCCCCCTGGAGGTTTAGCAGCATGGCACTGAAGAAGCAAGCCACTCCCCCTGTCTCATGCCCTGTGAGAGGGACAAGGGCACTTTTCCTGTTTCAGTTGTATATATAGAATAATATGTGTGATACTATCAGCAGTGATCCTGACACTTCTAGAAATCTAGGTTATGGCTAATCAGAAAAGCACTGACTTAAATATATTTTATATAAATACACACAAGCACCCTGCAAAGGTGATATTGCTGTTATTTTACATAGTTTAATCATTTACATATCTCAATATAGATGAAAGGGTTAATCTAGGTCAAAGGTCAGTTATTGACAGGGCCGAATTCTCCAGAATACAGACTCAGACTCTTAGCTGAGAGTCATAAATATAACAGGCTCTAAATGGCTGTCCCCACATCATACTTCAATGCTACTGAAAAGTATATACAAAATTAAAATCACTTCTACAGGTGTTTTTGGAGATTTTATGGTGTTGGGGTGATCAGACCCAGCACCAGGTCATGGGGGTGACAAAGTCCAGTGGAGTCAAAGGATTGGATTGAGAGAAAGAAAAAGGTGGGACACCAGGGGCCATTACTAGCGTACGTAGGGCTGCGAAGGCACCGAGCTCTGGGAGCCCACACTATTTATTGGTAATCCAACAAAGAAACAGGTGGTGAGAATGTGGAGGTCAAAAGGGCAGGTTGCATTAAGCACATGATTTACAACTGTGATGGTTTAGCATTATATGTAACATGTTCTGCTACTTGAGATAATGGAAATAGGAGCCTAGGAGCCTAGGAGGGCTAGAAGCAAGAAGCAAGTCTAGACACATTTCCCGAGGACATTATGCAAGCCCTGCTTCAGTCTCCCTCCCAACACTCAGCTTTTTCCCAACATGCCCCTGCCTTCTTTTTGTAAAAGAGAAGGTATCATTATTACTATCATTACTAGCTATCATAAGCAAGGCGATTGCAGGCTGTGCAGCCCTTAATTGCCGGTTGGTGACCCAGCTTCATTTTTCTTAGCCCTTATTCAAACAGGAGTCCCTCTGGTTTGAATGCTTCCCACATACCTCCCCTTTCCCTTTACAAGAGAACCCTTAATCCTAGGGGTTGCAGAAGGATGAAGGTCCATCTTCTGTAACTTCTTCATGCTGAATAGGGGCAATGATATTCCTGCCTAACTATTAGGGTCTCTTTATTCAGGTTAGAGAGGAGCTGAGTCAGAAAGCACTGGTCTGTTAAGCATCGTGACTCCAGTCGGTCCTTGTTCCATCTTCGCATTCAGATTCAGCTGGCTCATGGCTCGTACTGGGGGAACCCGGTCCATGGTTGGGATCCATGGGTCCCTCCAGTCTCCCGTTCCATGGTTGATACACATCTTGAGGGCATTCATACAGTTTGTTCATCTCCTGCAAAAACAAAAGCGTACCCTCACACCCCCATGTTTGTAAATCTACTACTGAAACAGAAGCAAAAACTTTTGTGGTTGTAGCTGAGAGGTCACTGATAATGAGAAACCGGCCTTTTCTGATTAACAGAAGGCACAGAGAAAGCAAATTGAGGCTTTTCAAACCTTCAATTCACACTGTACAGGTGGGTCCACTAGATGCTATGGCTCGTGATCTTCAGATGTGGTGGGCACCCACACAGGCACCTGATTGTCACCTGAAGAGACACAAGCAAATCCTCTTCCCGATAAAATTAGCTTTAGGCAGCAATTGGAGGAAGTAGACTCAGAGGCAAGGAGAATTTTGGGGCCTAATGGCTTCCTGATGTTTGATAGGTGTTCCCTCGGAAGTTAGGAATTCCCTTTCTCTCCATATTGCTGCGTGGGCATGGAGGACTAGGTAAGCATACTTAGAGTCTGTATATATATTTACCCTTTTTCCTTCTCCTAATTCTAGTGTATAATGGCCCCTGCTTTTGCTAGGATGTCTCTCCCTAACCAAGGAGTGGGGCTTTCAGGCATAATTAGAAAGGCATGTGAAAAGACTAAAGTTCCCCAGTCACAACTTAGTGGCTGGGAGAAGTATCTAGTGACTGCCTGTCCCAGGAACCCTCAGATAGTGACAGATCTGGAGGACAGTTATCCGGGACAGGAGAGTAAGACTGAGAAGCCCGCACCAGTGTCCAGGAGACAGTTAACCTCCTGGCCTCAATGGTCAAGCATACCCGGGGCTCTGGGAGAGTGACGGCATGGGCTGGTGTTTGCCCTGGGCACCCTCAGTCCTGCTGCTGGATCATCTGGTTAGTGGTTTCTGACTTAGAGGACTTTTGCCCCCCTGGGGCAGTGGGCCTTCCAGTGATTCCCTTGACATGAAGGGCATGGACAAGGGGGTGGCTTATTTCTATTCAGAAAATCATTTTTAAATTGTCCTTGCAGACCGCACTGGAAGCTAAGCCCTTTTAGGTATTCGATTTTCCCAGCCTTTCCCTTTTCCAGAGCCTCCCAAGTCCACTTGCCTGAGGGTCATGACTAAAGCGGTGGCTTTTTTTCCCCCCATTTGTCCCATTTTGCCTGTTTCTCCTGATCTCTATTGTAAAAAACTGAGGTTGCCAAGTTCAATAGGGTTTCTAAGTTTTGCTCTGGGCCTAAGGTGGACTTTTGAAGCTTTTTCTAATGTCTGCAGCTGACCCAGTGATAAACTTTAAGATTAGCTGGCCTTCAATAGAGGCAAGTAACAGAGGTATGCTTCCTCAATGCCTCCCTTTGTCTCTCCAGAAAGACAGTAGGATTTTCCTCCTTTCCTGTGTTATAGTGGACATCATTGAATAATTTATAGGCTTCTTTCTAGTTTTCCTTAGTCCTTCTAGCACACAAGTTAGCAAATGTCTGCGGCACCAATCTCCCGGTTCTGATTCTGCATCCCAATGAGTGTCTACACTGGGAATTGCTTGCTGGCCTGTGGGGAATTGTTCTCTTTCCTCTGTTGTCATCCTATCATTGACCTGACTGAGATACCAGAGATTGCCAAATTCTGGGGCTGCAGTTATGGCAGCACTTCTTTCATTTGGAGTGTCTGATCTAGCAGTAACATTCTATGTCTCCATGTCAGATCAAAAGATTGTCCTAACCCTTATAAAACATCAGTATATCCATCAGGGTTATCTGAGAATTTGCCTGGGTCTATTTTAATTTGCTTCAAGTCTGAGAGGGAAAAAGGTACATACACTCTGACAGGGCCGAATTCTCCAGAATACATCTTAGGGGCGTTTTTGCCTTGGGGGGAATGTTTCCAATCTGAAAAGAATAACATAGGGATGCCAGCACCCCTAGTCATTTTCCGATGAGCATTAGTCCTAGAGTGTCCTCGAGGGTCCTAACGCTTATTCCTTTCCAGGGTGCGTAACCACCCATGGACCTCTGCTTATCGGATTAGTTATGCTCACCGCTGTAGCAGTCCTGCACCCGTTTTCCTGCATTTCTGGACCACAAAGAAAGGGGTCTGGGCTGCTGGATTCTAGTGGTCCTTTACCAGCGTGTCTGACATTGCCTTTGCGCTCAGGGGTGAGTTCTAGAGCTGGGCTGGGTTCCTAAGTATTTCATAACAACCCAGCTGCCCTATCAAGATGCATTCCTGTAAACAGTTCTTATGCAAATACGTTTCAGAGAGGGTGCAGGTAACATTTGAGTTAGGATTGAGATACAGTTTTTTGATTCTGTAAGTACTTTAAGGCTTAGGCTGAGTGCAAACAGCTCGAACATTTGAGTAGACCAACTATTAAGCAATTTTTCTAACTCTGCTTCTACAAGTCTCTCTATCAATTACTGAATACCCATTGTGTTTTTCCCCTGAATCACTTGGGAGGAACCATCTGTCCTGTCCTGAAGGGAGTTCCTCCTAGGTCTGGTGGACATTTGCATGGTAATTACGATTTAAATCCCTCATTAGGAAACCTGCTGGGTTAAGGGAATTTTCAGTGGTTAATGTTAAATCACCATTTCCTAACAGAATAGCCTCATACTTTGAGTTAGTAAGCTAACTTTTTGCTTTTTTACTTAGGATAGCTCTGAACTAGTGAGGTGTGCTCACAGTGAGGTTTCTTCTAAAAGTTATTTTTCTACTTCTATTATCAAAGCAGTTGCTGCTACCGATGAATGCATTTGGGCCATCCGCAGGTTATGGGGTTAAGGATTTTTGATAGGAAGGCTACTGGTTGTCAGTGGTCTCAGTGCTTTCAGGCTACGCCCTTGTTTACACTAACAAGGTAGTATTGGAGTGTTTATAGGGTCATGGAGAAGACCTTCAATTATCAGTTATAGGTTTTAAATTTACCCTGTCTTTTAAAGGAATAAGGTAAACTTTTTTCTTCAATGACTTGTATATCACTTTCTCCTTTGTAGATGGATTTTGGAAAGACAGCGGAAGGACGTTTGCTGTCCTCCCTGTTGGATTATAGTTAGGGGAAATTGCCATGCTTCAAAGTCTTCCTTCGCTCTAGCCTTTTGAATAGAATTTTGTATAGGACCACCAATTGCTCCAGGTTTTAATGTTGCAACTACGGGAGCAGTATGTTTTGTGGCTAATTCATCTTCTTGCCCATTAAGGGGAGAGAGAGGAGGTGGGGTTTCACTTAATTCAGCAGGTGGAGCCGACAGGCTAGTTAAAACATACTTTATTTCCCTTTCTTTGAGTTTCCTGTTCGTCACATTCAGAATCTGTAGTTTTTTACACTCGTCCTCTTCCTCATCTAAATCTGCCTCGTCATCTGTTTGAAATGGCTCAAGAGCTACTTTTATTAGCACCCACATTGACCAAACCCAGACTGGAATTTTTGCCCCATCTTTATATGCTTTTTTAAAAAATGTCTGCCAATTCTCTCCCATTCATCCAACTCCATAGTCCCTTGTTCTGGGAACCATGGACAAAACTGCTTTACTGCACTGAAGAGTGATAAGTTTTGAGTACTTTCACTCCCCCTCTTCATAATAAATGCCTTAAATTTAAGTTAAGTAGAATGTCTGCTTTCACTTTGTCCCATTGTTACCCTGGTTCTTCAAGTGCTTAGCTTTCCTGCTGAGCTTCTTTCAGGAGTGAAGATATTTCCGAGATTCATGTTTCAATTTTTTTGGGTATATACCCAGGAGTGGTGTGGCATGACAATATGGTTCCTTTTTCTCCAAGTTTGTCTATTTTAGATACCTCATATAAGTGAAATTGTGTCATATTTTTCCTCTATGTGACTGACTTATCTCATTTGACGATGCGTCCTCTGCTTTCACATGCTCTAGTGTTCCTTCACTGGGGTCTTTGTCGCCCCACATTGGGCAGCCAGGAATGTTGGGGTGATCAGACCCAACACCAGGTCGTGGGGGTGACAAAGTTGGGCAGAGTCAAAGGATTGAGAAAAAGAGAGAAAAAAGGTGGGACATTAGGGGGCCATCACTATTGTACAGAGGCTGCGAAGGCCCCGAGCTCTGGGAGCCCATGCTCTATTGGTAATCCAACAAAGAAACAGGTGCTGAGAATGTGGAGGTCAAAAGGGCAGGTTGCATTAAGCACATGATTTACAGCTGTGACGGTTTAGCATTTATATGGAACATGTTTTGCTACTTGAGGTAATGGAAATAGGAGCCTAGGAGGGCTAGAAGCAAGGAGCCAGCAAGTCTAGACACATTTCAGAGGACAGTATGCAAGCCTTGCCTCAGTTTCCCTCCCAACATTCAGCTTTTTCCAACACATGGGAATATGCCTGTTTTATTTATAATTATAAACATGAAAACATGATACAAAAATATAGGCCATGTGATTTCATTTATGCATAAATGTATCTAGAAAAATCTTTGCAAAGGAATATGCCAAAAGATTATTAGCCTTTAGATGATTTTCTTTCTGTGCTTTCCAAAATTTTCTGTACATGATCATGAAATATTTTTGTAATCAAAGGATAATAACAATTACTTCCTATTTATAAATGTGTTTATTATGCTGAATTGTATGCTCAAGAATCTTACATGAATTATAAAAATTACTTCCAAACTTATGTTTATTAAGATCTTTTAAATCTTTATCTTCCAATCTAAATCAAATCCTAAATCTCATTAACAGGCTTTGTTAATTATTTATTTAAAAAATGGATTTCTTCATTCAAATTTTCTAGAATAGCATGTGTTATAATTGAGGAAAGAATATATAGCTTTGTATTTTTCATTAAGATCACCTACATACGACAATATGTATATTTTAAGTGTACTGTTTTGTAAGTTTTAACAAATGTCTAAACCTATAAAACAGTCAACAAATCATGAAATAGAACATTTCTAACATCCCAGAAACTTCTTTGTGCCCCTTCCAGGTAATTTGAAAGTCAGTTTGACATTTTCTTTAATAAACACAAATGTAACATTTAAAGTATTGGGTATAAACAATAAAAAATATTGCAATTATTATGCGGTGAGTATATCCATATTATATTACTCCAACCTCCAAAAAACCAGTGTATCTTTGATTTTTGTTCAATGCCATCTCTCAGGGACCTTAGCACAGTGTCTGGCACATAGTTGGAGCCAGTAGTATACTTATTGAATAACATGAAAGTGTATATTATACCACAGACACTGTATTATTATCTTTAATAAATAGTTTTATTATAATGTTATCACAGAGATACATGCTGTTAATAAGTGTTGGAAAATAATATAAAAGTTATAAAGGACAAAAATAAAGAACTTACATCATCTTCAAATGATTCCCAGGGTATTGAATATTATTAGTGTGGTGTGTTCTTTTTATTTTTATCTATCTTTCCTCTTGTAAACATAGAACACATACTTCAAAATCAAATCAAGCAATGATGTTTATTGACAGTCTATTATAGATCAGGGCTTTATTCTAAAATTCGAGGAGAGAGAAGTAAACAACATGTAAAACTCCATACTCCCATAAAGTTTATATTTTAGTGGAAAGACACAATGATAAACAAAACATGTGAATTACACAGGATGTTAGAAAATGATGAGTGTCTAGGGATTATAGAGGAAAATTAATCATGCAAGAAGGATAGGCATGGTAGGAGTGGGAGAGAGAGGTATGGCTGCTTTAAACACAAGTTAGGTAGAGCCTTTTGACATGATAACTTGTGAGCAAAGATGTGAAGGAAGTCAGGAGTGAAGTGTTCAAGATATTTGAAAAAAAAAATCCACAGAACAATAAGCAACTATGTACATAGAATCAGTTTGATCATTTTGGTTATTGCTTTTAACTTTGTTAGGCAAGTCCAGAATAGCATTTAGTTAAGAGTTAATTTTCTGCACTACTGAGGGATGACATTAGTTGATGCCCAGTGAATTAGGAGGTTTTCTATTCTTCCTATTGGGAAAGGCACTATTCCCAAACATGTAGAGCTGGTCTGCCTAATCCTTTCGGGTTGCACTTTTTCTGGTTTCAGAGAGTTTCTTCATATCCATGCCCTGATTAGTATTCAACTGGACTCTGAGATTACTCTGTGAAGTTCTCTAGAATTCTCTTTCATTACAGCTATCTCTTCTTTACATTGCTACTCTACAAACACCAGCCATGTCTCAGCTCCATCTCCTTCATTCAGGGAGACTTCCAAATTGTGTCTGGATTTCCCCTGCATGTGCCAAAGTCTGGAAATTTTCTATAGACAGTAAACTGGGCTATGCTTATGGCTTAGCTCATTTGTTCTTTTCTCAAGAATCACTGTTCATCATTATTTGTTGTATAATGTCTTGCTTATCACTACCTGACATCTAGTTTATTTATTAAAATATTTATGGATCTCTTGTTTGTCTCTTCCCACAAAGATATAAAATCTATGATGAAAGAGGTTTTTTAAATTATTATCTAACTATATATTTCTTTTTCTAGAATAGTTTTTGGCACACAAAAATACTTAAACCATTTGTTGCGAGAAGAGTGAATAAATAAATATTTATCAAAGTGTCTATTTTCTGTGTGGTCTGGTGTTTCCATTGTAGAAAAATTGAAAGAGTTGAAAACAGTTTGCAATATTTTATCTTCTACAATTATCTTAGGAAATTGAATTTACCATTAAATAATTTAGTGAAATATGCATATAATTATTTCATATGTAATTTGAGATGGGTTCTTAAAGTTGGATTAAATTGCAGGAGATCAGAAAAAATAATTTTCTTGAGTGATTAAAACTTTGTAAAGCAAAACTTTGAAGAAGAAATAGAAACATGCCCAGTGGGGCACACTGATAATGACATGAAAAGAAGAAAAGTAGTAGAGTTTTTCAATTAATTGTCAGCACATAAAATAACAGCTTAAATGAAAATGCAAATAGACTTAACATGAGAACTACCCTCTTAATATGTTTTTAAGTACATCACACTTTAGTGTTAACTATAGGTACTTTGTTTTACGGTAGAGATTTTTCATCTCATTAAACTGTAACTTGATGCCCACTGAACCCATTTCCCTCTCCTCCCATCCCCTGGCAACACCGTTCCTTTTTCTCCTTCTATAAGTTTGGCTAGTTTAGTTACCTCATATAAGTGAAATTATGCCATATTTTTCCCTCTGTGACTGACTTATCTTACATAGCATAATGTCTTCAAGATCCATCCATGTTGTCACAAATAAAAAACATTTTCTTTTTTTAAGACTGAATGATATTCAGTCTTAAAATGTGTATACATACCATATTTTCTTTACCCATTTGTCTGCTGATGGATTGGTTTGTTTCTGTATCTTGGCTATTTTGAGTAGTGCTCCAATGAATATGGGAGTGTTGTGGGAAGTCAGGGACCCTGAATGGAGGGACTGGCTGAAGCCATGGCAGAAGAATATAAATTGTGAAGATGTCATGGACATTTATTAGTTCCCCAAATTAATACTTTAATAATTTCTTACGCCTGTCTTTACTGCAATCTCCAAACATAAATTGAGAAGATTTCATGGACACTTATCACTTCCCCAGTCAGTATTCTTGTGATTTCCTATGCCTGTCTTTAATCTCTTAATCCTGTCATCTTCATAAGCTGAGGGTATGTCGCCTCAGGACCCTGTGATGATTACGTTAACTTCACAAATTGTTTAAACAATATGAAATCTGGGCACCTTGATAAAAGGACAGGATAACAGTGATGTTCAGGGAACAAGGGAGATAACCATTAGGTCTGACTGCCTAAGAGCTGGGTGGAACAGAGCCATATTTCTCTTCTTTCAAAAGCAAATAGGAGAAATATCACTGAATTCTTTTTCTCAGCAAGGAACATCCCGGAGAAAGAGAATGTGTTCCTAGGGGGAGACCCCTAAAATGGCTGCTCTGGGGACGTCTGTCTTTTATGGTTGTAGATAAGGGATGAAATAAGCCCTGGTCTTCTGTAGTGCTCCCAGGCCTATTAGGACAAGGAAATTCCCACCTAATAAATTTTGGTCAGACCGGTTGTCTGCTCTCAAACCCTGTCTCCTGATAAGATGTTATCAATGACAATGCATGCCTTAAACTTCATTAGCAATTTTAATTTTGCCCCGGTCCTGTGATCTCACCCTGCCTCCATTTGCCTTGTAATATTTTATTACCATGTGAAGCATGTGATCTCTGTGACCCACACCTTATTTGTACACTCCCTCCCCTTTTGAAAATCACTAATAAAAACTTGCTGGTTTTGCGGCTTGGGGGGCATCACAGAACCTGCCGACTTGTGATGTCTCCCCCGGAAACCCAGCTTTAAAAATTTCTCTCTTTTTACTCTTTCCCTTTATTTCTCAGACTGGCTGGGACACTTAGGGAAAATAGAAAAGGACTCATGTTGAATTATTGGGGGTGGGTCCCCCTGATATGGGAGTGCAGATATCTCTTTGAGATTCACATTTCAATTTTTTTGGATATATACCCAGAAGTGGTGTGGCATGACAATATGGTGATTCTATTCTTAATTTTTGAGGAAACTTCATAGGGATTCAACCATTTTACATTCAAGCCAAGAGTGTACAAGCATTTCATTTTGCCCAAATTCTCACCAAGAGTTGTCTTTTAAAAAATAATAGCTCTCCTAACAGGCAGGAGGTGATATCTCAATGTAGTTTGGTTTTCATGTCCCTGATGATTGGGAATGTTGAGTACCTTTTCATGTAGTTGTTGGTCATTCGAATATCTTCTTTGAAAACACGTCTTTTCAAGTCTTTTGTCCATTTTAAAGAAAGTTATTTCCTTGTTTGATTTGCTATTGAATTGTAGGAGTTCCTTATGTATTTTGTAAATTAACTCCGTATCAGATAAATAATTGGCAAATATTTTCTTCTATTCTGTGGGTTGCCTTCTCATTCTGTTGAATGTTTTCTTTGCTGTGTAGAAACTTCTTAGATTGGTATAGTCCTACTTGTCCATTTTTATTTTGTTGCTGGTGATTTTGATGTCATATCCATGAAACCATTAGTGAGACCAATATAATGAAAGCATATTGTATCACCTATGCCCTCTTCTAGGAATTTTACATAAATTCTTACATTTGTCGTTAATTCACTTTAAGTTAATTTTTGTGTATAATGCAAGACAGGGCTTCAATTTTGTGAATTTTAATGTGGATATCCAGTTTTTACATGACCGTTTATTGAAGAAACTGTATTTTCCCTATTGTTTATTCTTGGTGCCCTTGTTGAAGTTGACCGTATAATACCTGGTTTTATTTCTCTGCTGTCTATTATGTTCCACTGCTTTTATTCTATATCCCTGCTTTTATTTCAGTACCACACTGTTTTAATTAGTGTAGCTTTGTAATATATTGTGAAATCAGGAAATGTGATGTCTGTAGCTTTGTTCTTTTCCCTCATGATCACTTTGTGATTCTGGGTCTCTTGTTGTTCCATATGAATTTTAGAATTCTTTCTTTCTTTCTTTCTTTCTTTCTTTCTTTCTTTCTTTCTTTCTTTCTTTCTTTCTTTTTTCTCTCTCTCTCCCCTTTTTTTTCAGCATCTCTCTCTGTGGCCTGGACTGGAATGCATTGGCACCATCTCAGCTCACTGCAACATCCTCCTCCCAGGCTCAAGCGATTTTCCTGTCTCAGCTTCCTAAGTAGTTGGGATTACAGGCACCCTCCATCATACCCAGCTGTTTTGTATTTTTAGTAGAGACAGAGGTTTCACCATGTTGGCCAGACTGGTCCTGAACTCCTGACCTCAAGTGATCTGCCTGTCTCGGCCCCCTAAAGTGCTGGGATTACAGGCATGAGGCACCACACCCAGCCTAGATTTTTTTTTTTCCATATCTGTAAGAAATGCCATTGGGATTTTTTTGGGAACAACCTTCAATCTGCAGATTACTTTCAGTGGTATGGATGTTTTTAAATAAGACTAAATTCTCCAGTCAGTAAACACTGGAAGACTTTTCACTTATTTGTGTGTGTTTGTAATTTCTTCCATCAATGTATTGTAGTTTTTAGTGCATAAGACTTTCACCTCCTTGGTTAAGTTTATTAATATTTTGTTATTTTTCATGCTATTGCAAACAGAATTGTTTCTTAAATTCTGTTTCAGGTAGTTCATTGTTAGTATACAGAAACACGACTGACTTTTGTATGTTGATTTTGTGTCTTGCAACTTTACTGAATTTAGTAGTTCTTGCAGTTTGTATGTGTGTGTCTGTGTGTGTCTTGGTGTGGGTGCAGTCTTTAGGGTTTCTTATGTATGCTATAATGTCATCTATAATCATATATCTTTCTATGTATATGATCATGTCATCTTTCCTATGTATACAGTCACCTCATTCTTATTTATACAATCATGTCATTAATAATTTTATTTCTTTCTAATTTGAATTTAGATTCCTTTTATTTCTTTTTTCTTTGTTCCAAATTGCTCTGACTAGGACTTCCACTACTATGATGAATATAATTGGTGAGAGAGAGCATCCTTGTCTTGTTTCTTATCTTAAAGAAAAAGCTTTTGCCTTTTCACCACTGAGTATAACATTAGCTGTGAGATTTTCAAAAGTGGACTTCTTAGTGTTCAGGTACATTCCTTTCAGAGTCTAATTTATTTAACGTGAAAGGGTGTTAAATTATGTCAAGTGCTTTTTCTGCCTCTATTGAGATGATGATATGTTTATCCTTCATTCTATTAATGTGATGTATCACATTTATTGATTTGCATAAGCTGAACCATCCTTGCATCCCAGGCATAAATCTCACTTGATTGTGATATGATCTTTTTAAAGTGCTGTTGAATTTGATGTAGAAGTATTTTAAAGACTTAGGTACCTATGTTCATCAGAAATATTGAACTGTAATTTTACTTTTTTATAAGTGAACTTGTTTGGCTTTGGTATCAGGATAACATTGCCCTAATAAAAGTGAAGTTTTAAAGTGCTCCCACCACTTTAATTTTTTGAATGAGTTTGAAGATAATTCTTTTTAATTATTCTTCAAATATTTGGGGAAATTCAGCAGTGAGGCCACAGGTCCTGGGCTTTTCTTTGTTGTAATTTTGTTAATTACTAATGCAATCTCCTTACTTCTTATTGGTCTGTTCAGATTTTCTATTTTTTCATAGCTTTGTTTAAGTAAATTGTAGGTAGCTATGAGTTCATCCATTTCATTTAGGTTACCAAATTTGTTGGCATATATTTGTTCTTAGTAATCTCTGATTTTTTTTATTTCTTTGGCATCAGGTGTAATGTCTCCTCTTTTATTTCTGATTTTATTTGAGTCTTCTCTCTTTTTTTCTTAGCTTAGCTAAAGATTTGTTAATTTAATCTTTTTCAAAAATTAGCCTTCACTTTTGTTGATTTTTTATTTTGTTTTTATAGTCTCTATTTCATTTACTTCTACTCTTACCTTTATTATTTCCATCCTTCCACTAATGTTGAGTATAATTTGTTCTTCGTTTTCTAGTTCCTTGATGTCTAGAGCTAGGTTGTTTATTTTATTTCTTCTTTTTTAATGTAGATATTAATAAACTTCCCTCTTACAACTGGTTTTGCTGTATCATATAAGTTTTAGTATGTCATGTTTTTATTTTCATTTCTCTCAATATATTATTTGATTTCTATTTTGATTTATTCATCAATTCACTGGTTTCTCTGGAGCGGTGTTTTATTTTGTTGTGTAGTTTTTTTATTCCTTTTTTCCTCTCTTTCCTTTGTATTTCATTATTTTTTTGTAGAGACATTTCTTTGATTTTTTCTCTTTTTGACTTTTATATCTTCTATTTTGTTGTTGTTGTTTTATTACTGTGAGACTTACAAAAACATCCCTTCGTTATAATAGTCTATCTTAAACTGATGATAATTTCAATCACATACAAAACCTTACATTTTTATATTTCCTCTCCCCACACTTCTTGTTGTCAATGTCACAATTTAAATCTATTTATATTATGCATACATTAACACTTTTTGTAGTTATGGTTATCCTTAATGTCTTTTTTACTTTTACACTAAAATGAATAGTGGCGTGCATACCATCATTACAGATGTACAGCATTCTCTACTTTAAATTTCTTTATTGAGTTTTATACTTTTATACATGTTTATTTGTCATTTAGGGTCCTTTCATTTCAAGTCAAAAAATTCACTATCATTTCTTATAACGCAGGTCTGATCGTGACCAACTCTTTTAGTTTTTATTTGCCAGGAACGATTTTTACTTCTCTTTCATTTTTAAAAGATAATTTTTCTAGTTACAGAATTCTGGGTTAGCAATTTTTTTTTCTTTCAATTTCCTAAATGTTTTCCTGTTCCATTCCGTCCTATAAGGTTTTTCCTTGAGAAATTCCCGATAGTCTTATGGTGGACTCTCTTGCACCAGACAAAGTGTTTTTATCTTGCTCTTTAAAAATTTTCTCTTAGACTCTGACTTTTGACAATTTAGTTATCTTATGACCCAGTATAGACTCCATTAATTTATCTTATTTGAATTTTGGAGGCTTATGAATCTGAATCTGAATGTCCCATTTCCAGAATTATGAAGATGTCAATCATATATCTGGAAATAAGCTCTTTGTCCTTTTTGCTTTCTATTCTCCTTCTCAGACTTCCATAATGAATATATTGGTTCACTTGATGATGTGCCATAAGTCTCATAGGCTTTCTTCACTCAATTTGTTCCACTGACTGGATAATTTTGAATAACCTATCTTTGATTTTGCTGATTTTTTTTTTTATTTCATTGAGTCTGCTCTTGAAGGCCTCTATTGGACTTTGCAGTTCTGCCATTGTATTTTCAGCTTCAGAATTTCTATTGGTTCTTTTTTGTGGTTCCTATCTCTTTGCTGATATTCTAATTTTTCCTTTATATATTTTTCTTGATTTTTGTTCAGTTGTCTGTCTTCTTTAGCTCACTGGACATATTATGACAATTATTCTGATTTTTTTTCCAGGTAATTTGGATTTTTCCATTTCTTTAGGGTTACTGCAGATTTATTTTGTTCATTTGGTAGCATTATATTTCCTTGTATTTTCTTGTTTCTTGTAGCTTTACATGTCTCCTCATGTGAAAAAGCAGCCACCTCTTCTGGTCTTTGCAGACTGGCTTTGGCAGGGAAAGACCTTCACTAATTAGCCTTACTACAGATTCTGGGAATGCCTCAATTTTTTTTTATATGTGCGCATGTTACACTCATTTCCTTCCTTGTGGAAAAAAATCTTAAAATTTTGCACCTTCTACCCATCCCACAGAGCCATGCTGGTTATTGAGGGCCACTCTTGCATTTTCCCAAGGACTGTGCGTTGGAATGCTGGGACATTAGGCGCAAGCTCCACTATTTTCTTTCCATAGTGAAATAAAAGTACCAGAATTGTTTTCTTTGTCCCAATCCCACAGAGCCATGCTGGCTTTTCAGACCTGCACTGTCTGCCAAGATTGGTGCCATCTGCCAAGATTTGTACCTTCTCCTAGGAATTATGCCTTCTACTTTATTCAGCAAAGAGTGCCTGGTGCCATCCTGGTTTCTGGGGCCACACAGCTGTTGTGATCCACACAGACAACAATAATCTGTGCTGGGTTCTGGGTGCTGCACCTTTTGCTACAGGCCTTTTATCAGTTGTGATCTGTGTGGAAAGCTGCAATCTGCACAGAGCAGCTGCAATCCATGCCAGCTCTTGGGAGCCATTTGACTGTTGGAGGCCATGAGAATTGCTGGTGATCTTAATGATTGCTGAAAATCCTGCAGCTGCTAGAAGCTGGGTAGATGCCGGGGACTTTGCCAACTCCTGGAGACAAAGAGGGTGCTGAGAGTCACCTGTTCCTCCTCTTCATTTTAGCTGCCCTTGGGTGTTCCAACTATGACAAATTCCTCAGTATACTGGGGTAGACAAGACAAGAAGAGGTCTCTCTGGAAGTGTCCCAAAAGGCTGATGACATTGGCTATACTCCTTGTGCTCTCCTTTCTTCAGAGAGGAAATGAAGAAACAACAGCACCTCTCTTGGTACTGAGCTATGCTGACTCGGGGGAGGAGGCATCATAGACAAAATCAAACTACTACTCCTATTCATCTCAACATAGGCATTCTCTGTTCAGTGATTTCTGGGGCTGCTGCAACTTCTTAATTGTATTCTGTGGTTCTCACAGAAGTATTCTGGTCTGTATATAGTTGTTAAATTGGCATTCTGTGAGGGCTGGGGGGCGGGGGACAATAAGGACCTTTTATTCTGCCATCTTGCTGACATCACCCTAGCATCATATTTCTTAACTGTAGGAGTATGTCAGTCATTTTCACTAGAAACTAGAAGGCCTTGGGATGAGATTGTCTGTCTTGCTCATCACTATGTCCTCAGTACTCAGCATAGAGTAGGTGCTCAATAAATATTTGCTGAGAAGTTAATAAATAAATAGATATAGGTATCTTCTAGGATATAGAGATTATGTGTATGCTTTTGTTGTAGAGAGTGGAGTTAGGGATAAACACCTAGAAAGAAATATTTCAAGGCGAGCTAAAACGTTCTTTATGTATATGACAACAGGTGATGGGGAAGATGGTGGCATAGTGTGTATTAGAAAGTGCCTGTGCCTCAGTAGTTGTAAACAATATAAAAATATTCACAGTCAAATGATTCAGAGGACCTAGTAAGAATTACCAAATGAATTTGTTTAATATACTACTTCTGTCCCAGAATCTTGTATATCACAGCTGCTTAATAAATATCTCTCTATGTAAATTCCTAATCCTTTACCTAATTTTACAAATAAAAGATGTGTGTGCATGCGCATCTGGAATTATGAACATAGACTGAGTGAATGTGCTTTGCAAAGGGAGGCTCGATTGAAAACCACCTTTAGCAGTATAAGATCTGCATCTTATCTTGGATGAGAAATGATCTTCAGCAATACATACCAGTGGATATGTTTCTGGCCTTTCTAATCCTCCTTTTTATTATTATTCCGTTTTTGTTTTAAGCATCTGAAAATTGCTTGTCTCTTCATTTCTAAACACCTATCATAAAAGTCAGTACTCCATATTGTTTCTTTAAAATACAATTATAAAAGTTTTTTTTTTTTTTTTTTTTTTTTTTTGAGACGAAGCCTCACTCTGTCACCAGGCTGAAGTGCAGTGGTGAGACCTTGGCTCACTGCAGCCTCCGCCTACTGGGTTCAAGTGATTCCTGTGCCTCAGCCTCTCGAGTAGCTGAGATTACAGGCATGCGCCACCACACCCAGCTAATTTTTGTATTTTTAGTAGAGACGAGGTTTCACCATGTTGGCCAGGATGGTCTCCATCTCCTGGCCTCGTGATCCACTCACCTCGGTCTCCCAAAGTGCTGAGATTACAAGTGTGAGCCACCAAGCCCGGCCAAATCATTTCTTATATACCATTCAATTTATTTCAGTGATATTTTGTTACTTGTACTATAGAAAGTTAATAGGTCTCATGCACTGTATCTAGAATACAAATTGTACTGGTAGCATATTCCAACCTCTAAATGCCTTTCATGTCAGCATGAGAGATACCATCAGGCATTTGAAAGCTCTGGCCTATTTATAAAGATACCATAAAAACCTGCCTGATGTAGCTGGCTTATGAATCAATTATCTGAACTACACCAAGTGATGTATCTATTCTGAATTTAGAGTCATATATTTGAAGCGAAACTACAAACAGATAAACTATTCAATAGCCTATCATGATTCTTATCTTCATGTTTATACCTGTCAAATATAGGGGGAAAAAGCAAAATCATACTGATTTTACTGAGAAGAGTTTTTTTTTTGTAATCACACACACATTTTCCCTCTCTCTCTTTCTCTCTCTCTCTCATACATAAATACAGACACATACACACCCCTGGCTATCAAGTTACTTATGACGTGAGGGATAATGACCACAAACATTAAAAAAAAAAAAGAAACTCAAGAGCACACAAGGAATTACTCTTGTAAAAGGAATAAAAATAACAAGATTAATTCTCTTAACTTTATGTCTTAAATGGCTGAGTATTGTAGTAAAAAGAAATGTCATTTTTATTATAAAAGTTAGAAAACCACTGGATGTGGAGAGGAAATGGTTATATTTTATGTAAGATGTTGCTGAAAATAAGCCAAGCTTGCCAGAGACTTGTTTTATTCTCTTTTTAGGCTATACTTCATGAGATATATTCTATTTCAGAATCTACTCTTCATTTGTAAATACTAATTATCTCAGTTTTATTACTACATCTGGTAGTAGTCATATTTCAGGGAAGTTTTACTCATGCTAATAAAATTAATAAGAAACTGATATGCTAGTGTGGTGATGTATTAATACAGAGTGAGGAATGTAAGTAACTTTCGACTTCTTAGTGAATTATCTTCTCAGTAGTAACACCTATGTAAAAGACCAAATAAATATCTGAAGTTTGCTTTTCTGCATTGGATTATGATAAAAGAAAGTTAACGGGCCACTGCTTTTTTTTTGGTTTGGAAAAACAGTGACTATTAACATGAGGCCAAAAAATGTGAATTTAATGCAACATAAATCAAGGTTTTGAAGTTATGTTCCCTATGCAGAATCTTCTGGGTGTTGGCTATGGAGAGATTGGAATTAACTTAAAATATAAAGTTCCGATCGCCAACCTAGGTTTATTAAATTAAAATATGTGGGTGCATTCTTCGATCAGTTTTAATATACTTTTAGCAATTCTTAGGTATATTCAAGTTCAACTTTTTGGTAAAGAAAGAATCAGGAGAAAAAGCTAGTATGATAAACAGGAGACGTATTAAGAAGTGCTTAGGCATAGTGATAAGAGATTTGAAAGTTATGCTCGAGTTAACGAGTAGCCATTGGGCAGCGAACTGATGTGCTCACATTTGTGTCTTTAAAATATTATTCTTTCTGTAATCTAAAGAATGGCTACGTGAATAAAATAATGGAATTAGGAAAATCATTATTAAAGGATGGTGGCAGTGATCTAGTCATAAGATGATAGTGGTTTGCATTAGTAATACTTAACAATAGTAAAAGGAATAGTTAACATTTGCTGAATAAGCCTATGCCAAGAGGAGTGCTTTACAAGCACTTTGTATAGTAACAGATCATACCTCACCCATGAGTGAGGTATGAACTATTGCTATCCTATATGAACAAAACAGAAAACCTGAACCTCAGAGTAATTAGGTGCTTCATATAATTAGTAAACAGTAGAACAGGGATTCAATTCCACATCTCTGACTCAGCTGCTTATAGTGTTGCCTTGTGAGTTACTTTGACCAATATGAATAAATAAATAAAGCAGCAAACTAGGAAGCTACATAGAAGGTAGAATTGACAGGACTTATGATTGATTACATGGCAAAAGAGATAGGGAGGACCAAGATGATGCCTGAAATTCAAGGTGCATTATCATGCTTTTCACTGACATAAATGAATATAATATGAGGATTGGCTTAGGAAGGAAAGAAAATCTTATATTCAGTTGGAGAAATTGAGTTCAAGAGGCCTCTGTGGAACCTTCATGTAGCTACATCCAGTAGGCAGATGAATATAACATTACAGAGTTCAGGGTACAACTCTGAATAAGATAATAATTTAGGGAGACAGATGCGCATAGAAGAAAGTCAAAGTCTCGGGATTGGGGATGACATCTGCAACATGGTGAAATAGGAGGTCCCAGGCTGTCCTCCCTCCCCCACAGAAAATTTAACTAGGAAGTATCTACAGGCAAGAATGTCTTTTTGAAAACCCACAAAATTAGGAATGAGCCTGAGACAACATGTGGAACACAGAGGCGAATAGAAACTGCATTAGAAGGGTAAGAGGAACGGCCTCATTTAGACCATGTCGCTCCTCCCTCAATTTGGCAAAGCAACAGACAGAGTAGATTCTCTGCCCACTCTAGAGTAGGAAAAGAGAACTGGAGGTAGATGTCCGACTTCTCTAGCATTCCAAGGTGCTTCCCAGAAAGCATACTCTAGTCTCACCTCATGGGAAACGCTGGAATTAATAGCATGGCTGGACTATTCAGGGTGAGGTAGAAACAAAGAAAACAGGTAGAACTAACGGCAACCAACTCGCAGATCTTGCTGGTTGTTCTGTGTTACGCACACACACGCACACATACACACACACGCCTGTTACAATATTACAATAATATTACAGATGCTACTAAATTGCATGTTAAAATTTTCTGTTGGTTTTCTCTTTGCCTTTTTAATTTTAATTTCTTAGTGTCTTCAGAGAATAGTAGCCTTATGTACTGCTGACTAGACTGGGATAAAACCCATTTATGCCCATGACCTTGCTGTAGTTACTCAGTTTTTCCTTTTACTCTCAGAGTGACTCTTTTTGGAAAATATATATATGTGTGTGTGTGTGTGTGTATATATATGTATATATGTATACATATATATACATATACATATATATACATATACACATATACACATATATATACATATATACATATACACATATATATACATACACACACACATATACATATTTGTAGTGACAATCTCTCTTAATTATTTTCATTCTCTGCCTCTTAGTGCTCTTCAGGTTTCTCTGCTGTTCCTTCTTTTTCTTCTCATTATGGTTGAGACATTAATATGAAACATTACTATCCATTCCCAATACATTTTTATGAGTTGAAAACTGTCAAATTATAATTGTATATATTTTGTGCATACAACATGCTGTTATGACAGATGAATACAAAGTGGAATTATTAAATCAAGCTAATTAACTTACCTAATACTATGAACACTTATTTTTGTGATGATAACAAACATTTGAAATTTACTATCTTAGCAATTTTGAAATATACAATATACTGTTTTTAACTATACTCAACATGCTGTGCGTTAGATCTCAATCTTATTCCTTCTGTTTAAAGCTCTGTGTCCTTTGACCAATATCTTCCCCTCACCCGCCTACCACCCTTTGGGAAACAATGTTCTGCTCTGTATGTTTATGAGGTTGACTTTTTTTACATTTCACATATGAGTGAGATCATGTAGTATTTGTTTTTCTATGCCTGGCTTATTTCACTTAACATAATGTCCTCCAGGTTCATGCCTGTATTCACAAGTGACAAAATTTCTTTTTTTTTTTAAAGGCTGAATAGTAGTATTCCATTGTTTTTATATAGCACATTTTCTTTATCCATTCAGAGCTGGGTAAGCTAATTCCAGAAATTGGTGAATAAATCTTCAAGGAAATGGGAGTATAGATATCTCTTTGACATACTGTCCTCAAAACATTTGAATATGCTTGCACATGCATGCCTGTGGACCAGGCAAAGTCTCTGCCCTACAGATGCCAGCACATGCAAGCATGTGCACTGTACCATGTCACCACCACTGGTGTGCACAAACACTGTCACACTGATATCCTGGTGTAGCTGGCACATGCAGGTAAGCATGGATACTGCTGCCATGACTCCAACAAAAGGCTTTTACTAGCACTCCCCATCAAAGGGTTGTTGCCAGCGGACTGGGAATAGCTTGGCCCCTCCAGTGCAGCAGATGCTTAATCTTGAGGGGCAAGAGAAAAAGCCATGGGCCTTGTCCCAGTCCCCCAGGGTTATAGCACACAGCCTAGGAGTGGAGAGCTGAGCCTTGGCCCCCTGAAAGTGCCAGAAACAAAGCCAGTTAACTGAACCTATCTTATACTATTGAAGGTAACTTTGATACCCTCAAGGGCATCAAAGACTGTAAAAGTAAAAAGCCCCGTCCAAAATACAGAAACTTCAAAAGATTAAAGAAATATTAGCCTACATAAATGAGAAAGAACCAGTGCAAGAATTCCTGCAATTCAAAAATCCTGAGTGTCTTCTTTCTTCCAAATGATCACACTAGCCACCCAGCAATGGTTCTTAACCAGTCAGAAATGGCTGAAATGACATTAAATTCAGAATCTGAATAGTAATGGTGTTCATAAAGTTTTAGGAGAAAATTGAAACTCAATCTAAACAATCCAGTAAAATGATACATGAAAGACAAAATAGCCATTTTAAGAAAGAATCAAACTGATCTGATAGAGCTGAACAACTCACTACAAGAACTACAAAATACCATCAGAAGTGTTAACAGCAGAATAGAGAAAGCAGAGGAATGAATCCCAGAGCTCAAAGGCTGGTTGTTCAAATCAACACAGTCAGACAATAAGGAAGAAAAAACTTAAAAAATGAACAAAACCTCTGAGAAATATGGGATTATGTAAAGAGACCAAACCTATGACTTATTGGCCTCCCTGAGAAGGAGAGAGGGCAAGCAACTTGGAAACTATATTTGATTATATTGTCCACAATAATTCCCCCAACCTCATTAAAGAGGCTGACATTCAAATTCAGGAAATTCAGAGAATCTCTATGACATTCTATACAGGACTACCATCCCCATGATACGTACAAAATTAAAAAATCAGTACAAAATTTAAAAATATTAAAAGCAGCCAGAAAGAAGAGGCAGGTGACGTAGGAAGGGAACTCTATAAAGCTAACAGCAGATCTTGCAGGAGAAACTCCAGAAGCCAGAAAAGAATGGAGAATTATATCCAGCATTATTAAGGAAAAAAAATTTCAACTAAGAATTTCATATCCAGCCAAACTAAGCTGCATAAGCAAAGGAGAAATAAAATCCTTTTCAGATAAGCAAATGCTAGGAGTTTTCCGTACCACGAGACCTGACTTACAAGAGGTCCTTAAGGAAGTGCTAATCATGGAAACAAAAGACTGTTACCAGCCACTACAAAAACAACTTAAGTATGTAAACCAGTGATATTATAAAGCAACTACACGATCAAGTCAAAGAGGACGTTACTATCAACCCACAGAATTACCCCAATTTTCCTTTCTTTATAAATTACACAGTTTCAGGTATTCCATTATAAGCAATAGAAAGTAGACAAAGACAAGGATACAGCTTCTAAATGGAGTTAAATGGTTATTTTAGCAGAAATTTCTTTAATATTCTTGTTATGAAAACTTATAAGTATTTATTCTTGAAGACATTATAATGTCTTAATTTTAAGAGAAGCACTAAGAAATTGTGATGAAGATTAGGTAGCCCCATTATCCTCTGCTACTTAGTTTTTATTATTATTTTTTGAGATGGAGTCTTGCTCTGTTGCCCAGGCTGGAGTACAGCAGCATGATCTTGGCGCACTGTAACCTCCGCATCCCGGGTTCAAGAAATTCTCCTGCCTCAGCCTCCAAGGTAGCTGGCACTACAGGCATGTGCCACCACACCCGGCTAATTTTTTTGGTATTTTTAGTAGAGATGGGGTTTCACCATGCTGGCCAGGATGGTCTCGAACTCCTGACCTCACATGATCCACCTGCCTCGGCTTCTCAAAGTGCTGGGATTATAGACGTGAGCCACCGTGCCCGGACAGTTATTATCTCTTAAGTATACATGTCTGAGAAGATTTATACAGATGATTAATATAACCAACTGTCATTTATTTTGTGAATATTTCAGACAGTGACTTTTTAAATTATCTTTATTTCAAATTTTGGGTTAAACGTTATTTCAGTTTGGCACCCTGCAATGAACCTGCTCATATAATTTTTAAAAATATAGGTGTTTTAATATTCTCATGACCAATAATCCCTTTCATTCATAGAGTAACTCCAGTGCTTAGTAACTCCACTTACTTTCCCATTCTTCCCTAAACATCTGTAGTGGACTCCAGCCATACAGCCTCCTTTCTCCTTTCTGATTGTCTGTGTTATTAGTAGTTAATGACATTAGGCTATTTTGTAACTGTCCCTTAACTCATGAGATATTTCTCCAGTTCATAATTGTTTTGTCCTATTGTAGATTTAGTCAGGCTTTACAATAATTCTATAAATAATATGTGCAAAAGTAAATCTTTGACACATGTGTTTTTTTCCATGATATCTTAAAATCAATTATGGTGCAGGACGCATCAACATGCACAGTGTAAGGACACAGTGAGTACTCAAAAACATTTGTTGAAAGGAATACATTTTTAAATTAATTCAAGTAGAGAATAGAAACTTGTGTAAAGTAGATTCAGAAATTGTAATTTGGCCCTGAAAGCCCCTAGCATTGTGATAGAAAATGCCCATTTTGTAAGACAGTCCTTATATTAAAATGCCCTATACTTTTCTCAGCATTTGTTAATGTTATTTTGGGGGGACTTTTAAAAATTGACTGCGACATATTTAATAATTGAGTGTATCTTACTAAAGGGATAATGTGGCACTGTATTTACAGAAGCATTTGACAATTACTGTGTAATATATTTTAATTATTGAAACACCTCACAATGTACCTGTAAGAAATTCTTCTAATTTACAGTTTATTATATCCTTAGAAATGTTTCAAAATATTCAAAAATACACTATAACAGGTTTACCTTTGCACAGGAGATAATAAAAAATTACTTTTTTGTAATTGCGTGTATTAATAACAAAATGGAAAAGTATAAAGTATTAAAAGTAATATAAAGATGAGTAGAAATGTAAACATTTAAATAGTTGATTTTTGACATAAAATAAATAAAATGTGTGAAGTTCCAGAGCATATTTCTTTTATATAAAGTGTTCAAATATGATATCCCTAACATTTAAATTGTCTCATAAATCATAAAGGAAAATGAAAACAGCAACTCTATATGAAAATGACTAAATGACAAAATGAGAAAATACAAAAAAAAATGAACATAGAAATATTGTTTGGGTCCTCTCCTAACTAAATTGATTTTCTAAAAACATCAAGAAGATTCTAGGGGTGGCTAATGTTCAGTGCAAACCCCAGGATAGTGACGTTGACATCCTCATATTCTGCTGGGAGTGTACATATTCGTATAACTTTACATTAAAACAATTTGTCAATATTTATCAAAGTCCTGTTACAAAAATATGTTTTTCTGTATCCATTTACATGACACTATATAGACTTAGTATGTTTTATTAAAAAAACTAAAATAACTAAAAACATGACCAGGTGTGATGGTTCACTCTTGTAATCCCAGAATTTTGAGAGGCCTACACGGGGGGATCCCTTGAGCCCAGGAGACTGAGACCAGCCTGGGCAACATGGTGAAACTTTATCTCCCCAAAAAATACAAAATTCAGCAGGGCACAGTGGCCCATGCTTGTAGTCCCAGCTACTCAAGAGGCTGAGTTGGGAGGATCCCTTGAGCTCAGGAGGCAGAGGCTGCAAAAAACCAAGATTACATCAATATACTCCAGCCTGAGTGACAGAGCTAGAGCCTGCCTCAAATAAATAAATAAATAAAATAACACAAAATAACATTTTAGATTATTGCATCGTTTATTTTTTCTGACATAATTATTTAATTATTACTAAATTTAGAGAAACTACAGGAAAATTATGTCTTTTTTCCACATCTTTGCTCAACTCCACAAATGTAGAATATATGATTTTTTGTAATGTTTCAAATTTACAGCAGTCAAAATTATATCAAAATGTAAGTTAGTTTAAATTCCTACAGTTTTTAAAGTAATATTAAAATAATTTCAGTTACATTTTTGTACAAAAAGAGAAATGCTGATATTTTTGTACTATTATGCATATATTCCAGTTGATTACAAGTAAATTTATACAAATAATTTGCTTTAGAAGCTTGAATGGATTGGTTTTAAGTGAAGATATGTTTAAGCACATAAAGTTATTTGATTTTTTTCCTATGAGGCCTATTGTTTTGACAGCATACTAAATTGAATCAGAATTATTTAGCAAAGTTTCAATCATTGTGTTTCTAATTTTTAAGAATATAAAGTTCACATTTGCTTTAATGTCTAGTCCAAGTTGACTTTTGGTAAGAAATCTTACACCCCCTAGAGTATTTTTTTATGATTTCATTGGAATATTTTAAAAAGCTTAAGTGTGCAACTTAGAAGTTTTCAATTTGTAATGAATTTGAAAGAAAAGGTAGAAATAATACATAGGACAATTATTCCTCTTTTGAATTATTCCTTCGAGACAAACACACACACACCCCCACCCCTCAGTCTTGTGAAATTGTTGCATCTTTTTGCCATGAAGCATTTAATAACTTCATGTAAGTTTACAAATTGTTGTTTTTATTGAATGAGGACAGTAAGAAATTTTAAGGTTTTTATCTAATTATCTATTTAATATATATTGCTGATTTTTATAGTGTTTAGTATTTAGCGTGAATATAATTACTCTTTCATTTTTATCATTTGAAAAATTCTTTCAAAAATAAAATTATAAAACTTATATGTAATTTTAAAGTTAGAATTATGATTTGATGCTAATATATCAATATTTTTAATATCATTTTAAATTGCCTCATTTTACTGAATGTAACATTCAATATTTAATACAGAATTACCATTCTGTACTCACACATTGTTTTTTCAATTTTATTAGAAATGATATATTTGTGTTATTCATCTTTTTCATAGAATATTACATATAAGCTAAAATTCTAGAATAAAAAATTTTATCTCAATTGATATGCATTGTTTCAATACTTTGATACATATTTCCAAGTTACTTTCTTTTTTCTTTTTTTTTTTTTTTTGAGACGGAGTCTCTCTCTTTCACCCGGGCTGGAGTGCAGTGGCGTGATCTTGTCTCACTGCAAGCTCCACCTCCCGGGTTCACGCCATTCTCCTGCCTCAGCTTCCGGAGTAGCTGGGACTACAGGCCCCCGCCACCACGCCCGGCTATTGTTTTGTATTTTTAGTAGAGACGGGGTTTCACCGCATTAGCGTCTCGATCTCCTGACCTCGTGATCCACCTGCCTCGGCCTCCCAAAGTGCTGGGATTACAGGCATGAGCCACCGCTCCCGGCCATTTCCAAGTTACTTTCTAAGAAAGTCTGTCCGTTTATATGATCTCCAGCAGTGTATAAAAGTACCTTGGACCTTTGCTTATTTATTATTTCCTTCAATTTTCAGCATCTTTTGCATTTAGTCGCCACGGGATTTTTTGCTGTCAAGTGCATTCTCTATATTTGAGAATATCCAGTTCTGTCCTGGAAAAGGAAAATGAATAGGATAACTCACGTGCTAAGCAGAGGTAAGTGAGTATACTGTGGTGCTTGTTAGAAAGATAAAGTAGATATTTGTGCATATAGAAAGGGACGCAAGAATGCAGTGATACCTCCCCAATATTCATGAGGCACTAAATATACATGAGACACCTGGGGCATTAAATATGCATGACATACTAAATATACATGAGACACTCAATATTCATGTAGTCTTAATTCAGTCAACATTTGGTGACACCCGTTATGGCCCCGTGAGTCCTCTGCCCAAAATACACTCAAATGTAAACTTTTGTCCTTGTATCCATACTGTAGTGGGGGAGGCCTACATAGCAGAGAGAGAACGTGAACATTACATACTCCAGGGATCAAGTAGTGTAGTGTTGTCTTTTCAACTAATTACGTCATATCCTAAGTCTGAATTCATTTTATCTGTTTCACTTTGCTTTACACTGTCTGCTTTAAATTGATTCAAGTCATTCAATTTGATCTGTGAACCTTTTTGCTCCCCAATTGTTGGCATAGCTTGCACGCTAGTTTACTTGGAGGCTACTTTTGTGTCAAGGTAATTTTCCACATGACACTTTCTTACTTTTGGAGCGGTACATTTTAAATATTTTGATGCATTTAAGCACCAAAATATTGCATAAAATATTTTAAGCATTTGTAGTGTTTTGTGTGAAGAATCTTAATATCACACAGTGTTAGCCAGAACACAGAAAAATGATTATAAATGTACTAATGGGCATGTAAATTTACACACATACTCTTTCATCCGATAATATAACCTTTAGTAATTATTCTGCAATAACTTTAAAATATACACAAATATATACGTTTCAAGTTATACCAAAATTTCTTATACAATGTAAATATACATTAGGAAATAAAGTAATAGTTTGAAGCTTTTAAAATGGATGCTAATATAGAGCGCTCTCAATAATAAATTGAATTAAAAATGAAAGATATCAGAGTAAGCATGCTTGTATGTGTACAAAAATAAGGTAGAGCTACACCGAACATAGAACTTTTTCTAAAATGTCATATGTTAGTGTATTTATTTGAATGTACATGTATACCTGATAAATATTTGGAAGAACACACAAGAAAGCTCAGAATAGTTACCTGTGAAAATGAAATAGAGGTCTGGAATGGGGAAAAAAATCAGTATTTTATTTTTTTTTAATTTTTTTTCTTATGGAGTGAATGTATTATTAATGTAATTATAATAATAATAGATTTTATACATAAAGTAGTAGTTATAATAAGTTCAAACTCTGAAGTTAGGCTACTCCTAATTGTATCAATTTGTGATGTTGGGCTGGTTACTAAACATCTTAGTGCCTAAGCTCCCTTATCTGTAGAATGTAAATGACAGTAGTTCCTAGTTCCATAAAACTGATAGGAAAAGAAAAATATTTAAAAAGTGATATTAATATTTTAAAAATCTGATATTAAATATTGCATTAAATACAATGTTATATAATCTTATTGTTGTTATTTTCTTCAAAGAAATAGGTCTTTATAATGACTCTTCCACTGATAAACATTGACATTTAGAAAGAAAAATGTTAAAATAAAAAAAGAAATAGGGCAGAATAAAGACAAAGTAGAATGGTAGCTTGTTTTCCTTTTTCTAAAATATAATGTTTGGAATAAAGAGAAAATATATTAATGACTTGAAGTATGGCAGGTACAATAATGCCTTTTATTTTTAGCTGGAAACCTCCTTACAAAGCAGAGAGGAAAAAAATAAAGGTACAATAATACCTGCCATACTTCAAGTCAGAGGAAGGAATAAAGTACAGAAGTAAGAAAGGCAGAAAAAAAAGTAAGAAAGAAGGAAGGGAGAGTTAGAGTAAGAGAGAGAAAGGAGGGAAAAATAAATGAAGGAAAAAAAGAGGAGCAGAAAAGATAACTATTGGGTACTAGGCTTAATACCTAGGTGATGAAATAATATGTACAACAAAACCCGTAACACACGTTTACCTATGTAATAAACCTTCACATGTACCCCAAACCTAAAAAGTCGAAATATAATAATTTTAGTAATAAATTAAAAAGTAAAGTATTTCCAGGAAACAGGGTAGTCCATTCTATTTTTTTTACTGTCACTAATTATATTATTTTGTACAAGCCACTCATTTTTGTTTATTGTGATTTTAAAAACTACATAACATGCAATCTATATTAACAAATATTAAGTGTATGATACAATATTGTTAACTAGAAGCACAATTTTGTACAGCAGATCTCTAGAACTTTTTGACCTTTGGTAATCCACTCATTTTTATAATTTTTTTCTTATACCTCAAGAGAGTTATGGGCCATAAGGTGAGAATCAATGAAAGTACGTTTTGAATGGCATAACAAGTTATACAAGAGAGAGGGATGCTGGTATTCTGGCTGTCAAATTCTCGGCCCTCTGTTGGTGCATGAGAATAAGCTATTTAAGAGTACATTATTAAACATTGATGAAAGACTTTCTTCCTTATCCTGGTAGTATAACTGCTATGCTGGTGAAGCAGAGGGTCACCCTGTGGGTAGACAGAGATGAGAGTATTTTCAGGGACACTCTTTAAAAAGATAGTTTCCTTTTAGATATATTTATACATGAGGCAGAAGGAACCATTCTAGATTTCTTCTTTGCTGCTGTTGGGTCACTGGAACTCATGCCAGATGTGTTAGCTGCTGCTGCTAGAACCATCCCTCTAAGATATATGTGCCTTGAATGAAGATTGGGAAGTGCATGGGAGAGAGTAGTCACCATTGTCGCAAATGAAGATAACAGACTCTGGATAAGTGTGGCTGTCTCAACTTGTGAAGAATAATTCTCTAAGTATTTAGAGTGAAGCTTTTTTTCTTTCTCCTAGTTATGGAATAATCTTCTTCCAACTTTCAAACTGAAAGTTGGACCTCATACTTATATGCTAAAATTAAAGTTACAAGACTCAGGTGAAGTGAAATGCTTTTATAAAACTACCCACAGAACACAACTATAAAAGAGATGAACAACTAATGTGGTTGCCAAAAAAATAAACTGTATCAACCAATAATTTAACTGCTGTCTTGAAATGAGAGTGGCTTCATTATTAATGCAATATATATTTCTTTAAGAATTGAGAACTTGAAATTAAAGAATAGAACACAGAGCCCAGAACTCATTTAATGCATACATTCACTATATACTAATTAAAATCTTATATACTACTTGCAGAAAGTACTTTTGTGGCAGCTATTGTATGTATGCATTCTAGTTTATGGTTTCATACATACTAGCAACCAACAGTTTCACTAGTTCCTTAGAAGAATACTATGACATAAAGGTCATTAGGTGCACAAGGAGGAAGATGTAATGAGTTACATAAGCAACTGCAAATTCTAGATAGAGAACAGATTATATGCTGGTATGCAGCTCTCTCACGTAGTATAAAGAATTCCTTGGGAGTCTCTTAAATTCCTATTGAAAGAAGTCATAGTTGGGGCTATACCTATGAATATACCAGAGCCTGCAAGAGGGAACTGAGGCACCTATAATATAGGGGAGGAAGAATTGAGAAAATAGGTGACACAGCATCTGACATCTATTCTCAAGAGATTCATCATCAGTGGACCCACTTCAATTCATTCTGACCCAGCATCTATACCGTTGCTATAGCAGATGAGCTGTCATGAGACATGCGTCAGCACCAAGTTACATTCAAGCATCATCAGTTTAAAGTCTATAGAACATTGAAAAGCAATTTATATCTTTACTAAAATTTCTCAAATATGTATCAAAATAAATTGCATCACACATCTCAGGACCAAATACCCTAAAATCCACTTACCTTTGCTAGAGCCCCTGAAGTCCTAAATATTACAGAAGCCCCCAGTCTACTGATCTATCTGATTCCATTTAAAAATATGTTTTTTTTTCCTTTTAAACACTAATTACAACTTGCTCATGTTATCTCCTCTCTGTTTGTATAATTTTGTAGATCAATTTAATTGCTCCCTAACTAAGCAAGCTCATTACTGTTATCACAAATAACTCAGCAGTTTTAGGTGGAAACCTCCTTAAAAAGCAGAGAGGAAAAAAAAAGTTTTCTAAGTATTGGTCCATGTCACATTAGTGTTATAAAAGTATACAGGCTTGTGACTCTAGGGGAAAGCTTTTCTTCTCTTTTTTCTTTTCTCATCTTTTGTTTCCCTTTTTATATACTTAGATCCCCTTTTTCTCTTTTCTTTGGTCTGTCCTCTGTGTTTTTTTTTCCTTGTGTAGGTCAGGGAAGATTTCACAGAAGTGAAATGTAAACTGGCCATTCCTCCAGCAGTTTCTCTACACTTAAAGTCAATAATCCTTACTATGGCCTGAAATGTTTATTAAGTGGCCTATTGGACCTTAGCTAGTGACAGAATTCCAAATCATCTAAAATGACTAAAGTTAACTCTTGCTGTTAAATGGAGTGGTGGTATATATTGTAGTTACTGGAACTTCACCAGTTATACCCAAAGTGGTCTTCCTCACTCTCATTCTTTCTCTCTCTAGCTCTCTCTCCACCCCTTTTGTGTCCAGAATTGGTGGGTTCTTGGACTCACTGACTTCAAGAATGAAGCCGTGGACCCTCACGGTGAGTGTTACAGTTCTTAAAGGCGGCGTGTCTGGAGTTTGTTCCTTCTGATGTTTGGATGTGTTCGGAGTTTCTTCCTTCTGGTGGGTTTGTGGTCTCGCTGGCTCAGGAGTGAAGCTGCGGACTTTGGCGGTGAGTGTTACAGCTCTTAAGGCGGTGCGTCTGGAGTTGTTTTTTCCTCCTGGTGGTTCATGGTCTTGCTGGCTTCAGGAGTGAAGCTGTAGACCTTCGCGGTGAGTGTTACAGCTCATAAAGGCAGTGTGGACCAAAAGAGTGAGCAGCAGCAAGATTTATTGCAAAGAGCGAAAGAACAAAGCTTCCACAGTGTGGAAGGCTACCCAAGAGGGTTGCCACTGTTGGCTCAGGCAGCCTTTTTTTATTCTCTTATCTGGCCAGAGCCACATCCTGCTGATTAGTCCATTTTACAGAGAGCCAATTGGTCCATTTTACAGAGAGCTGATTGGTCCGTTTTGACAGGGTGCTGATTGGTGCGTTTACAATTCCTGAGCTAGACACAAAAGTTCTCCACGTCCCCACTAGATTAGCTAGATACAGAGTGTCGATCGGTGCATTCACAAACCCTGAGCTAGACACAGGGTGCTGATTGTTGTTTTTACAAACCTTGAGCTAGATACAGAGTGCTGATTGGTGTATTTACAATCCCTTAGCTAGACATAAAGGTTCTCCAAGTCCCCACCAGACTCAGGAGCCCAGCTGGCTTCACCTGGTGGATCCTGCACCAGGGCCGCAGGTGGAGCTGTCCTGCCAGTTCCGCGCCATGTGCCTGCACTCCTCAGCCCTTGGGTGGTCAATGGTACTGGGCGCCATGGAGCAGGGGCGGCACTCGTCGGGGAGGCTCACGCCGCACAGGAGCCCACAGGGGCGGGGGAGGCTCAGGCATGGCAGACTGCAGGTCCTGAGCCCTGCCCTGTGGGAAGGCAACTAAGGCCCAGTGAGAAATTGAGCACAGCAGCTGCTGGCCCAGGTGCTAAGCCCCTCACTGCCTGGGGCTGGCGGGGCCAGCTGGCCACTCCGAGTGCGAGGCCTGCCGAGCCCACGCCCACCCGGAACTCATGCTGGCCTGCAAGTGCCGTGTGCAGCCCCAGTTCCCGCCCGCACCTCTCCCTCCACACCTCCCCGCAAGCTGAGGGAGCCGGCTCCAACCTTGGCCAGTCCAGAAAGGGGCTCCCACAGTGCAGCAGCAGGCTGAAGGGCTCCTCAAGTGTAGTCCGAGTGGGCGCTAAGGCTGAGGAGGCGCCGAGAGCGAGTGAGGGCTGTGAGGGCTGCCAGCACGCTGTCACCTCTCAATCCCCCCTCTAAACAGGACAACCCAACTGCTGTTGGGAATTTGGCTGATGACTGCTCTAGCTACTTCCTGCTGGATAGGGGCAAAGAAGGGGCTCTGCAGTTGTAGCGTCCTCCGGAGGGGAACTCTTTAGGCCAGGGGAAGTGCCAGTGGGTTCGTCCGGGGTCCTCGGTAGAAGTTGTTAGTTGAACTCATTTGGGGTTCCATTTGTAAGACCATCTGTAGCTTGATGGCCTCGATTCTAGAGGAAACAAATTTGACAAGAAGGATAAAAATAAGGGGCCCAAAAGCGAGTAGCAGCTGGCTGCCATGGGACCTAGGAAGGGGAGAAGCCATGTTGCCCAACTCCAGAGGTTGGTATAAGAATTTGAAAGGCGTTGTCTGCTTTCAGAAGCCTTTTCCTGTAAATGCCGGGTGGCATCTCGTACTATCCCCTACTGGTTAGTGTAAAAACAACACTCCTCCCCTAAGAAGGTGCAGAGTCCTCCTTTCTCAGCAGTGAGGAGGTCTAGGCTTTGGCAGTTTTGGAGAGTCACTGCTGCCAAAGAATCTATTTGGGATTATGAAGTAAGAATAGATTTCATTATTTCTTGCAAACTGTCTGAGAAATCCTTTGAGAGTGTGTGGTAGTAGGATAATGAAGTAGATAAACCGGCTATTCCGGTTCCTGTAGCAGTAGCCATTCCTAACCCTATAAGTAGGGGTATTAGTTGTATGGCTCTGAGCTGACGGAATTGAGCTTTGAGGGGTACTGATAAGGTCTGATTTCCTGGGGTAATGTTAATGTTGGGACTTAGAAAGACTAAGGTGCAGGTGGCTGTCCAGTTAGTGGGGAGGCAGATATAGGTCGACATTCCACATAAGAAGGATATGCCTTGGCTGGGTAGACAGAACTGGTTATGTATGTTAAAAAGGTGTGTGAGTTTTTTGTTTTCATTTTCCCATACTCCTAGAGTACTTGCCAAGGTAGCTCCAGTGAGCGGCTGGAAAGGGGTGTTGGGAGCAAACTGAGTGGCTTCCTGTGTTCTATTTTCCCATTGGAGAAAAAAATGTTTTGTATCCACTAGGGAACCATTCAAGAGAGTGATTGAAAGAGAGGATGAGAAGGCATTCACTAGTGGTGGGGGCACTGCTGCAGGGAGTCCAGGGGTGAATGGTCATGCAGGGTGTATGTTTGCCATTACAAAACCTGGACTGTTTGTTAAGTAGGGAGGAGGTGATGATTCTGGGGGGCCCTGAGAAGTGGACAAGCCATCTGAATGGAGCTGTTTAGGTGACTCAAAAGTTACTATGATCAGTTGGGGCTTGAAGTTGTAGGGTGTAATTACACTGATGCGGTGGTAGGTGCCCCAGAGGCAGGCCTGATAACAGGTTGCATTGGATGCATAAAGGGGCTTGGAAAGTTAAGATAGTATTCGTGGTTACAGGGCTGTGTATGGGCTTTTCATTGCTTGTGTAATAGGTGAGGTTGGAAATGTAAGAACGTAAAAGTTGGGTTGCACGTCCTGTTAGGATGTTCTTGGTCCTATCAGATATGGGGAAGTCGGCTAATGATTGTATATTTAGAAGTTGGAAAGGGTCTTTTCCTTCATAACGAGGGTGGTAGGTCAAGTTGGTAAAGACCCAGTTTTTTGCGGGAATGGGAGTGGCAACTTAGGCAGAGGTTGATAGAGAGATACACAGCCAACAGTCATTTGCCAGGGAAGGATTGGACTGGTTTAACAGAGTGTGAGTTGAGTTGAGAGTCTTGTAGAGGTAATTAGGAGCTAGTGAAAGGGGAGGGGTGATGGTATGAGGTATCCAAGAAAGCAGGAGGGATACAGAGGCGAAGAGCAAATAGGAAGGTAAAGAGGGTGCTCTGGAAAACGAGATCATTTTATCTAGCCTGAGTTAGAGGTAGGAGTAAATTACTGTCAAAAGGAAGGAAGATAGAAGGTTGATGTGATTAGGATTATCGTTCTGGCAGGAGCTAGAGTATATAGTCCTATCACAAAGAGTATGGTTAGTATGCTGTGTTCATTTATCTTTTTTAAGGAGGAAGGGGTCTTTCCTCAGGATCAGTGGTAGGAGCCTTTTTAGTCTGGAATGTTTCCTTCCAAAATAGGAGGTGCAAGTCCTCCAATGGTTCGCAGGTGTATCAAGGCTGGTCTGGCTGATCTTGGGACTCCTGAGCTGATGATCCCACAGGTTCCTCAAGGGATGTCCAAAGTTTAACTCTGGTGTGGTGAATCCAAGATTCCACTCCTGCCAGCTTAACTGCAGTGGGAGTAGAGAGGATTACCAAGTATGGTCCTTCCCACAAAGAGTCCATGGATGGGGAGGTAGAGGGGAGAGATTTGACCAACACTAGATCTCCTGGTTGAAACAACTCTGTTCCCTTTTCTCTGTGACATCCTTCAGGTAGGTTTTTAAGGTTTTGTTGATATTTTGCCAAAGAAGTTATATCTTTGACCAAGTTGGCCATTTCCTGATCAAGTAGGAGGTCATTTGTGAGAAAAGGTCATCCATACAGCATTTCATATGGACTGAGCCCTATTTTGTGGGGAGAATTTCGGATTCTCAACAGGGCCATGGGCAAAAGAGTAGGCCATGGGAGGTGAGTTTCTTGTGTTAGTTTCCTTAAGTGCCTCTTGAGTGTTTCATTTGCCTTCTCGACCTTCCCTGAGGATTGTGGCCTCCAGGAGCAGTGAAGGTGATATTGTATCCCTAGGGCCCTGGAGATTCCCTGAGTTATCGTGGCTTTAAAAGCCGGACCGCTATCACTCTGTAAGCTTTGGGGAAGCCCAAATCTAGGAATTATTTCATGAATTAGGACTTTAATCACTTCCTGAGCCTTCTCTGTCTTGCAGGGAAAAGCTTCTATCCGATTTGTAAAGGTATCAACACAGACCAACAAGTATTGAAATCTCTTTGACTTAGGCATATGGATGAAGTCTAATTGCGAGTCCTCTCCGGGTTAGTGACCTATTCTTTGTTCCCCCAAAGGGGCCTTATGATGAACCAAGGGATTATTCTTTTGGCACACCTCACAGGCTTTGACTACCTGTCGGATGGTCTGGAGGAGATTTGGCCCCATAAATAGGGATTTGGCCATTTGATTAGTGTTTTCAATACCCATGTGAAAAGTTTGGTGGAGGGTTTTAAGTATTTTCCACTGGCTGGCTTCAGGTATAAGTACCTTTCCTTCTGCTGTCACCAACCACCCTGAAGGGAGAAAACTATGCCCCCGTGAAAGTCCCCATTCTGTTTCAGTCAGGTCATACTGGGTCTTAATCTCTTGGAGGGGGTTGTTCCATACCAAGGGTCCTTCTGTAGGTATTTCTAACAGGGTGTTCCACCTGGCAGCAACCTCGGCCTCAGCATCTGCCTGATGGTTTCCTTCTGCCTTCTCTCTTCAGCTTTCTGATGGCTTTGGCTGTGTAAGACTGCCACTTCCTTGGGTTTTTGCACTGTGTGCAATAACTCTATAATTTCCTTGTGGTATTTAATGGGGGTTCTTCTAGAGGTTAGGAACTCCCTCTCTTTCCATATTGCAGCATGGGCGTGTAGGATTAGATAAGCATACTTGCTATCTGTATACCCATTTATTCTTTTTCACTTTCCCAGTTCTAAGGCTCGGGTAACTGCCACTAGTTCTGCTAACTGGGCACTGGTCCCTGGGGGAAGAGGCTTACTTTGAAGTATGGTTATATCACTGACTGTGGCATAACCTGCCCTTCGTATCCCATTCTCCACAAATGAACTTCCATTGGTATATAGGTTAAGGTCAGGATTAGTTAAGGGGCTTCTAAGGGATCATCTCGGGTGGCATAAGTCTGGACTATAATTTGTTGGCAGTCATGCTCGATTGGTTCCCCATCCTCTGGGAAAAAATTGGCAGGGTTGAGGGACATGCATGTGCATATTTGAAGCACCAGTCCCTTAAGGAGTAGTGCCTGGTATCTAAGTAGGCAGTTGTCTGACAGCCATAAACTTCCTTTGGCACCTAGTATGCCATTTACATCATAAGTAGTCCAGACAGTGACATCCTTTCCTTGTATTATTTTGATAGCCTCTGACACTAAGATGGCCACTGCTGCAACTACCCTTAAACAGTGAGGCCAGCCTTTTGCTATTACATCAATTTCCTTACTTAGGTATGCCACTGGTTGTAGGGTTGTCCCACGAATCTAAGTGAAGACTCCAAGAGCTATCCCGGCTCTCTCTGTCATGTATAAAGAGAAGTTTTGTCCTGTGGGAAGGCTTAAAGCTGGAGGTTGTACTAGGGCCTGCTTTAAGGTTTTGAAGGCTGTTTCTGCCTCTGGTTCCCATTCTACTAGATGAGTATTTGCCTTCTGGATTTCCTTACTTAGAGTATAGAGGGGCCTGGCTATCTTGCTGTATCCGGGGATCCATAGTTGGCAAAAGCCGGCAATTCCAAGGAACCCCCTCAACTGTTTTAATGTCTTAGGGTGAAGATAAGCCAGTATAGGCTGTATTCATTCCTTGCTGAGGGCCCTGGTCCCTCTGGCTAAGATTAGGCCTAGATATTTGACCTGCTGTAGGCGAAGCTGGGCCTTCAACCTATACACCTTGTACCCTTGATTAGCTAGAAAGTTCAAGAGATCCAGAGTAGCCTGCTGGCATGAGGCTTCCGAACTGGTAGCCAAAAGTAAATCATCCACATATTGAAGGACCAGAGTGCCCAGACTTGAGAAGTGGCCTAGATCTTGGGCCCGTGCCTGACCAAATAGATGAGGGCTATCCCTAAACCCTTGGGGCAAGACCGTCCACGTAAGTTGGGATGTGAGGTCTGTGGGATCCTCAAAGGCAAAGAGGAACTGGGAGTCAGAGTGCAGGGGAATACAGAAGAAGGCATCCTTGAGGTCCAGAACCGTGAACCATTCTGCTTCCTCTGGTATATGAGAGAGCAGGTTATAGGGGTTGGGTACAACTGGATATAGAGGAATTACTGCCTCACTGATTAGTCTAAGATCTTGCACTAGTCTCCACTGATCGTTTGGTTTTTGTACTCCTAGAATTGGGGAATTGTAGGGACTGCTGCATTTCCTTACAAAGCCTTGAGCTGTTAAATGTTTAACAATATTCTGTAATCCTTTGTGAGCTTCAGGGCTTAAGGGATATTGCCTTTGATAAGGAAAAGTGGTGGGATCTTTTAACCTGATTTGGAATGGGTGGGCATTTTTTGCCCTTCCAAATTGTCCTTCCAATTCCCAGACTTCAGGGTTGGTTCCCTCCTCAAGTAGGGGACAACAAATGGGTAACTTGTTCCCCATATTCATGTAGATAATAGCTCTAGCCTTGGCTAATATATCCCTCCCTAATAAGGTTGTGGAACTTTCAGGCATAACAAGAAAGGCACGTGAAAAGAGCAAAGTCTCCCAATTACAACTGAGGAGGTGGGAGAAATACCTGGTTACAGGCTGTCCCAGGATTCCTTGGATGGTAATAGACCTTGAGGACAGTTGTCCAGGACAGGAGATTAACACTGAGAAGACCACACCAGTGTCCAGGAGGAAGTCAATTTCCTGGCCCTCAATAGTTAAACATACCTGGGGCTCAGTGAGGGTGATTACATGAGCTGGCACTTGCCCTGGGCACCCTCAGTCCTGTTGTTGGATCATCTGGTTGGGGGCTTCTGACCCAGGGAACCTTCGTCCTCTAGGGCAGTGCATCTTCCAGTGATTGCCTCAGCATAGTGGACATGGACGAGGGGGCAGCTTGTTTCTCATTGGACAATCTTTTTTAAAGTGTCCTAGTAAACCACACTGATAACAAGCCCTACCAGGTGATTGGCCTGCTTTATTTTCTGTCCTCTCTGAACCACCGAGGTTTGATTGTCTGAGGGCCATGACTAAGGCTGCAGCCTTTCTCTGATCTCGCTTTTCCTTTTGGGCCTGTTCCTCTTGGTCCCTGTTATAGAACACCAAGGTTGCCAGGTTTAATAATGCCTCTAGATTTTGTTCAGGGCCCAGTGCTTGCTTGAGCTTTCTCCTGATATCTGCAGCTGACTGGGTAATAAACTTATCTTTTAGAATCAATTGACCCTCGAGTGATTCGGGTGACAGGGAAGTATATTTTCTTAAGGCCTCCCATAGCCGCTCGAGGAAGGCAGAAGGATTTTCTTCCTTTCCCTTAGTTATGGTAGACATCATTGAATAATTCATGGGCTTTTTTCTAATTCTCCTTAGTCCTTCTAGAACACAGGTTAACAGATGTTTATGACTCCAGTTGCCATTATCTGAGTCAAGGTCCCAGTGGGGATCCATACTGGGGATGGCTTGCTGACCAGTAGGGAATTTGTCCCTTTCTTTGGCTGTCATTCTATCATTTACTTGACTAAGATACCAGGTATCTCCAAACTCTCAGGCTGCAGCTAAAGCCACATTCTTTTCTTTAAAGGCAAGGGTTTGATCTAACAGTAGCATGACATCCCTCCAAGCGAGGTCAAAGGTTTGCCCTAGACCCTGTAGGACATCTATGTACCTATCAGGATCATCTGAAAACTTCCCCAGGTCTGCCTTGATTTGCTTTAAATCAGAGAGGGAGAAGGGGACATGTATCCAAGTTGGGCCAAATTCCCCTACCCCTACATGCTGTCACCTCACTTTCTCTTAATATGTATTTCCCAGCAGTAAAGTGAACCATACATAAAGCAGAAGCAAAACATGTGAAAAAATAAACAAAGACTAATTGGATTTCTGGGATCTATAAGGCTGCCTCCCAGAAGTTTATGAAGATAATAAGAGTGTTTTTAGGCACTCATTCTTTTGTACTTTCAAATATTCTACCTCCCATTTTTCCCTGTTACCTTTACTTATGATGTCTACTCAGGAGAAAAATATTTGGAGACACCTGTTTTTCAAATTAAAGCTTCAGCACCTACTAGCTGTGAGATTTGTGGCTAGTTACTAACCTTTTGTTTTTTTGCAGTTGTTACATCTGAAGATGAAAAGAACAATGTATATCTTATAGAATTAGAGGCATTAAATCAGATAGCATATAAAAGCACTAAGTGTACTGTCTAGAAAACAAAAACGAGTCAATAAATGTCCTTTACCTGCTCAATTACTTTTCTTTAATAGAACGTATTTTCCTGAAAAGGCCTAATAAAAGTTCACACTAAAGGAATAAGTTTTGTCGATGAATTTCTTATCCTGAGAGCATTCAAAATTGGAGCTTCATATAAAATAGTAAAATATCAAATTTATTCTAATTAAAGGGGATTCTCAAATGTTTAAGCCAGGAGAATTGATCTATAATTTTTAAGTAAATTTTTTCTGTAGGAGATGATAGTATTTGAATACTTGTTTCTATTAATCACAAAGCTTCTTTCATATATTCTTGTTGGTCAGTAGAATATTCAAATATATAAAACGTGAAAGAAAAAGTTAAACATTGTGAGTTTCAAATATTACCTGGTTACAAGTTATCAACATCTGAATATCACAGTTTCACCGTAAGAACAATGATGTTTTACATCCTGCACTAGATAGCATAGGAACCATTCAACTACTTTTTATAAAACTTCACAACTAGTGAAATGTGTTTGTAAAATTATTGCTTTTCATGGTAAAAGCTTTACAATTAACAAGCCAGTGATTCAAGTCACTATCAATTTCTTTATGTTTATTATAGGTTCCATAGTAATCTACACTTTAATAATATAGATTAGGCAGCACTTTAATGAACAGAACCATTAGCCTTTGTTTTACAAAAAGATGAAAAGAAACCAGACTTTTAACTTATTTGAGTCTCAGTGTTGCAAAATAATACCAAAGCTTTCAGACAAAGGGCGTAAACAAATAGTGCTATGTGTAATTTTGAATATGAGTTTTTCTTTGTTCTAAAACTATCTTTGGGACCTTACATTCATTACTATTTTTAAGAATTATTTTTCATTTAGATTTCAAAATGGAAACGGAGTAGCACCTGGAAACTAAGGCAATTACAGGAGACTTACTTGATTAACTCTGATTAATGTTTATTGTCCAAAGAGTATACATATAAGGAAAATAAACATGATCCCAGAAGAAAAGTCCAAGATGCAATAGTAATGTATCGAAAGTGCTGTGAATATGGTTGAATCTAGACAAATAGTGCCAGTATAAAACAATAACAATATTGTTTTAAATGAAGAGGTAAAAATTCAGGACCAAACTAAAATGCTAGGAAAGAATATGCCTTTTTCTAAAGACAATTAAAGAAAATAATTCAGTTTGTATACTCTGAACTTATATGTGTGTTTATAATTTCTATGATGAAGACTTTAAGTTATGACTGGGATATGGTAGTTAGCAGCAAACCAGCATTCCCATCTGGTATAAAACATAAAATGCATACAATAAAATACATAAAATATAGAAAAAATATAGGGACAAAGTGAAGGAAGTAGAGAGGTACTGGAGTAAAATAATATAAAAAATCATAAAATATCATAGACAAAAAATGGTTTCTATACCATTTATAACTTGGGGGCATTTGCTAAACATAGGCATATGGAGAAGGCTAAAACTCTATTACAAAGACCAGAAAAGGTTACTGAGAAAAGAGAGAGAAAATCAAAGAACTGTAAAAAAAATTTCATTCCTACGTGAGTGAAAATATGTGATATTTGTCTTTATGTGCCTGGCTTGTTTCACTTTTACCCTGAATTGTTTAGTACACATTTATGTTGGTATCAAAATTTCACATGTACCACATAAATATGAAAACTATATGTTCCCATATTAAATAAAAATAACAAAAACAAAATGAAAAGCTTAAAAGCACTACAAATATGGTATATTGACCTTAATAGAATTACAGTAGAGCTTTGATTTATTACAATCTCTGATTGGATTAAAATGATCAACCACCACTCTTTATGTACAGTGAAATTAAGAATGATTATTCTCCAGACAGAAAATCATATGTGAAAATATCATACGATTCTCTACAATATTTTAGAAACACAATGTCAATAACTCAATAAGAAATTAAAATGCATGGCAAAAAGAGGACAATTGGGACAAAAACCAAGAGGAAAACAAAAAATATAAATATATCTCTACATAGCACAAATATTTGTGTTATGTAAAAAAATAACATTACAATAATGATGGTAAATTGGTTCAAGAGAGTTGCAGCAATAAATGAAAAAATAAGTTCACCAGATAACTGAAGCCTACACAAATAATCAAATACAAATAATAGGAGATATATCTATGTCTTAAAAATATATGTATCTTACTAAAAGACTTTAAAATCAGATTAGAGTAGAAGATAGACTTATCAAACTAAATGATATGATAATGGAAAATATTTGAGCATATGCCTAGGAAAAAGAATTAGGAACATAGAAAAAAATTGAAAAGTGTTAGAAAAAATAATCTGACTCAGAAAGAGACTTAATGTTAATGGAGCCACAAAGTAGAGGACATAAAAAGTGGGGACAAAATTGTTACTGAATCAGTTAGTATTGGGACACATGGAAAAAGTAGTTAAAACATATTCAAACAGTATTGAAAGACTCGATACAAATAAAAACTACATCTCGGTATATTTTGCTAAAGCCACCAAAAATTAAAGACAAAAAATAAGTAAAAGTAGACAAAGAAAAAAGGTAACATTTACTTCAAAGCAACAACAATAAAACTGTAAACTGACAAATGACATTTCCACAGGTGTGATGAAAGCCAAAGGACAATCGAACACACACACACACACACACACACACACACACACACACACACACACACAGAGTTGACGTCTGAATAACATAATGAGGTGGTTAGAACTGCTGACCCCCTCACAGTTGAAAATCTGCATATAACTTTTGACTCCACAAAAACTTAAGTATTAATAGAATACCGTTAACTGAAAGCCTTACTAATAACATAGTCAATTAACATGTTCTATATATGTGTTATACACTGTATCATTAACACATGTTTTGTATATTATATGTATTATACACTATATATATATATATATATATTTTTTTTTTTTTTTTTTTTTGAGACAGAGGCTTGCTCTGCTGCCCACGCTGGAGTGCAGTGGTGTGATCTTTCCTCACTGCAAACTCTGCCTCCTGGATTCAAGCAATTCTCCTGCCTCAGCCTCCTGAGTAGTTGGGATTAGAGACATGCCCCACCACACTTGGCTAATTTTTTAAAAATTATATTTTAAATTTTAGGGTACATGTGCACAACATGCAGGTTAATTACATATGTATTCATGTGCCATGTTGGTGTGCTGCACCCATCAACTCCTCATTTAACGTTAGGTATATCTTCTAATGCTATCCATCCCCCCTCCCCTCACCCCACAACAGGCCCTGGTGTGAGATGTTCTCCTTTCTGTGTTCATGTGCTCTCACTGTTCAATTCCCAACTATGAGTAACAACATGCAGTGTTTGGTTTCTTGTCCTTGCGATAGCTTGCTGAGAATGATGGTTTCCAGCTTCATCCATGTCCTACAAAGGACATGAAATCATCCTTTTTTATGGCTGCATAGGATTCCGTGGTGTATATGTGCCACATTTTCTTAATCCAGTCTATCATTTTTGGACATTTGGCTTGGTTCCAAGTCTTTGCTATTGTGAATAGTGCAGCAAAGAACATATGTGTGCATGTGTCTTTATAGCAGCATGATTTATAATCCTTTGGGTATATACCCAGTAATGGGATGGCTGGGTCAAATGGTATTTCTAGTTCTAGATCCCTGAGGAATAGCCACACTGACTTCCACAATAGTTGAACTAGTTTACAGTCCCACCAACAGTGTAAAAGTGTTCCTATTTCTCCACATCCTCCCCAGCACCTGTTGTTTCCTGACTTTTTAATGATTGCCATTCTAACTGGTGTGAGATGGTATCCCACTGTGGATTTGATTTGCATTTCTCTGATGGCCAGTGATGATGAGCATTTTTTCATGTGTTGTTTGGCTGCATAAATGTCTTCTCTTGAGAAGTGTCTGTTCATGTCCTTTACCCACTTTTTGATGGGGTTGTTTGTTTTTTTCTTGTAAATTTGTTTGAGTTCATTGTAGATTCTGAATATTAGCCCTTTGTCAGATGAGTAGATTGCAAAAACTTTTTCCCATTCTGTAGGTTGCCTGTTCACTCTGATGGTAGTTTCTTTTGCTGTGCAGAAGCTCTTTAGTTTAATTGGATCCCATTTGTCAATTTTGGCTTTTGTTGCCATTGCTTTTGGTGTTTTAGACATGAAGTCCTTGCCCATGCCTATGTCCTGAATGGTAATGCCTAGGTTTTCTTCTAGGGTTTTTACGGTTTTAGGTCTAACATTTAAGTCTTTAATCCATCTTGAATTAATTTTTGTATAAGGTGTAAGGAAGGGATCCAGTTTCAGCTTTCTACATATGGCTAGCCAGTTTTCCCAGCACCATTTATTAAATAGAGAATCCTTTCCCCATTTCTTGGTTTTGTCAGCTTTGTCAAAGATCAGATGGTTGTAGATATGTGACATTATTTCTGAGGCCTCTGTTCTGTTCCATTGGTGTATATTTCTCTTTTGGTACCAGTACCATGCTGTTTTGGTTACTGCAGCCTTGTGGTATAGTTTGAAGTCAGGTGGCGTGATGCCTCCAGCTTTGTTCTTTTGGCTTAGGATTGACTTGGCAATGCGGGCTCTTTTTTGGTTCTGTATGAACTTTAGAGTAGTTTTTTCCAATTCTGGGAAGAAAATCATTGGTAGCTTGATGGGGATGACATTGAATCTATAAATTACCTTGGGCAGTATGGCCATTTTCATGATATTGATTCTTCCTACCCATGAGCATGGAATGTTCTTCCATTTGTTTGTATCCTCTTTTATTTCATTGAGCAGTGGTTTGTAGTTCTCCTTGAAGAGGTCCTTCACATCCCTTGTAAGTTGGATTCCTAGGTGTTTTATTCTCTTTGAAGCAATTGTGAATGGGAGTTCACTCATGATTTGGCTCTCTGTTTGTCTGTGATTGGTGTATAAGAATGCTTGTGATTTTTGCACATTGATTTTGTATCCTGAGACTTTCCTGAAGTTGCCTATCAGCTTAAGGAGATTTTGGGCTGAGATGATGGGGTTTTCTAGATATACAATCATGTCATCTGCAAACAGGGACAATTTGACTTCCTCTTTTCCTAACTGAATACCCTTTATTTCCTTCTCCTGCCTGATTGCCCTGGCCAGAACTTCCAACACTATGTTGAATAGGAGTGGTGAGAGAGGGCATCCCTGTGTTGTGCCTGTTTTCAAAGGGAATGCTTCCAGTTTTTGCCCATTCAGTATGATATTGGCTGTGGGTTTGTCATAGATAGCTCTTATTATTTTGAGATACGTCCCATAATACCTAATTTATTGAGAATTTTTAGCATGAAGTGTTGTTGAATTTTTTCAAAGGACTTTTCTGCATCTATTGAGATAATCATATGGTTTTTGTCTTTGGCTCTGTTTATATGCTAGATTACATTTATTGATTTGCGTATGTTGAACCAGCCTTGCATCCCAGGGATGAAGCCCACTTGATCATGGTGGATAAGTTTTTTGATGTGGTGCTGGAATCGGTTTGCCAGTATTTTATTGGAGATTTTTGCATCGATGTTCATTAGGGATATTGGTCTAAAATTCTTTTTTTTTGTGTGTGTGTCTCTGCCAGGCTTTGGTATCAGGATGATGCTGGCCTCATAAAATGAGTTAGGGAGGAATCCCTCTTTTTCTATTGATTGGAATAGTTTCAGAAGGAATGGTACCAGCTCCTCCTTGTACCTCTGGTGGAATTCGGCTGTGAATCCATCTGGTCCTGGACTTTTTTTGGTTGGTAAGCTATTAATTATTGCCTCAATTTCAGAGCCTGTTACTGGTCTATTCAGAGATGCAACTTCTTCCTGGTTTAGTCTTGGGAGGGTGTATGTGTTCAGCAATTTACCCATTTCTTCCAGTTTATTTGTGTAGAGTTTTTTGTAGTATTTTCTGATGGTAGTTTGTATTTCTGTGGGATTGGTGGTGATATCCCCTTTATCATTTTTTATTGCATCTATTTGATTCTCCTCTCTTTTTTTATTCTTTATTAGTCTTGCTAGCAGTCTATCAATTTTGTTGATCTTTTCAAAAAACCAGCTCCTGGATTCATTGATTTTTTGAAGGGTTTTTTGTGTCTCTTATTTCCTTCAGTTCTGCGCTGATCTTAGTTATTTCTTGCCTTCTGCTAGGTTTTGAATGTGTTTGCTCTTGCTTCTCTAGTTCTTTTAATTGTGATGTTAGGGTGTCAATTTTAGATCTCTCCTACTTTCCCTTGTGGGCATTTAATGCTATAAATTTCCCTCTACATACTGCTTTGAATGTGTCCCAGAGATTCTGGTATGTTGTGTCTTTGTTCTCATTGGTTTCAAAGAACATCTTTATTTCTGCTTTCATTTCGTTATGTACCCAGTAGTCATTCAGGAGCAGGTTGTTAAATTTCCATGTATTTGAGCTGTTTTGAATGAGTTTCTTAATCCTGAGTTCTAGTTTGATTGCACTGTGGTCTGAGAGATAGTTTGTTATAATTTCTGTTCCTTTACATTTGCTGAGGAGTGCTTTACTTCCAACTATGTGATCAATTTTGGAATAGGTGTGGTGTGGTGCTGAAAAGAATGTATATTCTGTTGATTTGGGGTGGAGAGTTCTGTAGATGTCTATTAAGTCCACTTGGTGCAGAGCTGAGTTCAATTCCTGGATATCCTTGTTAACTTTCTGTCTCGTTGATCTGTCTAATGTTGACAGTGGGGTGTTAAAGTCTCCCATTATTATTGTTTGGGAGCATAAGTCTCTTTGTAGGTCTCTAAGGACTTGCTTTATGAATCTGGGTGCTCGTGTATTGGGTGCATATATATTTAGGATAGTTAGCTCTTCTTGTTGAATTGATCCCTTTACCATTATGTAATGGCCTTCTTTGTCTCTTTTGATCTTTGTTGGTTTAAAGTCTGTTTTATCAGAGACTAGGATTGCAACCCTTGCCTTTTTTTGTTTTCCATTTGCTTGGTAGATCTTCCTCCATCCCTTTATTTTGAGCCTATGTGTTTCTCTGCACATGAGATGGGTTTCCTGAATACAGCACACTGATGGGTCTTGACTCTTTATTCAATTTGCCAGTCTGTGTCTTTTAATTGGAGCATTTAGCCCATTTACATTTAAAGTTAATATTGTTATGTGTGAATTTGATCCTGTCATTATGATGTTAGCTGGTTATTTTGCTCGTTAGTTGATGCAGTTTCTTCCTAGCCTCGAGGTCTTTACAATTTGGTATGTTTTTGCAGTGGCTGGTAATGGTTGTTCCTTTCCATGTTTAGCGCTTCCTTCAGGAGCTCTTTTAGGGCAGGCCTGCTGGTGACAAAATCTCTCAGCATTTGCTTGTCTGTAAAGGATTTTATTTCTCCTTCACTTATGAAGATTAGTTTGGCTGGATATGAAATTCCGGGTTGAAAACTCGTTTCTTTAAGAATGTTGAATATTGGCCTTCACTCTCTTCTGGCTTGTAGAGTTTCTGCCTAGAAATCAGCTGTTATTCTGATGGGCTTCCCTTTGTGGGTAACCTGAACTTTCTCTATGACTGCCCTTAACATTTTTTCCTTCATTTCAACTTTGGTGAATCTGACAATTATGTGTCTTGGAGTTGCTCTTCTCGAGGAGTATCTTTGTGACATTCTCTGTATTTTCTGAATTTGAATGTTGGCTTGCCTTGCTAGATTGGGGACGTTCTCCTGGATAATATCCTGCAGAGTGTTTTCCAACTTTGCTCCATTCTCCCTGTCACTTTCAGGTACACCAATCAGACGTAGATTTGGTCTTTTCACATAGTCCCATATTTCTTGGAGGCTTTATTCATTTCCTTTTATTCTTTTTTCTGTAAACTTCTCTTCTCACTTCACTTCATTCATTTCATCTTCCATCACTGATTGAATCGGCTACTGAGGCTTATGCATTTGTCTCGTAGTTCTCGTGCCTTGGTTTTCAGCTCCATCAGGTCCTTTAAGGACTTCTCTGCATTGATTATTCTAGTTAGCCATTCATCTAATTTTTTTTTCATGGTTTTTAACTTCTTTGCCATTGGTTCGAACTTCCTCCTTTAGCTCTTAGAAGTTTGATCATCTGAAGCCTTCTTCTCTCATCTCGTCAAAGTCATTCTCCATCCAGCTTTGTTCCATTGCTGGTGAGGAGCTGCTTTCCTTTGGAGGAGGAGAGGTGCTCTGAATTTTAGAGTTTCCAGTTTTTCTGCTCTGTTTTTCCCCCATCTTTGTGGTTTTATCTACCTTTGGTCTTTGATGATGGTGACATACGGACAGGGTTTTGGTGTGGATGTCCTTTCTGTTTGTTAGTTTTCCTTCTAACAGTCAGGACCCTCAGCTGCAGGTCTGTTGGAGTTTGCTGGAGGTCCACTCCAGACCCTGTTTGCCTGGGTATCAGCAGCAGTGGCTGCAGAACAGCAGATGTTGCTGCCTGATTGTTCCTCTGGAAGTTCTGTCTCAGAGGAGTACCCAGCTATGTGAGGTGTCAGTCTTCCCTTACTGGAGGGTGCCTCCCAGTTAGGCTACTCGGGGGTCAGGAACCCACTTGAGGAGGCAGTCTGTCTGTTGTCAGATCTCCAGCTGTGTGCTGGGAGAACCACTACTCTCTTCAAAGCTGTCAGATGGGACATTTAAGTCTGCAGGAGATTCTCCTGCCCTTTGTTTGTCTATGCCCTGCCCCCAGAGATGGAGTCTACATAGGTAGGCAGGCCTCCTTGAGCTGTGGTGGGCTCCACCCAGTTCGAGCTTCCTGGCTGCTTTGTTTACCTACTCAAGCCGTGGGGCAATGGTGGGTGCCCCTCCCCCAGCCTCGCTGCTGCCTTTCAGATTGATCTCAGACTGCTGTGCTAGCAATGAGTGAGGCTCTGTGGACATAGGACCCTCTGAGCCATGCACGGGATATAACCTCCTGGTGCGCTGTTGGCTAAGAACGTTGGAAAAATGCAGTATTAAGGTGGGAGTGACCTGATTTTCCAGGTGCTGTCTGTCACCCCTTTCTTTGACTAAGAAAGAGAATTCCTTGACCCCTTGCACTTCCCAGGTGAGGCGATGCCTCACCCTGCTTTGGCTCATGCTTGGTGCGCTACACCCACTGACCTGCACCCAATGTCCTGCACCCACTGTCTGACACTCCCCAGTGAGATGAACCTGGTACCTCAGTTGGAAATGCAGAAATCACCCATCTTCTGCATCGCTCATGCTGGGAGCTGTAGACTGGATCTGTTCCTATTCAGCTGTCTTGGCTCCAACCCTCGCTAATTTTTTTTTTTTACATATTTTTAGTAGAGATGGGGTTTCATCATGTTGGCCAGGATGGTCTCAAACTCTTGACCTCAAGTTGTCTGCTTGTCTTGGCTTCCCAAAGTGCTGGGATTACAAGTGTGAGCTACTGTACCCGGCCTGTATGCTGTATTTTTACCATAAGGCAAGTTACAGAAAAGGGAATGTTGTTAAGGAAATCATATTGAAGATAAAATATATTTATTATTCATTAAGTAGAAGTGGGTGATCATAAAGTTCTTCATCTTCATCATCTTTACATTAAATAACCTGAGAAGAAGGAAATTCAGAGGGAGTTGAAAGTCAAAGGGGGTTGACCTTGCTGTGTCAGGAGTGGCAGAAAAGGCAGGCACACTTGGTATAACTTTAGGGAAACACATCATAATTTCTGTCTGAATTTTTTGCTTTTTCATTTCTCTAAAAGGGTTTCTATATGGTACCAATCCTTTTCCCATTGTTTGCTTTAGTTTCAATGCTCATATAGAATAATGCTGGTCATAAAAATGTCAAAAGCAATCTTGAAAAATTGAAAGCCTTCTGTCAGATTGGTTAATGTCTATTTGGTTTCTGGCACTGCTCTTTCTGCATCTTCTTCCTCATAGTCTGGCACCTGTTTGGAAGCATACATCTTCATCAAGTCATCTTTTGTTACTTCCTCTGGTGTGGCATCTATTAGTTCTTGAATTTCTCTTAGATCCATATTTTGAAATCCTTCACCCCCTAACTTTCTGCCACATTCACAATTATTTGTATGATTTGCTTGACTGGCTCTGTCATATATCCTGTGTCATCATTCACAACATCTAGACATAGTTTTCTCCACCAGAAATGTATTGCTTTAGGCTTTATGGCTTTCACAGTATTTTCTACAAGAACAATGACATTTTCAACCGTGTACTCTTCTAACTTTCATTACATTCTCTCTACTAGCTTTCTTTTCCCTAGCCTTGACACTTTTTTCCCCATAGAGTGCCATGGATATACTTCATGATGCCTAATTGAAAGGAAGGATACCTGTTATTGTATTTAATATGATTTGAACAATCTCTATACGCAAAAAAATCTTTCACAAGATTTCTCATAGTAGTGTTATTTTAATAGTAGAAACCAGGAAATAATTTCAGTGCTCAAATATACTAGAATGTGAAAATAAATTGAGATCTATTCATTTAATGAAATGAATATTATTATTGTTACCATAGTAAAAATAAACCACGTTAAGGCACAATGACTTGAATGAATTTGACAAACATAATATTAAGTGAAACCTGACACAAAAAGGGCACATGTATTACATGCATTATAGGCCATTGTGAGGAGAGTACTTACACTCGGGCTGCAAGATGGAAAGCAGAAAGAGAAGTCTCTGAGGTTTTATAATATTTGTTTTTTGTTTGGGTGATCATTATAATTTCATTACTGATAATTCATCTAGGGGAACACTCATACCTACACCTTTTTTCTATTTTTTAAATAATTCAATTTAAAATATTATGTAAAAAAGTCCAAATACTGCTTCTACCATGGGTCCATGTGTAAGTTGCCTGTTATATGTTTTGCTGATATCACTGATTTCTAGTGATTGTTTTAAATTTTTATTTTACTTTATTTTCTTCCTTCCAACTTTTATTTTAGGTTCAGTGGGTGAATGTACAGGTTAGTTACATGGGTAAATTGTGCACTGTGGGCATTTGTTGTGCAGATTATTTCATCACCAAGGCAATGAGCATAGTACTTGATAGGTAGTTTTCTAATTATCACGTTCCTCCCACCCTGCACCCTCAAGTAGGCCCCAGTATCTATTGTTCCCTTCTTTTTGTCCACATGTAATCAATGATTAGCTCCCACTTATAAGTGAGAACATGTGGTATTTGGCTTTCTGTTCCACATTAATTCACTTAAGATAATGGTCTCTGCTTCTATCATGTTGCTGCAAAGAACATGATGTCATTATTTTTTATGGCTGCGTAGTATTCCATGGTCTGTATGTCTCACATTTTCTGCATCCAGTCCACTATTGATGGGTGTCTATGTTGTTCATATTTTTGCTGTTGTTAATAGTGCTGCAATGAATGTATGTGTGCATGTGTCTTTATAGCAGAATGATTTATATTCCTTTGGATATATATCCAGTAATGGAATTATTCAGTTGAGTGGTATTTCTGTTTTAGATCTTGGAGAAACCTCTAAACTGCTTTCCACAGTTACTAAACTATTCTACACTTTCACCAGCAGTGTATAAGCATTCTCTTCTTTATTCACAACCTTGCCATCATCTGTTTTTTTTACTTTTTAATGATAGCAATCTGACTGGTGTGAGATGGTATCTCATTGTGATTTTTGTTTGCATTTCTCTAATGATTAGTGATGTTGAGCATGTTGTCATATGCTTGTTGGTCACGTGTATGTCTTCTTTTGAGAATTGTCTGTTAATGTCTTTGACCATTTTTTAATGAAGTTTTTTTTTTTGCTTGTTGATTTGTTTAAGTTCCTTATTGATTCTGGAAGTTAGACCATTGTCAGATACATCCTTTGCAAATATTTTCTCCCATTCTGTAGGCTGTTTAGTCTGTTGATGGCTTATTTTGCTGTGTAGAAGCTCTTTAGTTTAATTAGGTCCCACTTGTCAATTTTTGTTTTTGTTGTAGTGGATTTCAGTGTCTTCATCATGAAATCTTTCCAGGGTCTATATTTAGAATCGTACTTCCTAGGTTTTCTTCTATGGTTTTTATACTTCTAGATTTTATATTTAAGACTTTATCTTGAGTTAGTTTTGTATATGATGAAAGGAATGAGTTCAGTTTCAGTCTTCTGCATGTGGTTAGCCAGTTATCTCAGCACTATTTATTGAATAGTGGATTCTTTCTCCATCGCTTATTTTTGTGGACTTTCTCAAATATCAAATGGTTGTGGGTGTGTGGATTTATTTCTGGGTTATCTAATCTGTTCCATTGGTCTACAGATCTGTTTTTATACCTGTACCATGCTGTTTTGGATACTGTAGCCTAATAGTATAGTTTGAAGTCAGGTAGTGTGATACCTTCAGCTTTGTTTTTTATTATTTTATTTTATTTTATTTTTTATTTTTTTTGCTTAGGATTTTTTTGGCTATGTGTGCTCTTTTTTGGTTCCATTTGAATTTTAGAATAGTTCTTTTTCTAATTCTGTGAAAAATGTTATTGGTGGTTTGATAGGAATGACATTGAATGTGTAAATTTCTTTGGGCTGTATGGAAATTTTAACAATACTGATTTTTCCTATCCATGAACATCAAATGTTTTTCCATTTCTTTGTATCATCTCTGACTTCTTTCAGCAGTGTTTTTAAATTATCATTGTAGATATCTTTCATATCCCTGCTTAGCTGTATTCCTAGGTATTTTATTCTTTTTGTGGCTATTCTGAATGGGATTGCATTTTTTTATTTGGCTCTCAGCCTGGATAATATCGGTGTATAGAAATGTTAATTTTGTACATTGGTTTTGTATCCTGACTCTTTATTGAAGTTGTTTATCTGTTCTAGGAGCTTTTGGGCTGAGACTTTGTGGTTTTCTAGATATGGTATTATATCATCTGTCAAGTGAGACAGTTTGACTTCATCTCTTCCTATTTGAATGCCTTTTATTTCTTTATCTTATCTAATTACTGTAGCTAGGACTTCCAGTACTATGTTAAATAGGAGTAATGATAGTGAGCATCCATGTTTTATTCTGGTTCTCAGGGGAAATGCTTCCAGCTTTTGCTCATTCAGTATGCTGTTGGCTGTAAGTTTGTCACAGATGGCTCTTATTATTTTGAGGTATGTTTCTCTGATGCCTATATTTTTGAGGATTTTTACCATGAAAGTATGTTAAATTTCATTGAAAGCCTTTTCTGAATCTATTGAAATGATAAGGTAATTTTGTTTTAGTTCTGTTTATGTAATGAATTACATTATTGATTTAAGTATGTTGGGCCAATCTTGCATTCCAGGAATAAAGTCTACTTGACCTTGCTGTAATAGCTCTTTGATGTGCCTCTGGATTTTGTTTGTTAGTATTTTGTTGAAGATTTTTGCATCTGCGTTCAGCAGGAATATTGGCCTGAGATTTTATTTTCTTTTCATTGTTTTTATGCCAGGTATGGGTTTCAGGATGATGCTGATCTCATATATAGAATTAGGAAGGAATCTCTCTTTTTCAGTTGTTTGAAGTAATCTCAATGGGACTGGTCCTAGCTCTTCTTCATTTGTCTGATAGCAATTGTCTGTTAATCCATCTGGTCCAGGACTTTTTCTGGTTAGTAGAATTTTATTACTTATTCAGTTTTGGAACTCACTATTGGTCTGTTCAGTGTTTTAATTTCTTCCTGGTTCAATCCAGGGAAGTTGATGTTTATAGGAATTTATCCATTTTTTTTCTAGATTTTCTAGTTTGTATGCATAGAGGGGTGCATCAAGGTAAAAGTCTCTAAGGGATTTTTGTATTTCTCTGGGGTCATTGTTTATCTTCATTTTGTCATTTCTGATTCTGTTTATTTGGATTTTCTCTCGTTTTCAGTTCAGTTCAGCTCTGATTTTGGTTATTCCTTTTATTCTACTAGCTTTTGGGTTGGCTGGATCTTATTGTCTAGTTCCTCTAGGTATAATGTTATGTTATTAATTTGAGTTCTTTCTAACTTTTTGATGTGGGTGTTTAGTGCTATAAACTTTCCTATTAACATTGCATTAGCTGTGTCCCAGAGATTTTGATGTTTTATCTATTCATTAGTTTTCATTCGTTTCAAAAAATTTCTTTATTTCTGCCTTAATTTTATTGTTTACCCAAAAGTTATTCTGGAGTCAGTTGTTTAATTTCCATGTAATTATATGGTTTTGAGAGCTCTTCTTACTATTGATTTCTGTTTTTATTGTGCTGTGGTCCTAGAGAATGGTTGGTATGATTTTATTTTTTAAAATTTGTTGTGAATTATTTTATGGCTGAGCATGTGGTCAATGTTAGATTATGTGCCATGCACAGATGAGAAGAATGTATATCCTGTTGTATGGAGTGTTCTGTAGATGTCTATTAGTTTCATTTGGTCAAGCATCAAGTTTTAGGTCCTGAATATCTTTGTTAGTTTTTTGCCTCAATAGTCTGTCTAATACTCTCAGTGGGGTGTGAAGTCTCCCATTATTATTGGATGATTATATAAGTCTCTTCATAGGTCTGCAAGAGCTTGTTTTATGAATTTGAGTGCTCTAGCATTGGGTGCATATATATTTAGGACAGTTAATTCTTCTTGTTGAATGAATCCTTTTTATTATGTAATGTTCTTTTTTTATCGTAGCTGGTGTAAAGTCTGTATTGTCTGCAATTAGAGTAGCAACACCAGGTCTATTTTGCTTTCCTTTGTCTTGGTAGACTTTTCTCTATATCTTTACTTTGAGCCTATGGATGCCATTTCATGTGAGATGGGTCTCCTAAAGACAGCACACAGTTGGGTCTCCCTTCTTTTTTATTTTATTTTTAATTTTTAAATTTTTTTTGGAGACAGAGTTTCACTCTTTCATCCAGCCTGGATGAAGTGTCACTATCTTAGTTCACTGCAACCTCCACCTCCCACTTTCAAGCGATTCTCATGCCTCAGCCCCCTGAGTAGCTGGGACTACAGGTGTGCACCACCATGCCTGGCTAATTTTTGTATTTTTCATAGAGACAGGGTTTCACCATCATGGCCAGGCTGGTCTCAAACTCCTGAGCTCAGGTGATCCAACCATGTTGGCCTCCCTAAGTGCTGGGATTACAGGCATGAGCCATTGTGCCTTGCCATACTTCTTTATTCAACTTGCCACTCCATGCATTTTAAGCAGGGTATTTAGACCATTTTAATTCAAGGTTGATATTGAAACATCTAGATTTGATCCTGTCATCATACTGTTAGCTTGTTGTTATATAAATTTGATCATATAGTTGTTTTATAGTGTCAATGGTCTCCGTACCTAATTGCGTTTTTGTGGTGGCTGGTAACAGTCTTTCATTTCCATGTCTAGTATTCCCTTAAGGTTCTCTTATAAGGAGGTCTGGTGGTAACAAATTCCCTTTGCATTTGCTTTTCTGAAAAATATTTTATTTCTTCTCCACCTATATAGCTTAGTTTTGCTGAATATGAACTTCTTGGTTGAAATTTGTTTTCTGTAAGAATGCTGAATATAGGCCTCCATTATCTTCTTGCTTGTAGGGTTTCAGCTGAAAGGTCCTCCATAAGCTTGATAGGGTTCCCTTTGCAAGTCATCTGCCTCTTCTGTCTAGCTGCCTTTAATATTTTTTCTTTCATGTTGACCTTAGAGACACTGATGACTTTATGCCTTGGAGATAGTCATCTTATATTGTATCTCAAAGGGGTTGTCTGAATTTCCTGAATTTGAATGTTGACCTCTCTATTAAGGTTGGGAAAATTTTCTTGAATAATATTCTTGAATATGTTTTCCACTTTGTTTGATCTTTCTCTCTCTCTTTCAGAAATACCAATGAGTCATAGGTATGGTTTCTGTATATAATCCCACATTTCTCAGGGATTTTGTTCATTCTTTTTTATTCTGTATTTTTGTCTAAGTTGATTCAAGAAACCAGTCTTTGAGCTCTGAGATTCTTTCCTCAGGTTGGTGTATTCTGCTGTTAATACTTCTGATTTTATTATGAAGTTTATGTAGTGAATTGTTCAGCTCTAGAAGATCAGTTTGGTTCTTTCTTAAATTGGTGATTTTGTCTTTCAGTTTTTGTGTCATTTTATTGGATCCCTTAGATTCTTAGGATTGGGTTTCAACTTTCTTCTGAATCTTGATTATCTTTGTTGCCATCCAAATTCTGAATTCTGTGTCTGCCATTTCAGCTGGGTTAAGAACCATTGCTGGAGAGCTTTGTGGTTGTTTGGAGATAAGAACTCTGGCTTTCGGAGTTGCCAGAGTTCTTGCACTCACCCTTTCTCATCTGTGTGGGATAATGTTCCTTCAATTTTTGAAGGTGCTGTTCTTTGGATGGGATTTGTTGTTCTTAATTCTTTGATGCCTCCGACAGTTTAACTGTAGTATAAGTTGGCTTTAATTAACTGGTTTGGTTTCTGGATAATTTCAAGGGGGCAAGGCTCAGCTCAGCACTCCTGGGAGTGCTCTGCAGGACTGGGACTAGGCCCATAGGCCCATTACTTTGTTCTCTGACTCCTCAAATGTATACACCTGCTATCCATGAGGGAGCAAAGTGTTCCTAGTCTGCTAGCAACAATACTCTAATGATGGATTCCAGCAACAGTGCTTCATCAGTGCAGTGGCTGTGAGATCCACACTTACACATGCACACTGTCAACAAAGCAGCAGGATTGGTTTACATGCTTGTACACCAGTGACGGTGAGATGGCAGGGTCCGGCATACATTCAATATGAATGTTTATATAAATAAGATTTACAAAAAGTAACATAACATAGAGATCCTGGGGTAATCATTGAGAGAATAGAAAAAGAGTCCCTTATTATAGTACCAAATACATCATATTTTTGATGTATCAAGTATATCAGATTTGTAAGCTCATTTTTAATTATAAAAGCCCAAGAAGAGAGATAATCAACACACTTATTTTGTGTAATTATTCTACATAAATAGAAGCTGCTACTTTGAATTAGAAATATATTTATACCTATCTCTATAAGTATAGCTATTTTCTAGCCCCATAGATTATTTTCCCATTTTTTAGAGAAAAAAATAACAGCCTAGGATAACGAAAGGAACAATATTTTTGTTCTGTATTTTAGTTGTAAATAATTTAACTTTAAAATAAAAAGTGATAGATGTTAAATGTAGCTCAAAGGGAAAGGTTCACATTATTTTATTGGAATTATATTAAAAATATTGGGCTTTCAAAAAGTATGATTAATAATATTACATTTTTTAGTCAAAATCATTCGGACAGGTTGTTCATTTATCACATTAAATTTCAATATACTTAATATTATAAGCCTGCGTAAGAAAAAGTTTAGTGACAATGACATAGTTGTTATCCAAACCTTCTCCTTAAGAATATTAAGAGCTAACCATATGATCCATCTATTTTACTGATCTTATTCAATTTCTGCTTACCTTTTTTCACATTCCATTAAATTTCTCTATGTATTTCAAGAAAATATACAATATCTGCTAATTTTCACTTAAGCAATTTAAGACATATTCAGAAATATGCCACATTTCCTTTCTAAAGTGCTTTTTTCATGTTTTATAAAAGAGCTTTTAAAAATGTATTTGAACAATGTGAAACATTACCATGTCTGCTATAGTATGTTAAGATTAGCAGTTCTATTTATATTAACTGTGTAATTACATTATACTGAAGATATATCTAAATTTTAGTAGAGCAATCAAGACAGAGCTAGGTATAATAATATGATGACATATTATGAAGAGATATTCTGTATAACTTCCCGCAGTACCTTGCTCATAGCAAATTGCTATTTGAAAAAAAAACCCCTAAAAATTACCTTCAAAGAAAATTTCAGTTTGAACACTTTATTACTAAGGTAAAAAAAGACACAAAATTATAAAGCCATTGAGCTAAAAGTGAATATATTTATTTATACAGAAATAGCCTAGCATGTTTAGAATTTTAATCTCTTTAAGAAAACAAATATAAATGCTCTTATGAGTATTAACTAGATCTCTGAAATTTGTTTTATTTTTATAGTATAAAATAAATTTCTGCCTTTGGAAAAAGGTGTTTGGAATGATAATTGATATATTTAGAGATTGGAAGACTGAACATAGTAAAGATGTTAATTTTCCTATGTTGTTCTATAGGCTCAACGCAGTTTCTATCAAAATCTTAGCAAGTTATCTTGGAGAAATAGACAAGTTTATTATACATTTATATTAAAAGAGAGGCTCTAGAATGGCTAAAACAATTTTTAAAAGAAGAATAAAGTGGGAAGAATCACTCTCTGAAGTTAAGGTTTACTACGTAGGTATGGTAGTCAAGATAATGTGATATTGGCAGAGGGAGAGACACATACATCAATAGAATCTAACAGAAAACACAGAAGGTAACCACAAATATATAGTCAAGTGATTTTTACAAAGGTGCATAAACAATTCAATAAAAGAAAAGAGACTTTTCAATAAATTGTGCTGGAATAAGTGGGCATGTATAGTAAAAACAAAACAAACACAAATGAACCTCAATGTAAGCCTCACACCTCATATAAGAATTAATTCAAAATGAATCATGGAATTAAATGTAAAAAGAACAAATATAAAATTTGCAGCAGAAGAAAGAGAAAATCTTTGAGACCTGTGACTGGTCATAGAATTCCTAGATGACACCAAAAGCACAATTCATAAAAGGAAATATTGATGTTAGACCTCAACAAAATTAAAAACTTTTACTTTGCAAAAGATCCTGTTAAAAGGATAAAAGCGAATTACAGATGGGAAGAAAATATTTTCAAATCATATATCTGACAAACAACTTTTATCTATAATATGTAAAGAATTTTCAAAAGTCAACATTAAAAAATCCTAATATTTTAATTTGACAGTGGGCAAAAGACATACATAGATATTACATTGAAGAGGTTATTCAGGTGGAAAATAAATATTTGAAGATATGTTCTTCATTTGCCATTTGTAAAAGCAAAATTAAAATCACAATGAGAAATTACTACATACCTACCAGATGACTAAAATAAAAAATAGGGATAAGACCAAATGCTGACAAGAATGCAGAGAAATGGAATCACTCACACATTGCTTATGGGAATAAAAAATGTTAGAAGAACTCTAGAAAATAATTTGGCAGTTCCTTTTGAAACTAAAAATGTATTTACCATGTGATCCAGCAGTTTCCCATTTGCACGTTTATTCTAGAGAAATAAAGACTTATTTTCATGCAGAAACTTGTATGTGAATATTCATTATAGCTTTAGTATGATAACTCAAACCGGATAACTGCTAAACATTCTTCACTGGGTGAACGGTTAAGTAAAATGTAGTATATCCATACTGTAAAATACCTTTCAATAATAAAAAGGAAAAATGATTAATAGTCACAACTTGGATGAATCTCAAGAAAATTATGCTGTATGAAATAGCCAATCTCAATGGACATAGACATATACCCATATTACATTTATATAACATTTGCAAAATAACATACCTGTAAAGATTGAGTATAGATTGAGCATTCGAAGGGTTAAGGATGGAGGAGGGGTGGTTTCAACTAAAAAAGCATGGTGGAGTCTTGTGGTGATAGTACAGTAAAATATCTTGACTGTGATGGTGCTTTATTTTTTATTTTTTATTTTTTGACACGGAGTCTCACTCCGTTGCCCAGGCTGGAGTGCAGTGGTGAGATCTTGGCTTACTGCAACCTCCACCTCCTGGGTTCAAACAATTCTTCAGCCTCAGCCTCCTGAGTAGCTGGACTATAGGCGTGCACCACCACACACAGATAATTTTTGGGTTTTTACTAGAGACGGGATTTCACTATGTTGGCCAGGTTGGTCTTGAACTCCTGACCTCAGATGATGCACCCGTCTCTGCCGCCCAAAGTGCTGGGATTATAGGTGTGAGCCACCGCGCCTGGCCATATGATGCTTATTTCAAGATACACATGTGCTAAAATTGCATAGAGCTGCACACACACACACACACACACACACACACACACAGAGACACACACAGGAATGCATATATAACTGGTGAAATGTAAATAAACTCTGTGGATTGCATCCTTGCTAATTTTTTTGTTTTGTATTGTACAGTTATGCAGGATGTTAACACTGTGGAAAGCTGGGTGAAGGGTACACTGAATGTCCCTGTACATTTATTTGCAACTTCCTGCGAATGTATTATTTCAAAATAAAGGTTGAAAAAAAAAACTCACTGATATATATACAAGACTTCCACTTCTACCCAAAATAGAGTATCAGGGACCATATCTACTACCTTGTCTGAAACACAAAATAACAATGAAGGACAATGCTTACTGGGAAATGGGAAATAAGTGAGATGAACCTCACAATTTCCCCAACTGAATGTCTTGAGAGAGACAGATTCCAGGCCACAGTACATGGAAAGTGTGAAGGAAGACAGAGCCTAATGTGGCTCCCAGCATTGAGGCGATGGGGATAAAGTCCCAGGACATGAAAGCATCCAGAGTTCACAAGACAAAGAACAGTAGAGGCTGGAGCTGCACAAAATATTCTTAGAGATCTTCAGGGGTATTCAACAGAGATGAATGCATGTATGTGAGAAAACTATGCACAGGCAGGGACAGAAACATGAAAGTACTAGAGGAAGAATACACGATGCTCTTATGGGGCCAGGAATAGTGCATGTTCCCACTAGCCAGACTAGAAAATCTCATAATTCACAGGGCTTTAAGCAGAGTGCTGAGATAAGGCTTGCCTTCATCGTGGTGAATAGTTCACCTTAAGCTAAACTCTGCTCTGTCAGTGTTTAAGGTTTGTTCAAGCAAACCTTAGAAAAGCAAGGCACACATTATTCTAAGTGAGATAACTCAGGAATAGAAAACAAAATATCATATGTTCTCACTTATATGTGAGAGCTAAGCTATGGATATGCAGAGGCATACAAAGTGCTATAATAGACATTGAAGATGCGGAACTGGAGAGGGTGGAAAGCAGGTGAGAGACAGAGAGAAAAAAACCTATTTGGAACAACACATGATACTTAGGTGATGGGTACACTCAAATCTCAGACTTCACCACTACACAATTTATCCAGGTAACCAAAAACCACTAGTTCCCCAAAAGCTATTGAAATACAAAAAATATATATTTAAAAGAAGAAGGCAAGGATGGCCCGCACTTTCCCCTTTTGGTCCATATTATACTGGAAGCTCTAGCCAATGAAACCAGAAGAACAAATTAAAGGCATACATATTGGAAAGAAGTAAATCTAAAAATCAATCAATCAATAAATAAAGTATGCCCTTGAAGAAATTAGACTATGAACTAGATAACCTGTTGGGGTTCCTCTCAAATCTGTGTTCTTGTGATTTCAATAATTATGTTCAGTTGGCGGTAAATAGGTCCTGATAATTATGTGTGAGGTGATTTTCTTAACCTTTTGGCAAAGAGATTACATGTATTACAAAATATTTCAAATGATGGTAGTATTTATGATGTGCAATATAGAAATATTTGGATTATTATAAAACGAGGTAGCTAGAGCAATCATCATTCATGTTACATGTTTTTGCAGAAGAAAATAAATGTATTACATTTTTTCTGCTTTTGCATTTAACTACTTTTGTTATGTTAATTCCAGATGTAATAGAAATACATAACATTTTAGAGATAACTAGCTTTGAGATAAAACGTTTTACCGGAATGGGAAGATAAAATATATTTGAATTTTTATTTTTGTAAAATTCACTTCAGTACCTTTTAGTAAGATTCTAATAAATAGAAAATCACAGATAAAAAAAAAAAGCAGGGCAGAAAATGATCAAACTGTTTCAAAGTAACTTACATGCATCTCAGGATAATGCTCAATAATATTTATAGAAAAAAATAGTATTCAGTACCTAGCAAGGTGAAAATCTGTAATGTTTGACATCTGATTAAAGATGATCATGCATGCAAAGATTCAGGACAATAATAACTCATAATGAGGAGAAAAAATCAATTAATCAAAACTGAGGACTGATCTAGATGTTAGATTTAGTAGAAAAGGATAAAAATAATTATGTCAAAATGCTTATGAAGAGATATAGAAGACATACAAAAGAGAAACAAATAAAAATTTTAAGATGATAAATAACTTGAATGAAATTAACAGCAGATTTGACATTGAAAAGGAAAAATTTATTGAAATTGAAGACATAGCAATAAAATTTCCAAAAATAAAACACTCAGAGAAAAATAATGGAAAAAAATACAAAAGCATAAGTGAACTGTATACAACTTCATGCAGCCTAATGTCTGTGTAATGAAGATCCATAAAGGAGAGGCAAAAACAGGAAAAGCAAAAAAAAAAAATTGAGAAATAATAGTTGCAGAATTCCACATTTTATAAAATATGTAAATTCAGATTTTTCAGAAATTTCAATAAGCTCTATGCAAAAGAAATATGAAGGAAACTACATCAAGGAATATAATCAAGTTACTCAAAATGAGTGATAAAAAGAAAATCTTAAAAACAACCTGATGAAAAAAATCATGTTATATATAGCAAACAAAGATAAAGATGACAGAAGATTTCTTGTTGAAAACAGTATAAGCAAGAAGAGGGGGTGTACTAACATCATTAAATTACTGAAAGAAAAAACTTCTACCAACCTAGAACTCTATATACAGGAAATATAAATTTTACAAAGTGGTACAATAAAGCCTTTCTCAGACATAAAAGAGCTGAGAGATTTCATCACTAATAGACCTGTACTCTGATAAATGTTAAAGAAAAGCTCTCAATCAGAGAAAATGGTACCAGCTGGAAATCTGGAAGTCTACAAAAGAGTAAAGAGCTTTGGAAATACCTATATGGCTAAATACGTGACTGTTTAATCATTTAAGTTTCTTTAAAAGGAAAGTGATGGCCTAAATAAAAATAATAGAAATGTATTGTTGGGTTAATAACATATGCAAAACTAAAATACATAACAATAGTGTCATAAAGGTCAGGAGAAGATAAATGGAAGTCCACTGATGTAAGGTTCTTAAACTATGTTTTTAGTACTATAGCACTCAGGGTAGACTGTGTTAAAGGTATGCCCTATAATTCCAAAACTAACTGGTTAGACAGTCAAACAGCAAAGGAGCTAAACTGGCATTATAAAAAGTACAAATTCATCCAAAGGCAGAAAAATAAGAAAAGGGGAACAAATAAGAGATAAGAAAAATAGACAGTGAAGAATAAGGTGCTATAAACTTAACCATATGAATAATTACATTACATATTAAATTATCTAAACACTCACTACAGTTAAAAGGTCATGATGGTCAGATTAAATAAAAAAGTAAAACAGATATATGCCATGTAAAACATAATTCAAGAAAACATACATAGGTTTAAAAGTGAACAGATGGAAATGACACAATATCTACATTAATTAAAAGATGTTTAGATTATATGTTAATATCACAGAAGTACCATTTAGAGCACATTCATACACATATAATACATACAACATAGCACACCCAGACTCACAGATACAGAGACAGACTTTTATAATTAGTGACAAAAGAGGTTTGAAAACCATATTTTGTATGTTTTTGCTTTGCTTCTTGAGCCAGAAAACTTCTTTTGAGTTTGTATATGATTATGATACAAACTTTTGAGTTTGTATATGATTATGATACAAACTTTTGAGTTTGTATATGATTATGATATAAACTTTTGAGTTTGTATATGATTAACAGGATTAGGTTTTAGATATTAATAAAGAGATAAGTCTAGGCCTCAATAAACTTTGAATATTTAAATTAAATTTGAGAATGTAGAGAAGTACCTTATTGCTAAAATTCAGAGATCCTGTAAACTCTACCATTGTGAAGGTTTCCATGAGGAAGCAAGCTTATATAAAATAATTATATGTGAAAAAACTGGAACTTGATTTTACTAAGTGTTATATTTCAGAAATTTTTCTGTATGCTTGGATACTTTACATATGAAATGATAATCATAAATATTATAGTAACATGATAATAAACCACTTAGAATCACCAATGAGGTATTGGAGTAGTTAATTTACACATTATTCATTTTGTTCTTCTCTACATGTGTCAAGGAAAGTATTTTTCTCTCCATATATGAAGAAACTGCTGCTCAGTGACATGTCCAAATGGTTCAGCTACTGGCAAATTGGGACTCAAACTATTTTAACTCCAAAACTTTACATTTTTAAAATGTTGACAGATCATGAACCTGTAACTAATAATACTACAAAAAATAGCATAGCCAAAGCAGTAAAATTCCTATGTCAGCAATATGATTACTTTTGCTCATTAAATTGAAGGCAAAGTTCATTTAATCTAGTTTTCAGCAGCTATTTAGCTGGCAAGAGTTCCATGTAGTATTTTGAGATTTTAATTCCACTATCAGGTTGAATTTGATTTCAAGCCACTACTAATTTTTCCTTTTCATAACAGAAATAATTTGACTCTGACCAACTGGTTGTGCCCAGATTCCATGTCTCTCTAGTCTCTCATATTTATACTCAGCATCAGCTTTTCTTTCCTGATAATCTGACCCTGCTCAGGCTTCTGTTCTGAGCATTAGGCTACTACTTAGTTCCAGAGTCTTCTCTCCATACTGGCCATTTGTACTATAAATAGGGTCATTTGGCTGCAAGCAACAGAAACTAAGTTAAGCTGCCTTAATAAACATGACTTATAATTAAGAATCACATAGACTGAACCTGAAATAGGAATTCTTTCAGTATAAAACATCTTTGGAAATCAACTTCAGTCTGTTTCTTTCTCGAGAAGTGGTATTACACCATACTGATGAAGATAGATCAGCACCAGTCCTCAGCTCAGTGACTTTACTAGCTTTGTGGTCTTGGGAAATTATTTCATCTTCTTTTTCATCAGAAAAAGGTAGGTCCCTACTTTATAGGCATGTTCTGATTAATAGATTTAGTATGTGTAAAACAGTTAAATTTTAGCTGGATCAAGCCCTAAATCTGTGTAAAATTTGCTACTATTTTGTATAAACTTTGCTATTGCTTTGTGTATACTTCATAGTAACCTTTTTGCATTTATTTATTTATCAAGGTAAAATTTATGCAATTCAGTGATATTTACTGCATTCAGAATGTTGTACAATCACCACCTCTGTCTAGTTTCAAAATAGTTTAATCACCCCAAAAGAAAACTCCATGCTTTTTAAGGAACCTATCTCTATCCCCCCACCACACACACACTGGGGCAGTTTACACATTTTATTGATATTTTAAAAGTAATACATTTACTTTTTAGAGCAATTTTAGGTTCACAGCAAAATTGAGAGGAATGTACCTAGGGTTCCTATATACCCCCTCACCACATACGCAGAACCTCCCACACTATTGGCATCACACAGCACAGTGGTATATATTTTACAGTTGATGAACCTAGATTTTACACTTTATTATCCCAAAGTCCACAGTTTATAATCAGTTCATTCTTGTTATTATACATTCTTTGTTTTTGGATAAATACATAATGACATTTATCCAACATTGTAGCATCACATAATAGTTTTACTGTCTTAAACATCCTTTGTACTTTGCCTTTTCATCCCTCTCTCCCCTCCAATCCATGGGATTCACAAATGTTTTTACTTCCGCCATAATTTTGCCTTTTCTAGAATGTTCTGTAATTTGAGTCATCCATTCTATAGTCATAATGTATGTAGTTATACATTGTTTTATTCTGAAATGGAGTCTCCCTCTGTTGCCCAGGCTGGAGTGTAGTGGCATGATCTCGGCACACTGCAACCTCTGCCTCCCAGGTTCAAGTGATTCTCCTGCCTCAGCCTCTCGAGTAGCTGAAACTACAGGTGGTTACCACCATGCCCAGCTAATTTTTGTATTTTTGGTAAAGACGGGGTTTCACCATGTTGACCATGCTGGTCTGGAACTCCTGACATCAGGTGATCTGCCCGTCTCGGCTTTCCAAAGTGCTGGGATTAGAGGCGTGAGCCACCGCACCTGGCCTATACATTGTTTTAGATTTACTTCTTTCACTTAGTGATATGCATTTAAATTTCCTTTATGTTGTTAGCTGGCTTGATAGCTCATTTCATTTTAGCACTGAATAATATTTTATTGCCTTGCATAAATCACAGTTTATCTATTTACCTACTGAAAAGGACATCTTGGTTACTTCCATGTTTTGACAATCATGAATAAATCTGTCAAAAACATCTGCAGGCAGGTTTTTTGTTTGTGGAAATAAGTTTTCTCTTCATTTGAGTACATACCAAGGAGCACAGTTGCTTGATCTTATAGTAAGAATATGTTTAATTTTGTAAGAAACTGCTGCACTGTCTTCCAAAGAGGCTGTACCATTATGCATATCCACCAGCAGTGAATGAAAGATCCTGTTTCCTGACATCCTTGTGGCATTTGCTGTTGTCAGTGTTTTCGATTTGGGACATTTAAATTTGTATGTGTTGGTATGTCCTTGTTGTTTTAATTTGAAATTTTCTAACGAGATATGTTGTTTAAAATATTTGTATATGTTTACTTGCAATCTGTACATCTGTTTTTTTGTTGTTGTTGTTGTTTGTTTGTTTTTTGAGACAGAGTCTCACTCTGTTTCCAGGCTAGAGTGCAGTGGCGTGATCTCTGCTCACTGCAACCTCCACCTCCTTAGTTCAAGCGATTCTCCTGCCTCAGCCTCCCGAGTAGCTGGGACTACAGGCATGTGCCACCACGCCCAGCTAATTTTTGTATTTTTAGTAGAGATGGGATTTCACCATGTTGACCAGGATGGTCTCGATTTCTTGACCTTATGATCCACCCACCTTGGCCTCCCATAGTGAGCCTGGGATTACAGGCGTGAGCCACCGTGCCTGGCCTGTACATCTTTTTTGACAAGGTGTCTGTTCAGGTCTTTTGCCCATTTTTTATTTGGACTGGTTGTTTTCTTGTTTTTAAGTTTTAAAAATTTTTGTGTATTTTGTATGAGTCCTTTATTAGATGTGTCTTATGCAAATATATTTTTCCTCATCTGTGGCTTGCTTTTTGATTCTCTGAAGACAATGATTCTGACACTGTCTTTTGCAGAGCAGAAGTTTATTTTAATAAAGTCCAGGTTATTGATTTTTTTTTATTTCAGACCTTTGGGGATGTATCTAAAAAGCCATCATCATACCCAAAGTAATCTAGGTTTTCTTCAATGTTATCTTATAGGAGTCTTATAATTTTACATTTTATATTTAGTTCTGTGATCTATTTTGAGTTAATTTTTGTGAAGGGAAGGGCATAAGGTGTTCTGTGTCTGGATTCACTGTTTTGCAAGCAGATGTTCAGTTGTTCCAGCACTTTTTGTTGAAAATACTATTTTCACTCCACTGGGCAGTATTGCAGCTGTTCCCTTGTCAAAGATCAGTTGACTATATTTATGTGGATCTATTTTCATGCTCTTTATTCTGTTGCATTGCTTTATTTATCTGTTCCCTTGCCAATACACTGTCTTGATTACTGTAGCTTTATAAGTTTTCAAGTCAGGTAGTGTCGGTCTTCGAACTTTTATCTTCTTTGGTATTGAGTTAGCTATTTTGGGGGTTTTGCCTCTCTATATAGACTTTAGGCTCACTTTGTTGATACCCAAAAAATAATTTGCTGGGATATTGATTGGCATCCTGTTGAATCTATAGATCAAGCTGGGAAGAACTGACATCTTGACAATATTGAACCTTTATATCCATGAACATGAAGTATCTCTTCATTCATCTAGTTTTTGTTTGAAATCTTTCATCAGTGTTGTAGTTTTCCTTATATAGATCTTATACAAATTTCATTAGATTTATATCTAAATATTTCATTTTTGGTTGCTGATGTAAACCATAATGTGTTTTAATTTCAAAATTCACTTGTTTATTGCTGGTATATAAGAAAGTGGCTTACTTTTGTGTGTCAACTCTGCATCTTGCAACTTTGCCATCATTGCTTATAATTTCCAAGAGCTTTTTTGTTGATAACTTTGGATTTTCTACATAGACAATTATGTTACCTGTGTACAAAGAGAGTTTTATTTATTCCTTCTGAATTTATATATCTTTTATTTTAGTTTAATATCTCTTTACATTAGCTAGGACTTCTGGTATGACTTGAAAAGCAGTGGCAAGGGAGGATATCCTTGCCTTGTTCTTGATATTAGTGGGAAAGCTTCGAGTGTTTCATCATTAAGTATGATATTAGCTGTAGGTTTTTCTATAGATATTCTTTATCAAGTTGAGGAAATTTTCCTCTATTCCTGGTTTACTAAGAGTTTTCACCATGAATGGCTGTTAAATTTTGTCAAATATTTTTTCTACATCTATTGATGTGATTGTGTTTTGTCTTTAGCCTATTGATGTTATTTGTTATATTAATTAATTTTCTAATTGGGAGCTAGCCTTCCATACCTGGAATGAGTTTTACTTGATCGTGGTTTGTGATACTTTTTATACCTTGTTGGATTCAATTTGCTAATATATTAATGTTTTTGTGCATCTACGTTCATGAGAGATATTGAACTGCAGTTTTCTAGTTATGTCTTTGGGCAGTTATGTTATTAGAGTAATGTTGGCCTCATAGAATGCATAGGAAAAGTTCACTTTTCTTCTATCTTCTGAAGGAGATCAGAGATAATTATTATAATTTATTTGTTAAAAGTTTGGTAAAATTCACCGGTAAACCCATCTGAGCTGAGTTTTTTATTTTGAAAATTAATTAATTATTGATTCAATTTCCTAATAGATATAAGCCTATTAGTATAAGATTGTATACTTCTTCTTGTGTGAGTGACAGGTTGTTTCTTTCAAGGAATTGATGCATTTTGTCCAGGTTATCAAATTTGTGAGCATAGGGTAGTTCGTAATATTCCTTTATTATTGTTTTACCATTCGTGGGATCTGTAGTGATGCCCTATCTTTCTTATGTCATATTAGTAATTTAGGTTTTCTTTCTTTTATTCTTTAGCTAGAGGGTCATCAATTTTATTAATATTTTCAAAGTACTAGCTTTTGCTTTAGTAGGTTTCAGTATTGATTTACTGTTTTCAATTTCATTTACTTTTGTTTCAATCTTTATTAGTTCTTTTCTTCTGCTTATCTTGGATTTAATTTTCTCTTCTTTTTCTAGCTTCCTAAGATGGAATTTAGATTTTTTATTTCACATCTTATTTTATTTTCAAATATCCATTCAATGCTGTAAATCTTCCTCGAAGCACGGCTTTTACTACAAACTACAAATTTTTATGAGTTCTGTTTAATTCTCATTTACTTCAAAAGTTTTGAGGTTTCTTTTTTGACCCATGTTTTAATTATTAGTGTATTTAATCTTCAAGTATTTTGGGGTTTTACAGCTACCTTTCTCCTATTGATTCTTGGTGTAATTTCACTGTGATCTGAGAGCAGACATTGTATGATTTCTCTTTTTAGAAATTTGTTAAGATTATGTTTAATGGCCCAGGATGTGGTCTATCTTGGTGAACGGTCCATGTGAGTTTGAGAAGAATGTGTAATCATCTGCTGATTTTGAATAGTCTATAAATGTCAATTATATCCAGTTGATTGATGGTGTTGCAGTCAGCTATATCCTTATGGATTTTCTGCTTACTGGACATGCCCATTTCTGATGGAGAGGTGTTAACACCTTCAACTACAATAGTAGATTTATCTAGTTTTCCTCCCAGTTCTTTCAATTTTTGCCTTACATATTGTGACATCTTTTGTTAGATGGATACACATTAAGGATTGTTATGCCTTCTTAAAGTATTGACCTCTTTATTATTATGTAACGCTGCTTTTTATTCCTGAAACCTTGCTTTGCTCTAACATTTGCTCTGATTGAAATTAACATTACCACTCCCACTTTCTTCCCCTACCCAACCCCTACTTTATTAAGGCATAATTGACAAATAAACATTGTATATATTTACAGTGTGCAATGTGATGTTATGATATATGTATATATTGTGGAATTATTAAATCAAGCTAATCAATATAGCCATTACTTCAAATACATATTTTTAAATAATAAGAAAATTAGAGATAAATTCTCAGCAATTTTCAAGTAACAATACATTGTTATTAATGATAGTTAACATGCTATGCAATAAATCTCCAGAATTTATTCAGCCCATGTAAAGGAAACTTTGTACCCCTTAACCAACATCTTGTCATCCTTCTTTCTACTTCTGACTACCAGCATACTACTCTCTTCTATAAATTCAGCTTTTTATTGATTCCATATATAAATGAGATCATGTACTATTTGTCCTTCTGTGCCTGCTTTATTTCCTTCAGCATTTATCCTCCTAGTTTATACATGTTGTTGCAAATTATAGGGTATCTTTATTTTTAAGGCTAAATAGCAATCCATCATATATATGATACACATGCACAAACACACATACATATTATCTTCTTTATTCACTAATCTGTTGATGGACATTTAGCTTGATCTCATATCTTGGCTATTTTAAATAATGCTGCAATGAAATGGGATCACAGATAACTCTCTGACATACTGATTTCATTTTCTTTGGATATGTACCCAGAAGTGGTGTACAGGATTATATGATATTTTTAGTTTTTTGAGGATCTTCTACAGAGTTTTTCATAATTCTTCTACTAATCTACATCTCAACAAAGAATGTATAAGGGCTCCCTTTTCTCTGCATCTTTGTCAACACTTGCTATGTTCTGTCTTTTTTATAATAGGCATTCTAGCAGGTATGAGGTGATACCTTATTGTGGTTTTAATTGGGATTTCCCTCAAGATTGCTAATGTTGAGTACATTTGTTTTTTTGTTGTTGTTGTTAATTGAATCTTTGTGTTTTCTATATATTTTGGAATTTAGACCCTTATCAGGTGTATGGTTCAAAAATATTTTCTTCTATTCCATAAGTTGTCACTTTTCTCTGTTGATTGTTTCACTTGCTTGAATAAGCTTTTTCATGTGTTGCAATCCTATTTGCCTATTTTTGCTTTTGTTTCCTGTGCTTATGGGGTCTTATCTAATAATTTATTCCCCAGACCAATGTCATGAAGCTTCCCCGTGTTATTTTTTTTTTTCATAAATCTTACGCTTCAGGTCTTATGTTTAAGTATGTAATCAATTTTGAGTTTGCTTTTGTAAATGATGTGAGTTAAGGTTTCAATTTTATCCTTCAGCATGTGAGTATGCCGTTTTCCTAACACCATTTATTGAGGAGACTTCTTCCTTTATTGTGTGTTCTTGACACTTTTGTCAAAGAGTAATTGACTGCAAAGGTGTGTATTTATTTCTTGTCCTTCCATTCTGTTCCAATGGTCTGTATGTCTGTTTTCATACCAGGACCATGTTGTTTTGATGACTACAGGTTTGCAATATAATTTGAAATGAGATAGTATGATGCCTCTAGCTTTGTTCTTTTGTTCAAGATTGCCTTATATATTTAAGTAACTTTGTGGTTTCATATGAATTTGTAAACTATTATCATTTTTTCTATATCTGTGGGAAATGCCATTAGAATTTTGATAGCTATTGCATTGAATTTTTAGATTGATTTAAGTAGTATGGGCATTTTCTTCCATTCATGAACAGAGAATACCTTTCCATTTATTTGTGTCTTCTTTCTATTTATTTCTCATTTCCATTCCGTTAATGTTTTCTTTATGTATTTAGTCATTCCTATGTTAAGTACATATTTATAATTTTTATATCAATTTACCCCTCTATCATTACATAAAAATCCTAATTTTCTCTTGGGACAATTTGACTTAAAATCTATTTTGTCTACTATTATAACTACTCAACTATTTTTTGGGTTGATTACCATTTTCACGGAATCTGTTTTTTCTTTATTTAACTATTTTAGTCAAATAGACTAAAAGAACACTTTTAGTCAATTTGTGTTCTTAAAGTGAGTTTCTTCTGAGCAGTATATAGTTGGTTGTTTTGTTTTTTTTTCAATCCATTTAGCCAATCTATGTTTTTTCAACTGGAGAATCTAATCATTCACATTTAAACTAATTATTAATACATTAGGACTTAAGACTTTCATTTTGTTGTATCCTGACTCTTTTGTAGCTCCTTTGTTCTTTTATTGCTCTTTTGCTGTTTCCTTGTGATTTCATAATTTTGTATTGTAGTAGCTTTGATTCCTTACTTTTTGTCTTTTGTGTGTCTACTATAGATTTTGATTTGTTGTTACTATCAGATAAAACATAACAATCTATTTTAACTTGATAGAAATTTATCTTCAATTGCATATAACTCTACATTTTTACATCCTCCCTCACATTATAAGTTTTGATGTCAAAATTTACTTTATTTTTTATTGTATTCATTAACACATTTATTTTCAGTTAATACTTTTGTCTCATAACTTTTATACTCATGTTTAAAGGGATTTATATAGCACCTTACAGTATTAGATTATTCTGAATTTGATCGTATACTTTCCATCGAGTTTTATACTTTCATATTTTCTTGTGTTAGTTAGAATCCTTTCATTTCAACTTGAAAACATTTCCTTTGGCATTTCTTATAAGGTAGGTCTAGTGCTGATTTCTGGGAAGTGCCCAAATATCTTTGCTGGATCAGTTTCTCCCCCACCTCTTCTTGCTTGTAGTTCTCAGCATAACTGTAGACTGCACTGAGAATACAACACCCTGAGATAGAAAGTGTCCAAACAGCCCAGGCTTTGTTGCTGTTCCTTGTAGAAAATTGTAACATCATGAGATAGAGAAGAATTTCCTGAGACATCCTGTGGCAAGGAGAGCCCAGACTCTGTTCTTCTCTCCCCTAGAAACAAATGTCCTTTAACACTGTAGATCAGGGTATCATGCAGCCTGAGGTATATAACCTGTAGTGGGCTGCTTTCAAAGTCCCTCAGCCTTGGCACAAGTGTGCCACATGAAGTCAAAACTGCTTCCACCCCAGGAAGCTTTTCTCAGTCTTGTAGACTGGATTGCAATAACTCATAGCCTTCTCTTGAAACATTGCTGCCTATATGTAAATAACAAATCCACTTAATGTAACTTGTTGCATGTGACTGTGTTCTGTCTAACTGGACTCAGGCAGTTAGTAAAACTGAAACCTGTGATGAAATCAGCAGAAATATTCAAACTTCTATTTCTAGTGATTGGCACAGTGATGATCTTTGCTTTCCTCCATGCAGTGTTAATTCTCCCTTGAGACTGGTAATTGGTAAACCTCCTTTGCACTGAGGAACTGCCACAGCACTTGATTTTTTAGGAAATTCCTTATCTTTCTTTCACATATGAAGTATAGCCAGACTGTAGTATTCTTGGTTGTCAAGTTTATTTTTCTTTCATATCATCCTACTTTCTCCTGGTCTGTAAGGTTACTGCTGAGAAATCTGCTTACAGTCTTATGAGAACCTCCCTTGTATGTGACAAGTCGCTCTTAATTGCTTTCAAAATTCTCTCTTCATCTTTGATTTGGAGAATTTGATTATAATGTGTCTCAGCAACAAATTCTTTATGTTTAATCTATTTGTGTTTCTTTGGAATTCATGAATCAAGATGTCCATTTCCTCTCCATATTTGAGCAGCTGTCATTATTTTTTAAAGCAAGTTTTCTGCTCCTTTTTTTTCGTCTCTTCTTCCAGAATTTCTGTAATGCATAAATTGGTTCATTTCATGGGGTCACCTATTTCCTATAGGAAATATTCCTATTTCCAATCTTTTTCATACTTTTTGTCTTTCTAACTGGGTAATCTCAAATAACCTGCCTTGGAATGCACTGATTCCTCTGCTGAAAAGCTCTCTATGAGATTTTTTAGTTCATTCATTGTATTCTTTAGCTCCAGAATTTCTGATTGGTTTGTGGTTTCTCTTTGTTGATGTTTATGTACCATTTTCTTAATTTCATTTAATTGTATATTTGTGTTATCTTATAGCTCACTGAGTTTCCTTAGGGTGATTAGTTTGAATTCTTTGTCAGGCAGTGCATAAATCTCTTTTCTTTAGGGTCAATTACTAGTGTTTTTGTTTTTTTTTTTTGGTGGTGTCAGGTTTCCATTATTCATGATTCTTGTGGCTATAGGTTATTGACTGTGCATTTTAAGAAGTAGGCACCTCTCCCGCCTTTAAAGACTGGGTTTGCTGAGAAAAGCCCTTCACCAGTTTGCCTATCCATAATTTCTGTGTGTGCTATTTGGTGGGTTAGTAGGTTGGCTTGCAGCTGGAATCCTCGGCAGAGAGAACTGATGGTTTGGTCCGCAGTTGGGTGGACCTCGGGTCTGTTTCCACAGGATCAAACCTGAATTTTGGGTCCACAGGGGCTGGCCTTGTGTCAATGTCTATGGGTGTGGATCTGCTGAATGAGTCCATGAGGTGGTTCTGGATCCTGGGCTTACAGTGCTGGGCCTGAAGCCTGTGTCACTGAGGTCAGCCTGAAGCCTGGGTCCACTGGGGCCAGCCTGGTGCTAGAGTGGGTCTTTAGCCAACTTGATTCTATAGATGCTAGCCCAGCACTAAGTTCATGAGGACAAGCTTGGAGTCTCAGTCCTTGGGAGCTGACCTGGCACTGAGGTGGGTATGGAGTCTAAGTTTACAGGGGAAGGTCTTAATTTGTAGTCATAGGGTCTGGCCTGTACCCTGAATCCACAGGGGCAGTCCTACAGTGTGGGTTCATGGAAGCCATCTCATGTTATTTCAGCATTAACCTGAACCCTAGGTCCAATGGAATGGGCTTGGACCCAACCTGGACCAACAAGCTTTCGGGGACCAAGCTTGAACCTGAACCTGGCCTGGAGCTGGGACAAGCTTGGAGACTGAGAAATTAGGTTCTAGCCTGGCACTGGTGCTGGCCTGGTGCCTGCTACTCCTTGGGCCAACCTGAAGCTGAAGCATGCCCAGAAGGTGAGTCTATGGGGCAGACCTGGATCCTGGGGCTACAGGTGCCCCTCTGACACCTGGGGCAAGCCTAGAAGCTAGGTTTGTGGGTGTTATCCTGGAGTCTGGGGTGGAGGGAGCTGGCCTGGTACTGGGTTGAGCCTAAAAACTTAGACTGAGGCTCACCTAGACTTTGGAGTATGGGGGCCTGCCTAGCACTGGGTTTCACTATGGTGGGATTGGTACTGGGTTCCATAACAAAGTTAAGTGCAGTGAGTATCTCTCCGTTCTGGGCTACCAGGGCTTTTGACATGGATAACATGAAAGTGCCCTTCCTACCATCTTCAGTGATTTTATTTCTGTGCTGCATCTCTGTGCTGTAATCACTCATCTGGTTTCCTTAGTTCTTGTGAAGATATTTAAATAGTCATTCAAATTGCTGTTTCTTCAAGGGAACAAATGCTGGAAAGTCTTATGATGCCATGTTACTGAAGTTCCCCTGATGTCTTTTAATTAGTGTTATTGTTGTATATATTTCTCCATCTTTTTATCTTTAATCTACATGTCTTTATATTTAATGTGGAACTCTTATAGACAACATATATTTTGGTCTTGTGTTTTGATTCACTCTGACAAGCTAAGTCTTTTAATTCATGCCATTTATTTTATGCCATTTATTTTAAAGTGATTATTGATATATTTGGATTAATATTTACAATATTTGTTACCATTTTCTTTTTTCTTTTTCTTTTTTTTTTTTTTTTGAGACGGAGTCTCGCTCTGTCACCCAGGCTGGAATGCAGTGGCACGAGCTTGGCTTACTGCAAGCTCCGCCTCCCGGGTTCACGCCATTCTCCTGCCTCAGCCTCCCTAGTAGCTGGGACTACAGGCGCCCGCCACTACACCTGGCTAATTTTTTGTATTTTAGTAGAGACGGGGTTTCACCGTGTTAGCCAGGATGGTGTCGATCTCCTGACCTCATGATCTGCCCGCCTTGGCCTCCCAAAGTGCTGGGATTACAGGCATGAGCCACTGCGCCCGACCAATATTTGTTACCATTTTCTATTTGTTTCCCTTGTTCTTTGTTCCCATTTTTGTGCTAAATAATAAATACTAAACATGTTTTAGTGTCATTATTTTCATTTTATTGGTCAAGATAGTGAGGGTCAGAATTAGACTCCTGCAATAAGAAAAGAAAAAATGATTCTACTATTATGTTTAAGTTTCAAGAAGTGAAGCAGCAATCAGAACTGAAGACTTTATGATTTATGTATCTTCTTGTTGCCTGTTTCAGAAGAATTTTGGACTATCGGCTGTGTCCTTTTATCATGTTCCATCAATGCTGCTTTATTACTGGAAATTCTAGTAAGCCATTTTTGTTTATTTTTTTTTCACTTGAGCCTCTAGACTAACATTTGGGAAATTATTTCTTTACCTTTGGCTCCAAAAGCTTCCAGATTGTGCTGGCTATTGAGATACTCTCATCATCAACTCTTTTGTCAGGGTGTCTTTAGTATGATAATAGAACAAATCAGAAACGAGTTTTAAAGATATTATTGTAGGGCATGTGTCTTAACTAGTTATTACCATCCTTCAATGGGTTAAATTATATGGCAGACGTCAGTCACTAGAAAACAATGCAGGACTTTCCTAATTATAATTAGAAATTATTTTTAATAACTTGTATTTGAAGCTGTATAAATGAATTCCTGGTTTCTAGCTGCAGTTCCCACCTGACATTTTAATGCAATACCTGCATTCATGAGGGATCAGAATATGGCTATGACATTCTCTGAACCTGAATTGCTGTCCTTGGGCAGTTTATCGTTTCATTATCACATTCTGTAAGAAAGGCTAATATTCTTCTTGAGAAGTTAGGGGACACATTTGAACATATTTTCTATAAGATATAAATATGTTTTACATATTTTTATGCTAATTTTGCATATGATAAGATTTTATTGTTTCTTAAATACTGTATTTCTGATTATGTCAAACCTTGATTTTCTACTTATACCTTGAAAATCAAGTCTGTCAGACATATTCTGGCCTTATCTGGTAATCTATTCTTTATTTACCCATTGGCTCCCTATTACTCTTGTAGTTTCAGGAACCTCATTCTATTAAATTATTTGTTTTCCAATTTAAGACAACACCACTGAATTAGAGAATATTTGAGATGGAATGCACTAGTCTCCTCCATCCTGGATATAGACTCACACTAGGGGACACTAGTATACTTATGCCCACTGGTTTTCCAGAAATTTATTAATTATTCTCACGATTGAATTGTCTTCTCTTTTCCTTCATTCAATCCTATTCATTTCCCAACTGTTGCTCTTCTCATTCAGATGAGAATACTGTTTATTTATTCTGTTTATTTATTGAATACTGTTTATTTATGATTATCTCAAATTTGACTTCACGTCTTGATGCTTCAGCATCTGATTTCAAGATCTCATTTAACTTTTTCCATAATACATTTCTCTTAATCTAATTCTTTGGAACTCTCAACCCACTATTGTCAACTTCTAAGTAAACCAACTAGCTTGTCCAGTCTCTGATGAGAGGAGACTTTCAGCCTAAGAAAACATATCACTAATTCTCATTGTTGGAGGGGGAAACTGAACACCAGAGATGAAGCACCTTAATTAAAGTGAGGTTAGAGTCAAGACATAGTCAAATCTTTGGTTTTCTGACCTTTTTTTTCTCCAATCACGCTCCTCTAGGAGAGTAATCTTTAGTGTTACTATCATCAAAATGTATAATATTAAAATACTCCACCACTAAGAATGCATCTATCTCACGACCAGCCTGGCCAACATAGTGAAACCCCATGTCTACTAAAAATACAAAAAACTAGCTGGGCATGGTGGTGGGCACCTGTAATCCCAGCTACTTGGGAGGCTGAGGCAGGAGAATTGCTTGAACCCAGGAGGTGGAGGTTGCAGTGAGCCGAGATCGCACCATTGCACACCAGCCTGGGCAACAGAGTGAGACTTCATCTCAAAAGAAAAGAAAAGAAAAGAAAAAGAATGTATCTATCCATCTATCTAGCAAAAGTAAATACGGTAGCCACAAACGTGAATGTGTAATCTTTGACTAATATGGTTTGCTCTCAACAAGAAGGATATACATTCCTTTATTATTCTGCTGTACTGTTCTGGTTTCTGGGTAAGGTTCAGCCATCTAAATCCCTGATCACATTTCAGCAAACATTCTTGCCCTCACATGCCATCTAATAATAATGTTTATAACTCAGAAAGCAATATTCAACTCTAATCAGGGAGAATAGTAATGACATGTCCTAAAATTGTTGTGTATACACACTTATATAATGGAATAAAATAGTTATTCTATATATACGAATACATGATTCTCTGGCTATTTCAACTATGCTTTTATGCAACACTTAAATCAACTCTTTTTTTTCTGTTTAACAACTTCACTAATTTGAAATATAACTGAGAAAAAGAAATTCAATAATGAAATATTTCAAATATATTTAACAAGTAGTGAACAGAAGAGTGTGCTGTTGTCTTTCTCACCAATCCTATTCTTTAGCTGACCTTACTGTCAGTGGGTAGGTGCCTTTAATTTGAACAATAGGTATATTGTATATTAAATAGAGGGCAGAAAATGAGCAGAGTTAGAAACTGGTAAGAATTTCTCTTTTTGTGATTTGTGGACATAAGAGAGACAGACACAAATAGATAAAAAGTATGATCAATATTAGAGATAACCACTAGTTAAGCCAAAGAAACCGCTGTTGTGCTCTAAAATAGCTTCAAATTGTTTAAGCCTAAAAACTAATTCAAGCTCCAAACTTACATAAATGAGAATCAGGCTGAAAAGTCTGAGCAACCACAAAAGCTAGCATACTCTTCAACACACCCTTCAGATGTGGCTGAGAAGAAAAAGACAACAGAGAATCCATTAGCTGGAGGAGCAGGGGGCTCTGGAAATGTTTACCAGAGATCAGACTCAGGTCTAATAAAACAACTTTCTCCAATCTAAGGGAAGAAGGCCTGGTTTTTGTATGTTGGAGATTGGAGAAGGAGAGACAATTTGTCTTTTTAATGTGTTTGCCATTGGACTTGCTTCTGAACATCATGGAGAAATCTACACAAAACCAAGTGATTCTGGACTTTAAGCTGGATAGGACTTCAGGTTTTCTCCTTACAAAAGAGTGTCAGCATATTCTACGCATAGCAAGAAATGTGCAAATGGATATTTGATTACCAGTAGGCAAACTAAGGCAGAGAATGTTAGCTGTCACCATATTTTTTTTCCTCCATGGTCCTATTTCTACCCTGCCTGTGGTCATGGGACTGAATTTTGGCTCAGTTCTAGCGGAAATGCTATAACACTTGCAGGCCATTTTCGTTTCTCTGATTGATTGGAATGAGTGATGTTTGGGAACCATGGAAGTTGCATGTTGAAGATAAAAAGGTGTTAGCCTGGCTTCCCAAAGGACTATGTAAAGGACATCATTAATCTAAAGTGTTATTTAATAAAAAACAAAACTGTTTGGTATTTAACCACCTGTTATTTTGCAGTCCACTTGATATTGTAACATATTGAGGACCCATTGTCCTATTTTTTTGGCAAAAAATGGGGCTTTTGCCTCTAATATAGTACCATGATCTATGGGATTAAAATCAATGTCAAATGTGGTCATATCTTATTAAAACATTGTAGATTATTTGCTTAGAAAAATACCAAAATTTTTCTTCTCTGTTTCCATTAAAATGTAAGAAAATAATATAGTTTTTGAAGCAGGAGCTCTTTAAGAATTCAAAGAACTTGGAAAACAAGCCATTTCCCACAGTTTTAGGCTTAACGGGGATATAGAACATTTCAATATTTCTAATTAAACCGACAGAGTAGGTGATGATAACATCTGTTTTTCTGTAATAAAACCTATTGATGTTGCTGACCTGAATGTTTCTTATCTGCAATAGACAACAAATGAAGATAAGCCAAGTTTAAAAGGAAGAAAATGGAGAAAATGTCACCACCAAATAGCTAGTTTTATAAGTTTAAGATTAATTACTCCCCTAGATTTTTTTCAAGAAACTTTTATTTAACAAACATTAGTTCAATGAATCAATAGGAATATTTCAGAGTGTTCAAGAGATATTTGAATACAGATAAGAAATGTGCTACAGTTGTCTCTTGTATCTCTCAAAAACATATTCTGGTAAAAGATTTAGTCTCCTCAATTGAACCCAATTTTTAAGTCGCAAGTAAATGGAAATTTTAACCCATTTGTACCCACTCGAACATTTTTCAACTTTTGTTTTTGGTGTGTTCGTCAAAGACAGGGAAAAATAAAAATAAAAAGCTTAGAGGAATAACTAGATAACACTGCTAATCATACATGCAGTAATTGAAATGGAGCCACTTTCTGTCTAACCCTCAAAAACCGACCAAAAAAGTACACCCTTAAGAAATAAATCTAGCTCTAATAAACAAAGTGGTTTGCAATGTTTGAAATTAAAGAAGCTTTTTTTTAAAATACAGAAACAAATGTTTCATAAAAATCAGTCTTGTTTCTAATCAGAGGATTGAATCTGTAATCATCGCCAACTCCTGCAGTTTGACTATAAGATGAAGGCAGTGTCAACAGATGTGTCTAAGCAAAACAAACACACGAAGAGCTAGTCCTTTTAAACATCTCAGAAGTAAATTAAGCATGAAAAACATAATGCTAACTTAACTTGTAATTGTGACAATCAGAACCAAAAATTATATCCAGGCTGGGCAAGCAGCACGTGCTCTTCCGTCTCTGTAATGATGCTGTTTATTTTCTCATTTTTATATTTTTTTCCCACTAAAGCAAATATTTCATATAGCGTTTGTATTCTTTTTATTACTATCAGGTTTGCATTCGGTTTCCACAATATTTAATTTCTACACAAGATTGTCTTGTCTTTTGACCTTTTGGGATGGATTGCAAGTAAAAACAGTGTTTGAAATGGGTAATTTATGCAAAAAATGAGGAATATGGAGGTCGGCCACTAGGGGGAGAGCAAATACAGTTCTGTGATAGCTGGAGAAAGGGAACTAACATGTTATTGAGTCTACTTTCTGTGGTCCTTGAGGTTTGCCATTTTTACATATGTTATTAATAATTATGAAATTCTTACAATAGCTTTGAGGGTAGGAGTCATTTACCCTATTTAAGGCTAACTAGCTTTTATGATGCTCCAGAATGTTGTGATTAGTGCAGCAGAAAGAGTTAGCAAATGCTGGAGCTTAAATTCCAATCCAGGCATATATTCTTACTCCCTAGCCAGAGTTGCTGGTATTTTCTGATAATAGCAGGGAGAAATTGAAAAACATGATGACAACAGTGGGGGAAAAAAAGAGTTCTTGTTATTTCCATTGTTTTCTGACACCTCCTCCCCAACACACGCATGTAAACATCTGCACACACATGTACTTGCACACGCCCACACTAAGACCAGTGATTCTCTGTGTGAGTGAGACCCACCAGAAATGGGCAGGGAGGAAATCACTAGAGGTGGGATCAGGAGTAGTAACCTGCAAGCCACTGGCCAGAGTCTTCCATTGTGAGTGATCCCCTGATAGAAATGGGGTCAACATTGAAAGTCAGAGCAGACAGGAGCAGAGGTGAGAAGACATGCTCAATTTTCTGCAATTGTGAGAGAAGCAGAGATATTTTTGACAGTTGAGGATTTGGATACATTTAGCTTCCATTACGCCTTAGATATTTTTAATGTTTGTGGTTTTGTTATAATCTTGCTTTAACAATGTCTATAAATGTGTAGTTTTAAGTTGTTTAAAATGTTATCTTTTTCAAGTTATGTTGGGTGAAATTCAATGTTAAATGAGGTGGTATATCAAATTATTGTCACCTTGTAACAAAGCTTGATGGATAAAGGTCAATTTGCTATGGAAATGTTCTAAACATTTTCTCTATTAGAATACCAGGTTTTCTTTCAGTCTTCATGTAGGAAAGAGATAAGGATACATCTGACATCTTACATTTGACAATAGCTAACTTATTTTTCCCTAGGTTGTGCCACGTTAGATTACAGAAAGTTTTCTAGTTACTGATTATAACTGGAATTATTTTTATTAGGCATAAATTAATTTTAAAAAACTAATTTGAGTGTAGTTTCTTTAGACTTCAGAGTAACCTGACAGCCATCTGAAAGTTAAAGAAATTAAAAAAAAAAACCTGATATCTTGTATGTTAAAAAGAGAACATCTGCTTCCAGAGAATGCATTTGTGATACCACTATTATAGAGTATTATAGAGACAAAGGTTTAAAAAGTATGTAGCATTTCCAATACAATAATACTCTTCTTAACTGTGTAAGAGAAAAGTTTAATTAAATAAGAAATAATAATTAAATAAGAATTAATAGATAAAGAATGTTTTTGCTGTTTTCTTATTGTCTTTCTAGACATCTGGAATGTTGCAGATCAAATTCTGTTACAAAAAATGCTAAGAAAGTGTATTATCTGCTATCAGAATGCACACATACACATTTTTTAAAACAAAGCAAAAGATAACCACCAGCTGATTTCGAGCTTCCTTATTTCAAAAAATATTTAATGTAAAAATAATTTCAGTACAGCAAGATTTTGCAAACAATCTATATTATTCACTGTATAAGGGTCAATAAGCGTAACTCCAGTTCTATATCCTTTCTTCATTTGCTGTTGTATAATAGTGCTGATGCTTAAATATAGTATAACCTTATTTTCTTTTTAATTTGGAGATGTATTGATGTTCCTGTGATAATCACATCTCAATAATCACAAAGCCATGATTGACTACTGCTAGATGCCTTTGGCATATTAGGTAGATTATCTTGCTCAGCATCTGTTCCACTTCCTAGTGTTCTGCCTTATGTACTATACAGATAAAAAGCTACAGACTGCATTTCCAGGACTACCTTGCAGCAAGAGTTCTGGATGTGTTTTGGTCCTATTAATCAGGTATACTCATATAAGATTTGAATTCAGAACTAACCTAAGTAGAGAATGGTGCCTAACGTCAGTTTGGCTAGTGAAGTGTAGCTGTGGAACTATTTATCCTGGTGGAGCGTCTTTATTTTTGGATCACAGCCCACAGTGTCTTCTCCATACTGGCAACAGTAGTGGTGGTTTTCTGATCTCCAGATTCCAGCTGAGTTTGCGTGATCATAAAGTCAGAATGTGGGAGAGCAGCATCCTGCTTTAGTTTCCTGATTTTGTCAGAGGCAGAGTAGTGGTCAATTCTGTGATGTGATTTTGAAATTATTCAAGTAGGCCCAATCAACAGTCTCCTTTTCCGGAACTTCCAATGATCTTGTTAGCACTTCGTTTCTTCTATCAAATAACTTTCTGCATCCAATAGAGCAGGTTCTGTTAGCTGCAAACAAACCCCAGTTGGTATTGGCACTTTCACAACAAAAAGGTTAAGTGATAAAATGAGAAAAAATCTGAAAAGAACTTCTGAAGTCTTTTGCACAAATTACATGTCAGAATAGAGTATCAGTTAAAATTGATAGAGAGTGAGAGAAAGAGAGAGAGAGAGAGAGACAGAGAGGATACATAGATTACTTCATCCCAAGAAAAATGCTGCATCTGGGGACTAGAACAGAGTAAGGAATTTGAAAGGATTTAGGAGGTAAATCTGAATCTACTCAAAGGCAAGCATTGTTTGGTCTCTGCAGTCTAATTTCAGTTATCTAGGAAAGCAAACTCTCTGCCTACTTATCACCTGTTTTTGAAAGTAAAAAAAGACCCTGTAATATTTCTCTCCACAAAAGAATGAGTATTTTTCTAATCAGTACTTTTTTGTTTTGTTAAGATAAATCTGCAAAGCATTAGTCTAAAGTTATTGTTTTTTAAATCTTAGGATCACAGATTTGGGAATTCCCTCAGGTGGTCTCTGACAATCTGAAATTAAAGGCAATATGTTGCATATGTAAATATGAAAAATTTTCAAGTGAGTAGGTAATATCCTAATGTAGGTGATCTCTAGACACTCAAAAGGTCTCATGGTCAGAAGAAGACTGAGAACCAAACGGGATTCTGGAGACCACGCATAAAAACCCTATTCTCTACATTATAGTCATACTTCCTACGTACAAGTGAAAATTTCTGTGTTCATATGGTATTGCATTTAATTTTTATTATAATTTTGTATAAAGCATTCGTAATCATTGGATTTTCACAATAACCTTATGGCACAAGTATTTTATTTCTATTCTATGTCCAGTTTAAGTTAGAAGGCCAAATATTTGCATTTATTTAGTTGTTACTCAGTAGAGCCAGATTTGAAATTATAACAGTCATTGATTTACTCAAATATAAACATGACTTAAATTTGTGGAAACCTATAGAATTATTTTCTGTGATTTGCCATAACTGGTTGTAATTATTTTTAAAAAATTTCAATCAATAAAATAATTGCCTGATAGCCTAATGTGGGTGAATCTCATAATGTTGAGTGAAAACAGAGAAGCATAGTATATAATTTTATTTATGTAAATTTCAAAACAAATCTACAATGTTTCCTTTGAAATGAAGGTGGCTGGTCATATTTAGCAGGGGCTTAAGAGGGCTTCCGTGGCATCAGTAATGTTTTAATCTTTACCTGTTTTTTGCTAAATGGCTTTGTTCTTTTTAATGATGATTTATTTCACTGTGCATTAATGATTTATACATTTTTTATTTGTTTGTGTTGTACTTCAATGAGATTTATTTTTCAAATTCCTAAATAAGAAAGTTATTTTTATTTAGATGCTCCAAACATTATCCTCAAACACTACATTTATATTAACTACTTGGTCAAGCTCTGTGGTTTCCCCTTTCTTTCACGATGTTTTTCTTTCTACCTTAAATCCCTTTAATATTCTTCCTGGAAGGATCATTTATGTTTAATTACTTTTGAGGTCACACCTACTATTCTAAGAAAAGAAGTCCCTTAAGACATTTGATCTGGGCATTTGTTAAAGGAAGCCTATGGGCCTGCTTATAGGCCAGGTAGAATGTGGGAGGTAACAGTATTCTGAATTGATCTTTCATTTATTTGATCTTTTATTCATTTGGCATTTGATCTTTCATTTATTTGGCATCATCCCCATCATTTCCAAGGCTTAAAAATTCTATAAAATTGATTTTATACTTCTGTGTTCAGACTTTTTTTTGTCACATACCTGGGATCCAAGAAGAGACTTACCTAGTAAATTTTATCCTGACATTTTCTACTACTTTGTAGGCTGACTATGCAAGATTGGGATTTCTGATGCTACTTCTTTCTAGGAACCAACATGTAAATTTGAGACATGGTATTTGTCCTTAGAATGATGCAAGTCTAAACAAACTAAATTTTTCATTTAGCTGAAAATAGAGTCTATAAGAATACATATTCTTTTTTATAGTTGATACTGATTTTTTATAAATCTTTTAAATTTAGTAAAATAAATACTTGTATCTAGGTACAATTAAGACCTTTTAAATACGTTTTTAGAAACAGTCTTAAAATCCTCAACTACAGCTTAATCCATTTGGCATTTTTTCTAAGATGATATCAATTTAATATCACTTGTATTTGAATATAGAGAATCTTACCTTAGGAACAGTCAACAACCTTGTATCAAAATCCTTTCAGGTCAGTTCTCTCCATTTATCTTCTATCCATCAAAACCATACTAGGTACACTTTTTATATCCAATGAATGAGACAAGCAAATGATTTTCCAATCATTACTAATCAGAATAATTAGCAATTCCAAATAAACTCCAAGGCATATAATGCCTTTTTTATGATCAATGACAATATTAACTTCAGTTTAACTTGGGCAACATTGCAACCTATAACCCCCTCTTGAGTACTTACATCTCATGTTGTTATGTTACAAGATCTGAGGAATTTTTCAGAAATAATACTTTATTAACTGTATTTGTGCATTTTCTAAATTTGTCTGGCATGGAAATTTTGTTTTATATAATGCTTCTTAACATCCTGCTTATATACTCTGCAGAATCCACTTTGAATAGCTCTGATATAGATGACTTAAGAAGCACTGCTCACTTCCACTGCTTCCCAAACGCTGGATAAGGGTGCAGGACCCAGAGTTGCATGCCATTGCATATATCCTCATGAAGCTTACATGACAATGACATGCTTTCTTCTATCCAAATTCTGGCAAATGAGAAAGAGCTCATCTTTTATAGTATGAGAAAAGTCTTACATAAGTCCTCCTCCCCACTCCCACATCCAGTATCTGTGATAATGAATATTTATGCTTTTGAAATTAAAGTTGCTAATTATTAAGTTTAAAACATAGACAGATGTACACCTTAGAAAACTTTTTAGTTTTCTTAGCAGCAATTACCAATGTTTGTGTTATGATTTTGATGGGAAAGAGTATTTGGGCACATATTTAACTACTCACTAGTCAGAAAGGGCAGAAGAGAGTAAAATTAGAGGAAACCAATAAGTTGTTCAAGATATTCTGACTAAAACGATGACCTTCATGTTGCCTGACCCAAGGGCATTTATTCACCTTATCAATATTCATGTAATATTTATACAAATGATACTCCCTAGACTTGTGCAATGTGTTGAAAAATCTGAAAGAAAATATTCATAATATTTTTAGATAATGTATAAAGGAGGAAATTTATAGAGTGAAATGGTTAAGATCATGTACTCAAATATCGGTACTGCAAGTTACTGACTGTAGAGGCACTCTCTCTGTGCCTCACTTTTCCGATCTGAAAAATGGTAACAGTAATGTTATTTACACAATGTAATGCTAATTAAAGTACCTGATATAACAAATGTTACTTGTGTTAATTCTAAATGCTTTCTGTCATTATTAATGCTTAGAACATATTTTGGAGTCATAAGATGAGTTGATAGCTATAATTCATTCATTAGCTCAACCAATACATGGGCTTACAGCGTGCTTTGGATAGTTCTGAGAGTTGAAAACACCACTGTGATGATAATGACAGTGTTCCTGCTCTCAGGAAGCTCCTACTCTAGTGAGAAGAAGGTAGACAGTACATAAACAATACGTGATAAGAGAATTGAGCCTCATATGATAGCATGCCTACTATATGAGAAACTGAGTAAACAGCAATTATAAATAAAGTTCTGCTGTGAGAATACAAATATGTAAAAAGAGAGTGTGCAAGTAAGTATTGAAGTATTTACCAGTCAGAGAAAGCAGAAGAGAGTAAAAGAAATGAGTGCATTTGAGAACCAGAAAAATGGTTAGCATGGCTGGACATTAGTGAGCTTAATAAAAAAAAATCATTAGTGAATAAAACAGACATGATCCTACCTTTGTGGATGTCATCGACTAGTATAATATTAACATCTTAATTTTAGGAAGTCTCATTAATTTGAAAGAATCTTAAATGAAGCTAGTACATTGGCCTGCAGAATATTAAACCAGTTAAGTTATTGCCTGGAAGGGAAAAATTAATACTGGTGCTGTTTATAACACTCAGCATCTTCAAATGTGTTTTCTCATCTATAAGACGGAAATAGTCACAATTATTCTGTCTATTTCATAAGGTTATTTGGAGAATAAAATCTAATGCTATATCAGGAATATTTTGCAAAGTAGAAAATGACAAATTATTGGAAGTAATTCGTATGAATATCTGATTTTTTTTCTATAAGGTGATTTACTGCCTCATCTCCTTCTAGTCTATTACTATTTCATTGAGGCCTACCTCAAAATACTTTTTGATATTAAAAACCACACTTGTCAGTCCCCATCTACCCTATATGATTTTATATGTTATTTTTTCCATAGTACTTACCCATTTATAACCTCCTTTATAACTGAATAAAGGTAGAGTTTCTGGTGTATACATCCACTGCCTTATCCCCTGTATCTAGAACAGTACCTGCCACAAAGCAAATAGTCAATAAATATTTGTTGTATAAATGAGCCACTGGAAAAAAAAAGACTTAGTTTCCAAACCACCATTAACTTCATTATAAGAATCTTTTTTTTTTCATTGTTAGTCAACATATGTTAAAAGAGACAAGAAAGACAGTTATACTCAATGTCTAAAGCAGACTTTTCAAAGAGGAAAGAAGACTGCCTTGGGGACAGAGACTCTACTGTTGATGTTCTTTACACAACATTAAAACACTTCTTCAACTTTTAGTTCTTCCATTCATTGGGTCTTCATAATTATACTTGTTTATCCTACTTTACACATTGGATAAAAGGATAAAATTATTAAAGAGTATGGAAGCTCTTTGAAATTACCCAACTTATGCAAATATAAAGAATATTGTTATGAAAAAGATAAATAAGCAAAAAAAGATATCTAGACATCAAGTGCTCTCTTTGAGCAGAAGTACCATCTCATTTAACAATTCTTCATCTAACCTATGTTAGTCTCAATGCAATTTAACTTAGTATTTTGCTGGAGGAAAAAAACAAGACAAAACAATAACAAAATATGCCACAACTACTTCCTAATTGAAGTAGTGATCCTATTTTAAAAGTTGTTTAGCATATACTGTATTTCAACGCTAATGGTAGGATTTTGCTCCTTTAATCAAGGTAGTATATTAAATGCATGAATAGAGTTTTTTTAATGCTTAGCAAATTATACTAGTAACTAGTTTATAATTTGTGATTGTGCATGATTCTGATAGTGAAGAAATTTCATTAAAGGTAGGTTGAAAAAGCAGAATGCGTGTGCATTTGCATGTCTGGATGCAGGTAAATAAATAGTAAAGCTCATTGATAACAGAGGCTATTATAATTTGAATAAGATTATATTCTCTCTAGGAGAGATAAAGGGTAATGAAAGACAATTCAGAGCTAGTTTGTTATTACTTCATCAAATACCTCAGCCTCAAGCTGATAAAACTCCCTTGTATCGCTCCCTTGAGACATTAACGACAACGATGCTGCCAACCATTTGTAGTGATTTCCCAAATCATTAATATCACCATTTAAATGAGTTTGTGATGTATATAACACAGGGTAGAGCCAGAGGTGAAACTACTACATATGCTTTCATAAAACCGTAAGAGCTAAGTTATGGGAAATAGTAAAATGAATTGTATTTAGCCTGGACAGATGCAATGTCAAGATAATTTTCTATGGAAGCCAACAATGAGCTTTAATGACATGTTAATTATGTCACTTATGAAAACTCAGAATTATATAGTAACTTTATTTGCTTTTTTGCAAATACTAATTGTATTAACTCTTTACAAATTATATTCATATTTATTGTCTTTATTTTTCTTTCAAATATCAATTCCTTATGTGTAATCTTCCCGAACCATAATCTGCAGATAGTTATTTCTAAAACAGATGATCTCCAGATTACATCAAATGTGGTACAGAGGGTGATATTTCATTTTGTTTTGTTTGTTTTCTCATAGTATAGTTTAATAAGATGGCAGCCTCTATTTTGATGGTATACATTTAGGTACGACATTAAATATGCAGCAAATATTTAAGTACATAAATAAGTTAAAAAATAATGATGGGACTTCCTAGTTTTAAGGAAATATCTAAAATTAGACAAATTAGCTTGATTCAGAAAGATAACACTGAAAATCATTTTTAACTTTAAATTCCATGTTGCTATTTATTAATTTCCCAAACCTTAGTGTCTTGATAACTTTTAGCACCCAATTTTCTTCTTTTTGATTAACTGTGACTGTAACTCAATAGAACACACCATTTTAAAGATAAAATTTTAAGGGGGGGAACAAAATATTAAATTTTTGAAAAATATAAGAGCTGTTAAAGAAAAAAAATCAATAAGGATGGTTACAAGATACAATATTCTTTCAGAAGAGAAATGTTTAGTAAGTTATAAATTATTTCACTAAATAGTAACATTGTATGACAAGTAGAGCTGTTTAACTTTTTGCACCTACCTATGTAAAATAAAAACTAATTGCAATAAGAGTTAGACTATTCTGACATTCTATGAAAGCACATAGACTTTATCATATATCTGCCAACACATTTTATAATCTCATTTTTGTCATCATGTTTTTCAATTATACGTTTTGCAGGTAAAAAAAATGAAATTATCATGGTCCTGGTAAAGCCCACTCCCCTTGAATAGACTGAGTTTGGATACAGTTGGTTGTGTAACCCAAAATAGTGTTAATCAGTAGCATTCAACAGCTTACTTTTTGAGGGGTGAAATTTAACTTCACTGAGTAAACATTCTTCTGTTTTTATCTGACCTCTGCCTGCTTCTGCCTTGCCATTTTTTTTCAGCTTCTCTGGTCAGGAAGCAGTTTTTCAACCACCCATTTGTCAGCTTTATCCATAAATAAGCATCTCTTCTTTTCAGTTTTGCAAGCCTTGGTTTCCTGCCCCAGTGAGGAATCCTTGATTTTGCTCTGACCTGAGCTTCAACCCAGTTACCTATTGTACCCTCAGCATATTAAACTTGTTCTCAAACTTTAGCCCCAACAATGAATTGTTTACCAGGCTCCAGCTCTGACTTAACTGGCTCTGAAACCTGACTCACTGGGCAGCTCATACCTGGATTGCAGAACCTGGCAGTCTGCCCCCAGTGCCCCACGAGGTGTCCTGTCCAGGCAATCTCCTGATTATCCGAGGCCTTTCTTCTGCTCTCTAGGCTAAAGCTTCCTAATGCTAACATTAAAGTCATCGTGTACTTATATCCAAAATACTCTACTAGAGGTGTATTACAATAAGTTCCACACACATTTCATGCTTTATCTAATTTATGCCATTCCATCATTAGAGAACATATCCTATAGTTTTCTCTGTTTCTAAACTTTCAGATACTCATGTTTATTCTTCTGCTTAACATTTAGTTAGTGTCTAGTTGTTTCTTCCCTCTTTTTCTCCATCATTTTCAATCTATGGTTACTTAATTCCTAAATACTTTTTTTTTTTTTTTTGAGACAGCCTTGCTCTGTCACCCAAGCTGGAGTGCAATGGCGCGATCTCAGCTCACTGCACTTCCAGGGCTCAAGCAATTCACCTGCCTCAGCCTCCTTAGTAGCTGGGATTACAAGTGTGCACCACTATGCCTGGCTTAGTGCGTGTGTGTGTATATTTTTAGTAGAGATGAGGTTTCACAGTGTTGGCCAGGCTGATATCGAACTCCCGACCTCAGGTGATCCACCCACCTTGTCCTCCCAAAGTGCTGGATTTAGAGGCGTAAGCCACCATGCCTAGCCCCTCCTTACTAGTTTTCTTGACCTCAGTCTTACCTCTTTGAAAGTCATATTCCAAACAATTGCCAGGTTAGCTTTTCTAAGTGGTTATTTGACCTTATCAGTATCTTTTAAACATATTTCAAATGCTCCTTACTACTTGCCGGAAAAAGAGAGAAATCAGAAGATAGTCTTAAATAACAGTGACTTTATAATTTATTGCACAAATTAGGCACTTTTATGAGTGAAAGGGGATGCAATTGATAGTTTTGTCACTACCAACAGGAATACATCGGGTCAAATAAACTATATGGTTGCCCTGGATAAGATGTTTTTTTATGGTATGTTATCTGTTTCCTACTTCAGTTTCAGCTTTCCTGATCCCAATCTCAAAATTTGCATTCAAGTTCTAAATCTCCCAGTGCTTATTATGTTGCTGTTTAGTGATTTTTTTTCTGTCTGGTAGACTCTTGAACTTTTTTCTTTCTACTAGACTGAACTTTCCATCTCCCTAAGAGAAAAAGCTTTGTTTTTACTTTTCATTTCTGCAAAGTTAGATTAACGATGTAGTTACTAGTAATAATTATAAAGATAATATTGCAGTTTGTATTAAGAGAGAGCATATTCTTAAAGCAACTAGGGAAGCTTTAAGAAAATAGATAAAATCTGTACCTCACCTTGAGTTTGAACAAGAGTTCAGTAGGACCACCAAAGAGAGGAAGTCATCAATCTATGTTTCCTTTAATCAAGGGATGAAGAGGGCCCCCATTTACTCAACCAAACCATCAGAATCAACACTGGTCATCAATGGGATTATAGTATAAAGATTTATTCAATGCCAAGTTTTTCTGAAGATTGTTGCGTAGTTATGCCCTCTCCTCCTGCAAGAGCAATTTGATGGAAAAAAAAAAGTCAAAAATTTAAATGGGAGGAATTATTGATTCACAAAACAAACTTGCTGGAAATTTTGAATTTCAGCTGTACTACGTTTCATCTCTTAAGAAAAAAGTAAAAAGAGAGGAGTTGCAGGGAGTGGGTAAGAATATTTTTCCCATATGTCTGTTTGTATCCATCATGAGCATGTGTACACAGAGAAACACATACATACTCAGATTCTTGCATTTTAAAACCATACTTGGCTTGTCAAACTTGGAAGTTTGGTCTGCATGTAATTATTCACATGTCTTAAAACTAGTATTGTGCATATAGAATTGTACATATTATGTGTTTAGGTATCTGATATATGAAACATTGCTTTTTCCCTGTGTTGTGATATTTTTTGGATCAGTACAAATTACACAACACTAGCACTCTGAAACGCAGATATTAATTGCTATGCATCTATGTATTACTATTTCTATTAAAATTGTAGAATTTATACACTGTAAATAAATACAAATCAATTTAATTTCGTCAATTTAGTAGAAATTTTCAGAAAAAAATCATGCAATAAGAAAGACAGTCTGAATTTAAAATGTGTTCAAAGAAAGAAATTCGCCTACATTTTAAAATCCTTGACATTTGTGACATGCACATCCCTGAAATAGAAAATACACACAAAATGTCTATCAAAAAATAATGCACTGAACTTTTGACATGAATTGGCACAAACATGACATTTTATAAACATTATGAAAAAGTTAGTAGAAAAGAGTTTTAATGCCTAAGTATTTTGGTAACCTAGCTTTTATGAGTTGGGTCAGTATCCATATAATATGTTCTTATTTCTACACTTTATCAAAGCAGAAGCAATATTTTGTCAATAGTAGTTGATTCAAAAATAAATTTTAAAAATTATTTAGTCAATTACCTTATTAATTACATAAAAGGAAGCTACTTGCTTATCTAAAAAATTGTGCTAGCTCTTCTGTTAGTTACTAGTAAAATAAGTATACAGGATTGCTGGTCACTGCATTGAAGGAACAAACAAGGTAGAAATCTTAGTATATCTGTCTACAAGATTAAGTTAACTAGCTAATGCACTGGTTTCCATAAAAATGTAAAATCATTTATTCGTTTATACTATTACCAATCTGTTTTTTCCATGATTATAAACTGATTAGATAGTATAAGCATATCATGTTTTAAAGATCTGATTCACGCTCTCTATTCAAGCAGATTAAAGTTGTGATGTTTTATATTTGTTCAGTATGAATCTTCATTTAAAAAATCAAAAATGAAGAAAATATTTGACCAGACATTTTACCAAAGAAGACATATGGATGGCAAAAAGCGCATGAAAAGATGGTAAACATCATTAGTCACTAGGAGAATACAAATTAAAACCCCAACTAATTATCACTACATATTTATTATAATGTCTAAAATTAAAAAGATTTTACCATACCAAGAAGCGGTAAAGATGTAGAAAAACCAGAACTCTTCTATGTAGTTTACGGAAATGTAAACTTGTACCACCACTTTGGAAAATTTAGTAGTCTATTAAAACGTGAGGCCGGGCGCGGTGGCTCAAGCCTGTAATCCCAGCACTTTGGGAGGTCGAGGCGGGCGGATCACGAAGTCAGGAGATTGAGACCATCCTGGCTAACACGGTGAAACCCTGTCTCTACTAAAAATACAAAAAATTAACCGGGCGTGGTGGTGGGCGCCTGTAGTCCCAGCTACTCGGGAGGCTGAGGCAGGAGAACGGCGTGAACCCGGAAGGCGGAGGTTGCAGTGAGCCACGATCGCGCCACTGCACTCCAGCCTGGGCGATAGAGCAAGACTCCGTCTCAAAAAAACAAACAAACGAAAAAAACGTGAAGGCTGGGTGTGGTGGCTTACACCTGTAATCTCAGCACTTTGGGAGGCGGAGGTGGGTGGATTACTTGAGGCCAGGTGTTTGAGACCAGCCTGAGGAACATGGCGAAACCCCGTCTCTACTAAAAATACAAAAATTAGCTGGGCTCTGGGGTGCACGCCTGTAATCCTAGCTGTAGTCCCAGCTATTCGGGAGGCTGAGGCACAAGAATTGCTTGAGCCCGGGAGGCAGAGGTTGCAGTGAGTCGAGATTGTGCCACTGCACTCCAGCCTGGATGAGAGACTGAGATGGCTGTCTCAAAAGAAAGTCAAACACACACCTACTATAAGATGTGTTTTCATTCCTAGATGTTCACCTAAGAGAAATGAAAGTGTACGTACACTGAAATACTTTTATGCAAATGTTCATAGTTGCTTTATTTGTAATAGTCATAAATTGAAAACAAACCAATGAAGAGTTCACACTCTTCATTAAAAATTTACATTTTTAAAAATTGGGATATATCCGTATAATACTACCAAGCAATAAAATGAATGAACTATTTATATACACTATAACATGGGTAAATAGTAAAATAATTATGTAGAGTACAATAAGTCAGGAAAAAGAATATGCTAAATGATTTTATTTATACAAAGGTCTACAAAATGACAACTAGACTGTAGTGATAGAAAGCAGATCCCTTGTTGCTTGGGGATGGGAGAGTAAGGGTAGGAAGGAGTGGGAAGATAGAAGTACAAAGGGTCAAATTGGAAAATGATGGACAGTTTCATCATCTTAACAGTAGTAATGGTTTTAAAGGGCATATATGAGACAAAACTTTTCAAAACATACACCTTAAATATGTGCAGTTTATGGTATGTTTTATTTATTATAAAGGGATATGGGTAAACAGAATTGAAGGAAAACAGCAGTCTATAAGAGAGATTGGATATGGTATCCATGGGCCATGGTGACTTAGTATATTAGTGCTATACTAAGACAACCAATCTGGGGACATGGAAGAACTCCTATTGCAGATATCAGGGGACCTGCGGATATCTTTTGTTTGTGAAAATGGAAGATTGGCTCATAGTGAAGAAACTTCAAATGATTTAACTTCCTTTTTTTTTTTTTGTCATTAGCAAATTGTCTACCTGAGATTTAGAAGTATCCTATTTAAACAAAAATAATTCCCAGAACTTTTAGTAGTTGCCTGGGACCAATTTTATTTCTTAAAAGCAGCCATTCAATAAATAAATACTAATTATATTGCAGATTTATGATTACTTAGATAATATGCAGAAAGATTATTCTTTTACCTGATTTCACAGAATAAAATATACATTTTGTTTTGCTTTCACAATAGAATTTTTGCTTTACATAGAGGTCACTTAGAAAAGGGATTTTAAGCTTTATAATCTGACAGAATGGATTGTTAAAACAAAGAACAAAGAAAATATATTACCCAATGAAAGTTTTCTGTTGTGTTGTAATATAAAGTGTTTTATTTTAGATATATAAATTGTCATAGGCCATGTTAATAAATTTCAAATGATGTAGCTATTTTCTTTGATACATAAGTTTAGAATTTTCTCAAAGCAGTCATATGCTTAGTGTATACAAATTGATTGGCAGCTAAGGTAAAACAATCCTTTCCATCCTCATTTAATTAAAAACTCTGGACCATCTCCTTTTCAATATACTAGGTTTCCAGATTTGTGCTGAATGCTTCTACCTATTTAATCAATATGATGTCAAATACTGAAATATTTGTTTTTTTACCTATGTGTTATTTGTTTACTGTATTCTCAATTTTTTATCTGGATTTTTTGGGTGACAACTACACAGAGCCCAAGGATGGTTAAGACTGAGATTCATAAATCTAACTTTCTTTTTCTTTGTCACAACTGACAGTAACCTTGAGGAAATCATTTAATCTCTTTGTGCCTCCATCACTTCACTATAAAACTTGGATAATGATACTTATCTCACTGGATAAGAAGGAGATGTTAATGTTTGTAAAGACTTAGAGATCTTTAGATAAAGTAAACTAGCCCAGAATTGCTAACATAAAGAAATCATCATTGTTACATTCCTTCCTCTACTAATTTCAAGGTATATGTAAATGGATCATTGCAAGTACTTCATTAATGCTACTTTATTTAAATCAGTCACTGAAAATGTAATATAGTAGATACAGAAGGATTTTGGTGTAATAGATATAAATTGCTCCATTAAAACGAATAAACTTCCTTTTTACCTGCCACTCTTTAGGGACAATATTCTCATATAAATAAATATACTTTTATAGAATATACCTTAGCATCTACCTTACATAGATATAGAGAATCACAACTTTGAATTGTTCTTATTTCTCAATTTCCACTATTTTAAAATTAACTAAATATTAAGTATTGAAATATATAATCATCCAGAATCTTTGAACTATACACTTCATGTTTTCTCGAATTGTACGTTACTTTTATTCAGATGATATCATCTAGTCCAAATAAAGGTGTGTGTGTGTTAAGAAACGTGTCTCAGGAGATAACAATGATAAACTGTACAGAGCTTCTACACTCAATGATGCTACATTATGGTGAAAAACACAATCACATCTGATACAGATGCTGAGAAGATGTGATAATCTAGTACAAACTAAAAATAAGGAAGCCACAGGAAAAGACTGATTTTGGCCAGGGATCTGAGAAAGCTTTATGACCATGAAGTGAATTTAAGATGGGTCTAGAATAATAAGTGTTTAGGATGGGTTTTGGGGAGGAAAATACAGGACGTCAAAAGATGTCATTTCAGGCAGAGATGACAATTTTAGCTGTCGAGTCAATGGGGATTATAGGATTCAAGAATAGCAGAGGCCAGATGCAGTGCATAATCATGGCAGTGGGTGAATGCAACACTGGCAATGAGCGGCAAGCATAGAATGGCCAGGAGGCGGCAGTAACACACAAGAATATGTGGGGAGGGCTAGTAAATCATTTTGTTATTAGAGGTGAGAGAGATGGGTAGTCAAGGAGAGTGTTACTTGATTAAACATCAGAAATGATCAACAGCAGGTGAGCAGAAGGCTGATGTCAGTCACCATAGTGGAAAATCATGATCCGCTCTCCTGATGTTGCAACAGATCTTCCAAAGGCTGTTGGATATAAGTCAGAAACCTAAGTACTACCAATGGTAAAAGAAAAGTGATGATGGCCCTCCATTAGAGAGAAGGAACACAGAGGGCAGGTGATAAATGGACCTTGCCCGAAGTTTGCCTCATAGAAAGTCTAATGGATGTGAGCACAATTCTGTGGTCATTTCTCTGGTCATGGGTTTGTAATAAGAATAATTATAGTTAAAAGCTGGCAGATCCTCCCACTGGCTCTGTATAATGTAAGAGCTTCACTTCACTGTAGGGAAGGCCAAGTAGAAGCCTGTAAAATTGTACTCACATTCTTGGCTCAAATAAAAAGTCAGAGGCAATATAATATTTCAAGTTGAATGGCAGTGATTAATGTTTTTCTCAAAGATTTAAAGAAATTAGATGTGGTAGTCTCATATCACAATTTAATTCACCAATATGACCTCTGGTTCAGCAAATGACAGAAATCCCTTTTTAACATAACAGTTAGTTTCAATCATAGCTGATACTGGCATCACAGCCACAGTTGATGTAAATTTGATACTAGAACAAATCGACAAAATCTCTAGGACTTACATGCAACTATTGATTCCTTGAATGTATTTTTTCATCACTGTGGTGAAAGAAAAGTAGAACATTGCATTCCTATGGAATGGACAGCAATATACTTTCATTATTTTGCATCATCACTATAATTATATTCTTGCTCTTTGTCACAATACAGTCCAAAAAAACTTCCGATCATCTGCATATTCGGTCAAACCTCAAATTGTTCTCTCACATTGATGACATCATCTTCTTTACATATCAAAACCAGGAAATTGAAATAACTCAGGTAAATAAGACACATGAGCACTATATGGTACAAAATAAATCCTACAAAAATGCAGGGGACTAGCTTATCAGTGAATACTGTAGAAGCACAATGTTCTAGCATGTCCCATCCAAGGTAAAGGACAGTTATTACTCCTGGTAACTCCCATCTCTAAGAAAGATGCATAGTGAATAGCGGGACTCTGAGGAGTTTGAAGACATCAATTCAGCTTTTAGAACAAATTCAGGTTTTAGAACAAAGAGTATCTGTGGTAAAACCAGAGTACCACATGACATTTCTGGCAATTACCAAGGAAAATTCTAAGAATATAGTGTCCCCAGGTTGCTGGTCCAAGGCCATGCCCTCTGTTGCAGATAACTATTCCCCTCATTCAAATGCCAACTTCTGGTATGCAACGCGTCCCTTATAGAGACCTTATATAAATATGTACATATGCATCTATTAAGGGATACAGGCACTGTTTCACAGGAGACTACGAGGCAAAGAAAGTCATATGATTCTGGTATACTATACTTGTAGGGAAAATCACTTATATGAGACGTGGTTTCTGTTACATCCTGGGGACAAGTAAGTGTATATGTAGAAAACAGGGTGTTCACTATGGTCCTCCTTTTCCATGCTCAGTTAGTATAACTATAATGTGACTAAAGCAACAATGCTTGAAAAGAGCATGATAACAAAGGGTCAGCCTCCTTTGGCAATTAAGATCCGGGTTACTCCGCCGAGCAATCAATTTAGGAGAACGGAAATGCTCGTAAAGGATAAGCAACATTTTGAATGAGTCGTATGGCAGTGATAAGTATGTTCTTATACAGCATAAGCAAATCTGTTCAGTGCAAGGAATAAACTACAGAAGACAATTATGATCTCCTTCCCATATCTATTTGGGCTTTACCAAATTATACACACTAACCCATCTCCCAACTGGCTCAGTTTCCCTGCAATTAGACCCATTATGTCTACATGCTGGGAAGGACAAAAGTGCTGAAAATTAACATCCAGCCCAGGAGTAACCCTCAGCCAATGACTAAAGGGAACTGGTGCACAAATATCCCAGGTCCCTCATTCTGTGGGAGAAAAAATAGTGCAGTACAATCTTTGCTGACTCCCAAATTTCTCCAATCTTACTTTCTTATTTTTTACAGGTGTTCCCTGATTTTATCTCCTAATGAAACTTATTATTGTTTTTAGGTTGGCTGCTAGTGTAACAAAAACTACAAATATACACTTAATTATTGAAGGGAATTTGTTACAGGTTAATGGGAAAGTGGTCTTGAGACAACAGTTATATTACAGAAAAACTTCTTTGTAGTTTTGGGTGAGTTTACATGTGATTCCTTTGGTAGAAGTCAGGAGCAGAACCCAGTCTTCTTATTTTTGGGGGAGTATAGGGCTCTTTTTACCATAATACAATGGCTTCCTCTTTGGGGGGCATTAAGCAAAAGAAAAGTAATTTGTATTCACACTAAAATATATCAATCCAAAGATAAAATTATATGACAAGGACCTCACTCATTAATATTCTTGTGTTAAAATTTTTGCTAATTTTCCTTTTGCATTATCTTTGATAGGTTATTCCACTTTAAAATGGAACTTTACTCCTTTACTTATTTTTCCTTACAGTTATGATGCCTAGGTACTTGAGGGTACTGGTGATAAGGTAGTGAACCATAAGGAACACTATCCCTGCCCATTTTAAAGTATAGTGGGGAGACAGATATTAATAAAAAAAAAATCCAGCCAGGCGTGGTGGCTCACGCCTGCAATCCCAGCACTTCGGAAGGCTGAGGCGGGCGGATCACGAGGTCAGGAGATCCAGACCATCCTGGCTAACACGGTGAAACCCCGTCTCTACTAAAATACAAAAGCTTAGCCGGGCGTGGTGGTGGGCGCCTGCAGTCCCAGCTACTCGGGAGGCTGAGGCAGGAGAGTGGCGTGAACCCGGGAGGCGGAGCTTGCAGTGAGCCGAGATCGTGCCACTGCACTCCAGCCTGGGGGACAGAGCGAGACTCTGTCTCAAAAAAAAAAAGAAAAAAAAAGAACAGTAAGTAAGTAAGTAAGTAAATAAATAAATAAATAAATAAATAAATAAATAAATAAATAAAAATTTAAAAAATCCAAACACTTCAATGTGTCTATGAATGTGCTCCTAGAAGCACTGGGAGCATAAACTGAGAAATAAGATCTAGTCACAGGTTTCAGGTAACTCTCTGAGAAAGCACCACTTGGAATGAGGTCTATACGATGAGTCTAATTTACTAACTTGAAGGGAAGTAGAGTCTAGGCATAGAAAAATATGTGTAAGGACACCTTAGCAGAAAAGAGTAGAAAACTTTTGAGTAAGTGCCAGAATGCCTGTGTGAGTGGAATGTGAAGGAAAAGGGGATGCTTGATAACAAATACAGGTGGCGAAATAGGCTAAGATCTTTCAAAGAACTGAAAGCCAAACATAAGTAATGGAGAGGAGAGGGTTGGGGTAAGACCAACAGGTTTGGATTTTACCATGACCAGTTTGGCTAAAATGTAGATACGGAAGTGAAGGCATTGAGAATGGATGACATTGATAAAGAAGCCATTATAGTCTAGATGAGATATGATTTATTGATCCAAAATGATGATATTAAGGAAAGAATGTAATTTTCACGTTTAACGATATTTAGAAGGAAAAATTAATGGGACTTCCTGATAGATATTAAATAGTAGGAATTGACCTGTAGAAGAAGATGAATAGCTCAATACTGTAAGAAACTCTGGAATATAACAATATTTGAGAAAAAACTTATCAATTAAACCCAGGCATATCAGTCCTGAAAAACCCTTGAGAAATCTAAGTAATACTGTGGAGTAAACAGTGACTTGAAATAGCTGTAGTTCAGAAAAGTCTGGCTCAAAATTATAAATCTGGGAAGAATAAGTAAATGCATATATTGTACATGAAGTTCTATGTAAATGAGAAAAATTATAGGGTGAGAAAGCAGATGACTTTAGGATGATCTTCTACTGCCTTCTTGAATCACTCCTTTCCCTTTTTTATGACATATTTTTCTGATTTTCTATCACATTTCAGGCTACTGCCCCTTAGTCTGTTTTTTAAGTTTATTTGATACAACTGCTATTGCTATGGATGATGATGACAAAGGCAAGTATCATAAAAATTATAATATAAATAAGGACAGTTAATATATATGAAAAGGTTACTTTTTATAAAAAAATCAAAGTGTTTATATGAGTTAACAAATTCAGTCCTTATTACTACATATGAGGTAGTCATCTTCATTTTATTCCCACTTCACAAATAGAAAAGATGAGTCATAGTGTGTTTAATAATTTTCCATGACTACAGAGTAGAAAGTGGGAGAGACGCAAAGCCAAACATTTAGTTCCAGAAACTTTACTGTTAATCACTGTGCTGCACCAATGGAATAAGCATTCTTTTTGGGTATACATTAATCATTTAGCAAGATGTAATGAGTGATAAGGCAAATCTCAATAGATTTTTAAAGATTCAAATTATCAAAATTCTCTGGCCATAACAAAATTAGACCAGAAATCCATTTTTAAAAGATACTGTGAACAATAATCAAATATTAGAAATTTTATAACATGCTATAAAATAATCAATGTGTTAAAAAATTACAGGAACATTAGAAAACATTTTGAACTAAATGAAAAAGAAAAATACAATATATCAATGTTTGTGTATGGCAGCTAACATAGTACCTAGAGCGATCTACAGCATTAAATCTTTATATTGAAAAAGAAAAAAACAAGGCCGGGCACGGTGGCTCACAGCTGTAATCCCAGCACTTTGAGAGGCTGAGGCAGGCCAAATCACAAGGTCAAGAGATTGAGACCATCCTGGCCAACATGATGAAACCCTGTCTCTACTAAAAATACAAAAATTAGCTGGGCATGGTGGCATGCGCCTGTAGTCCCAGCTACTCAGGAGGCTGAGGCAGGAGAATCGCTTGAACTCAGGAGGCAGAGGTTGTAGTGAGCCGAGATTGCACCACTGCACTCCAGCCTGGTGACAAAGTGAGACTCTGTCTAAAAAAAAGAAAAAAAGAAAAAAAAATCTAAAATCCATGTTCTAAACCTGCACCTTAAGAAAGTAAAAAAGAAAAAAGAAATAAATACCAAATAAGCAGAGGAAGAAAATAATAAAAATAAAATCATAAACCAAAGAAATAGAGAAATTATGGAGAAAAATCAATATTAACATCATAGTAGAAGTTCTAACTATTGCAATAAAATTTTGAAAAAGATTTACAGAATGGAAAGGAAAAATATTAAAATGTCTGCATTCAGAGATGACATGATGTAAAAAACCCCAAGAAATCTACAAAAAACTTCCAGAACAAATAAATAAACATAGCAAGGTGGCAAGATACAAGGTCATTATACACAAATCAATTCCCTTCCTATAGAACATAAATGAACAAATGGAATTGAGGATTTAATAAAATACCACTTATAATACAACAAAATACTTAAGATTAAATAAATAAAAATATGTATAAGGTTTGTAGGCAGACACTACAAAATACTGATGAAAGAAAAGATATACATGAAGAAAAAGATATTTTATGTTCATTGACTGGAAGGTACAGTATTGCTGTCAATTCTTCCAAACTTGATGTATATGTTCAATAGAATGCCAATCTAAATTCCAGGAAGCTATTTGCTAGATACTGATAAAAATGACACTAAAATTTATATAAGTAATCAAAAGACCATTAATTGCACCACGCAATACTGACAAGGATGGACAAAGTTGGAGGACTGACATTAACTGATTTCCAGACTTACTATAAATTGACAGTAATAAAGATAGCATACTGTTGGTGAAAGAATAGATTTATGTATCAAAGAAACATACAGGAGAGCCCAGAAGTAGAGTCATGCAAATATTCTAAAGTTATTTTTGACAAAAGTCAAAGGCAATTCAATGGAGAAAGGATAGTTTTTTTTTTTTCAACAAAGGCTGCTGAAAAAATTGGACATCCATATGCTAACTGTTGAACCTAGACACAGGCAATACATTTCAAAAAAATTAATTGGAAATGATCATATTTCTAAATGTAACCTTAAAAACAACAAAACTTCTAGAATCAAACATAGGAGGAAATTTATGTGACCTTAGAGTCAGCAAAATATTTTTAGATTCAATACCAAAAGTATGATCCATGAAAGAAAAAGTAGATAAATTTCACTTTATTAAAGCCAAAAGATTTTTCTCTGCAAAATACACTCTTAAGAAACTAAAAACTTAAGCCACAGATTGAAAGATATTATTAGAAACAAGTATATCTGGTAAAGAATTTGAATCCAGAATACAAAAAAAGTAAAACTCAGCAATAAGAAAATGAACAACCCAATTAAAATGTATGAAAAATTAAAGATATCTCACTAATTGCACATAAATACCAAAAGAAAAATATAAAATGTGCTCAGTTTTTTTTTTTTTTTTTTTTGAGACAGCATCTCAATCTATCACCCAGGCTGGAGTGCAGTGGTGCAATCACAGCTCACTGCAGTCTTGACCTCCTGGGTTCAAGAGATTCTCCCATTTCAGCTTCACAGGTATTTGGGAACACAGGTGTACACCACACTTGGCTAGTTTTTTTGTTTGTTTGTTTGTTTTGGTAGAGACAGGGTTTCACCATGTTGTCCAGTGAATGTCATTTTTTATTATTAAAATACCCATTTAAACAACAAAGAGATGCCACTGTATCTATTAGAATGGCCAAAATTAAAAAATAAACATTGCTAATTTCTGGTTAAAATGCAGAGCAAGAATTGTCATTCATTGCTGGTAAAAACACAAAATGGTACAGCCACTTTAGAAGAAGCAAGTTTATCATATGATCCAGCAATTTCACTGTCAACATTTCTGAAAACTTATGTCCACATGAACCTACATTCAAATATATATAGAAGTTGTACTTATAATTCCTAAGGATGGAAACAACCAATATATCTTTCAATAGGTGAGTGAACACAGTGGTAAATCCATATAGTGTAATAGTATTCAGCATTGGGAATGAATGAATGACCTATTAAATCAGGTAAAAATGAAGATTAATTTTAAATTCTTTCTTCTAGATGAAGAAAGCTAGTCTGAAATGGCTTCATAATGTATAATTATATTTATGTAACATTATGGGAAAGGGATAACTGTAGAGATAGTAATAGAAAAGTTTTTTCCAGGAGTTCAGCAATGGGGGACAATTGAATAAGTAAAGCATAGGAGGCTTTTTTTTTTTAATGACAGTGAAACAATTCTGTATGATACTCTAATGGTATACACCATGACACTGTGCATTTGTCAAAATGTGTAAAACTTTGTAGCAGAAAGAGTGAATTTGATATCTCAAAGTTACAAAAAAATATATCATTTAGAACAGCTGTTCCAAACCTTTTTGGCAGCAGGGGCCAGTTTTCTTGCAAGACAATTTTTCTACAGACAGGAAGGATTGGGGGTTTTGGGGATGAAACTGTCCCACCTCAGATCATCAGGCATTAGTTAGATTCTCATACGGAGAGCACAATCTAGATCTCTCACATGCACCGTTCACGATAGGGGTCGGGCTTCTGTGAGAATCTAACGCCGCTGCTGATCTAACAGGAGGCAGTGTTCAGGCAGTAATGCTCACTCACCTGCTGCCCACCTTTTGCTGTATGGCCCAGTTCCTAACAGGCCATGGCCATAGCTGTCCATGGCCCAGAGGGTGGGGAGCCCTGATTTAGAATGTTAGCTGGGACAAAAGAATGTAACACTATTTTAGATATATGCTATAACTTCACATAAGGGAATGCTGACCTAATTTGCTTTGGAAATGAGTGGAGTCTGTAAGACTAAAGGAAAAAAATGCACATAAACACCATGTTCTAGTTAATAAAGTTGTTTCCCACAGGGGTATGTGTTAAAAGTTCTACACTACTATATATGTACACTGGAACTGAACAATTCAGTTCATTAATGACAGGATGGTAGGTACCAGGTTTCTTACTTTTGGAGTGGGAGGTTACAGACAAGCAAGGGATAAGGCTAGAATGATCTTTGGATAATGAATTAGAGTTGACATTATCAACTTATGTAGAGTTTAATATAGATACAGATGGTTACATCTAGAAATATATATACACACATACATACACAATAGTCATATAAACACGTTTCCTTGCTCTGTCAGCTTAGAAGGTCTGGAAGCAATGATGCTCTAGTAGCAATGAGCACACCTAACACCTACATCTTGACTTCTAAAACAATTTTTCGATTAAAGAAACCATGACTCCTGGAGAAATGGCTGATTCTAAGACTGGGGCAAGAAATACACAAGATGAACCTGGAACATCTTACAGTGCCAGAAAATAAGGAAGTTCACAAAACGCACAATGAAGGGCCAAGATGGCTGACTAGAAACAGCTGTGGTCGGGTCGGAGGCTTCCACTGAGAAGAACAAAAACAATGAATGAATACTGCATCAGCAACTGATATGTCCAGCTTCTCTCATTGGGACTGACTAGCAGTTGGCATGACTCGTGGAGAGCGAGAAAAAGCAGGGTGGGCAACAACCCACCTGGGAGCCACATGGAGAAAGGGAAGCTCCCACTCCCAGCCAAAGGAGGTGGTGAGTGATCATGTTACCCTGCCTGGGAAACCACACTTTTCCTATGGATCTGTGCAACCTGCAGATCATGAGATCCCCTTCATGAGCCCACACCACTACTAGGGCCTTGGGTCGCAGGCACAGAACTGAGCAGATTCTCAGTGGCCACTTGGTGGGAGACTGCTTGAGACTACTGAGTTCCTGGCGGGAGGGACACCTGTCATCACTGTGGCTGCCTGCTGCCTAAGGCAACAGAGCTTCCAGCTAGTGGGGTGGCCGCATCACTGCAGCTCTAGTCTGCCATTTTTCCCCTGCCAGTGCTGGGGAAACTGGATGGTTTGGACCCAGGAGGAATTCCCCATAGCACAACACAGTGGCTGTGGCAGATCATGGCCAGACTGCCTCTTTAGGCCAGACCCTGACCCATCCATCCTCATTGGGCAGGGTCTCCCTGCAGGAATTTCAGCAACTCCGGCCAAAGTTTTAAGGATACAACTCTGATCTCCCTGGGACTGAGCCTCTGTGGGAAGGGGTGGCCACAGTCTCTGTGGATCAGCAGACTTAGTATTCCCCCCACTGCTGGCTCTGAGGAATCCAGGTAGTCTGGATGAGTGGGTTTTTTCCCAGCACAGTGCAACCCCTCTGCCAAGGGGCAGTCAGAGTGCTTCATTAAGGGGGTCCTGGATCCTGTGCCTCCTGACTGGATGAGACCCCCCCCAACAGGGGTCGCAAAACACCTTATACAGGAGTGTTTCCGCTGGCGTCAGGTTGTGGTCCTCTGACAGGAATCCCAGAGGAAAGAACAGGCAGCCATCTTTGCTGTTTTGCAGCCTCCACTGGTGACACCTCCAGGTGCAAGATGGATCCAGGCAAACAGGGTCTGGAGTGGACCTACAGCAAACCAACAACTCCATGGAAGAGAGACCTGACTGGTAAAAGAAAAACTAGCAGAAAGCAACAACAACAACAATGAGAATCAACAAAAAATTGTCCCCACAGACACCCCATCCAAAAGTCAGCAGCCTCCAAGATTGAAGCTACATAAATTCATGAAGATGAGAAAGAATCAATGAAAAAAATGCTGAAAACTCAAAAAGCCAGAGTGCCCCCTCTTCTCCTCCAAATGATCACAATACCTCTCTGACAAGGGCACAGAACTGAGTGGAGGCTGAGATGGATGAATTGACAGAGTAGGCTTCAGAAGGTGGGTAATAATGAAATTCACTGAGCTAAAGGAACATGTTCTAACCCAAAGCAAAGAAGCTAAGAACCATGACAAGTCATTACAGGAGCTGTTAACCAGAATAACCAGTACAGGGAGGAACATAAACGACCTGATGGAGCTGCAAAACACAACATGAGAATGTCACAATGCATCCACAAGTATTGATAACTGAATAGAATAAGCAGAGAAAAGAATTTCAGAACTTGAAGACTATCTTGCTGAAATAAGACAGGGAGACAATGTTAGAGAAAGTAGAATGAAAAGAAATAACACATCCAAGAACTATGGAGTTATGTAAAAAGATCAAACTTATGACTATTTGGGTACCTGAAAAAGATGGGTAGAATGGAACCAAGTTGGAAAACATACTTCAGGATATTATTCAGGAGAACTTCCCTTACCTAACAAGACAAGCCAACATTCAAATTCAGGAAATCTAGAGAAACCCAATAAGACACTCCATGAGAAGATCAACCCAAAGACATATAATCATTAGATTCTCCAAGGTCGCAGTGAAAGAAAAAATGTTAAGGGCCACCGGAAAGAAAGGCCAGGACACCTACAAAGGGAAACCCATCAGACTAACAGTGGACCTCTCAGCGGAAACCCTACAAGCCAGAAGAGATTGAGGGCCAATATTCAACATGCTTAAATAAAACAAATTTCAACCCAGAATTTCATATCCAGCCAAACTAAGCTTTGTAAACGAAGGAGAAATAAAATCCTTTTCAGACAAGCGAAAGCTGAGGGAATTCATCACCACAAGGCCTGCCTTGCAATAGCTACTGAAGGAAGTAGTAAATACGGAAAGGAAAAACTGTTGTCAGCCACTGCAAAAACACACTGAAATACAAATACAAAAGCTAATGATACTATAAAGCAACTACATCAACAAGTCTGAAAAATAACCAGCTAGCATCATGAGGTCAGGATCATATTCACACATAACAATATTAACCTTAAACGTAAATGAGCTAAGTGCCCCTATTAAAAGACACACAATGCCCACTAGATAGAGTCAAGAACCATTAGTGTGCTGTATTCAAGAGACCAGTCTTACATGCAAAGACACATATAGGCTCAAAATAAAATTATGGAGGAAAATTAACCAAGCAAATGGAAAGCAGAAAAAATCAGGGGTTTGCAATCCTAGTTTCTGACAAAAAAGATTTTAAATCAACAAAGATCATAGAAGACAAAGAAGGGCATTACATAATGGTAAAGGGATCGATTCAACAAGAAGAGCTAAGTATCCTAAATATATATGCACCCAATACAGGAGCACCCAGATTCATAAAACAAGTTCTTAGAGACCTACAAAGAGACTTAAACTCCTACACAATAATAGTGAGAGACTTTAACACTCCACTCTCAATATTAAACAGATCGTCAAGACAGAAAATTCACAAGGATATTCTGGTCTTGAACTCAGCTCTGGATCAAGTGGACCTGATAGATATCTACAGAACTCTCCACCCCAAAACAACAGAATTTACATTCTTCTTGGCACCACATGGCACTTATTGTAAAATCGATCACAAAATTAGAAGTAAAACACTACTCAGTAAATGCCAAAGAATGGAAATCATAACAAGTGGTCTCTCAGACCACAGCACAATCAAATTAGAACTCTAGATTAAGAAACTCACTCAAAACCACACAACTGCATGGAAATTGAGCAACCTGTTCCTGAATGACTCCTTGGTAAATAATAAAATTAAAGCAGAAATAAAGAAGTTCTTTGAAACCAATGAGAACAAAGAGACAACATACCAGAATCTCTGGGACCCAGCTAAAGGCATGTGAAGAGGGAAATTTATAGCACTAAATGCCCACATCAAAAAGCTAGAAAGATCTCAAATCAACAGCCGAGCATCACAACTAAAAGAACTAGAGAATCAAGAGTAAACAAACCCCAAAGCAAGCAGAAGATAAGACATAACTAAGATCAGAGTGATACTGAAGGAGAGAGAGACACGAAAAATCCCTTCAAAAATCAATCCAGAGGCTGGTTTTATGAAAAAATTAGTAAAGTAGACCACCAGCTAGACTAATAAAGAAGAAAAGAGAGAAGAATCAAATAGACATGATAAAAATGATAAAGGGGATATCACCACTGACCTCACAGAAATATAAACAACCATCAGAGAATACCGTAACCATCTCTATGCAAATAAACTAGAAAATCTAGAAGGAATGGCTAAATTCCTGGAAACATACACCCTTCCAAGTCTGAACCAGGAATTAGTTGAATCCATAAATAGACCAATAACAAATTCTGAAGTTGAGGCAGTAATAAATAGCCTACCAATGAAAAAAGCCCAGGGACCAGATGGATTTACAGTTGAATTCTACAAGAGATACAAAGAGGAGCTGGTACCAGTTCTTCTGAGACTATTCCAAGCAACTGAGAAGGAGGGGCTTCTCCCTAACTCATTTTATGGGGCCAGCATCATCTTGGTACCAAAACTTGGGAGAGATATAACAAAAAACAAAACTTCCTGCTAATATCCCTGATAAACATAGATGCAAAAATCCTCAATAAAATACTGGCAAACCGAATCCAGCAGCACATCAAAAAGAGTATCCACCACGATCAAGTTGGCTTCATCTCCAGGATGTAAGGCTGGTTCAACACACGCAAATCAATAAACTTAATTCATCACATAAACAGAACCAAAGACAAAAACCACATGATTATCTCAAAAGATGCAGAAAAGGCCTTCAAAAAATTCAACATTCCTTCATGTCAAAAAATCTCAATAAACTAAGTATTGATGGAAAACATACCTCAAAATAATGAGTCTTTTATGACAAACCCACAGCCAGTATCATACTCAATGGGCAAAAACTGGAAGCATTCTTTTGAAAACCAGCACAAGACAAGCATGCTCTCTTACCACTCCTATTCAACATAGAACTGGAAGTTCTGACCAGGGTAATCAGGCAAGAGAAAAAAAAAAATAAAGTGTATCCAAATAGGAGGAGAGGAAGCCATACTATCTCTGTTTGCAGATGGCATGGCCATATCTAGAAAACCCAGTTGTCTCAGCCCCAAAGCTTCTTAAGCCCATAAATAACTTCAGGAAAGTTTCAGCATACAAAATCAATGTGCAACAATCACAAGCTTTTCTACACACCAATAATAAACATGCAGAGAGCCAAATCATGGAGGAAATCCCATTCACAATTGCTACAAAGAGCATAAGATACTCAGGAATACAGCTAACAGGGGAAGTGAGGGACTTCTTCAAGGAGAACTACAAACCACCACTCAAAGAAATAAGAGAAGACACAAACAAATGTAAAACAATTCCATGCTCATGGATAGAAAGAAGAAATATTGTGAAAATGGCTGTACTGACCAAAGTAATTTATAGATTCAATGCTATTCCCATTACACTACCATTGACATTTTTCATAGAATTAGAAAAAACTACATTAAAATTAATACGGAATAAAAAATGAGTCTGTATTATCAAGGCAATCCTAAGCAACAAGAACAAACCTGGAGGCATCATGCTACCTGACTTCAAACTATACTACAAGGCAACAGTAACTAAAACAGCATGGTACTGTTATAAAACCAGACACATAGACCAATGGAACAGAATAGAGATCTCAGAAAAAAGACCACACATCAACAACCATCTGATCTTTGACAAACCTGACAAAAACAAGCAATGGGGAAAGGATTCTCTATTTAATAAATGGTGTTGGGAAAAGTGGCAAGCCATATAGAGAAAATTGAAACTGGATCCCTTCCTCACACCTTATACAAAAATTAACTCAACTCAAGATGGATTAAAGACTTAAATCTAATCCCCACAACTATAAAAACCCTATAAGAAAAACTAGGCAATACCATTCAGGACATACGCATGGGTGAAGATTTCATGACAAAAACATCAAAAGCAACTGCAACAAAAGCAAAATTTGACAAATGAATCTAATTAAAGAGCTTCTGCACAGCACAAAAAACTATCATCATAGTGAACAGACAACCTACAGACAACCTACAGAATGGAAGAAAATTTTTGCAATCTATCCGTCTGACAAAGGTCTAATATCTAGAAACTACAAGGAACTTAAATTTACAAGAAAACAAACAACCTCATTAAAAAGTGGTCAAAGGACATGAACAGACACTTCTAAGAGGAGACATTTATGCGGACAACAAACATATGAAAAAAAGCTCAACATCACTGAACCTTAGAGAAATGCAAATCAAAACCACAATGAGATACCATCTCACACCAGTCAGAATGGCAATTATTAAAAAGTCAAGAAATAACAGATGGTGACAAGGTTGTGGAGAAATAGGAATGCTTTTACACTGTTGGTGAGAGTGTAAATTAGTTCAACCTTTTGGAAGACAGCATGGTGATTTCTCAAAGGCCTAGAACCAGAAATACCATTTCACCCAGCAATCCCATTACTGGGTGTATACTCAAAGGAATACAATTCTTTCTATGATAAAAATACATGCACACATATGTTCATTGCAGCACTATTCAAAATAGCAAAGACATAGAATCAACCCAAATGCCCATCAATGTTAAACTGGATAAAGAAAATATGGTACATATACACCATGCAATACTATGCAGCCATAAAAAGAAATGAGATCATGTCCTTTTCAGGGACATGGATGTATTTCGTAGCCATTACTTTCAGCAAACTAACACAGGAACAGAAAACCAAACACTGCACATCTTCACTTATAAGTGGAAGTGAAACAATGAGAACACATAGACACAGGGAGGGGAACAATACACACTGGGGCCTGTCAGTGGGGTGGTGGGAGAGAGAGCATCAGGATAAATAGCTAAATAGCTAATGCATGTGGGGTTTGATACCAAGGTGATGGGTTGATAGGTTCAGCAAACCACCATGGCATATGTTTACCTATGTAACAAACCTGCACATGTATCCCAAAACTTAACATACACACACACACACTGGTGGGAGTACGTCAAACACGCAGAAAGTAACTGAAAGAGTTCTCAATGTCCAAAAGTAAAACTATTTGACCAAAAAAATTCATAAAATAGCATTGAATTATAGCTTGAACTATAAATACATATCCATGAGTTAATATAAATAAATAAAACAATGCAGAAGAAATAAGTCTCACATGCCAAAGAATTTCAAGGAATTTCGGATAACTTATGTAGATAGCCTCAAGGAGAAGAAGCATACTGAATTTGTACTTCCAAAGTGTGGGCAAAGTGGAATGACTTCCTTCCAAAGAGCATAGTATGGGCCGGGTGCAGTGGCTCACGCCTGTAATCCCAGCACTTTGGGAGGCGGAGGTGGGCGCATCACCAGGTCAGGATATCGAGACCAGCCTGGCCAACATGGTGAAACCCCATCTCTACTAAAAACACAAAAAAAAAAAAAAAAAAAAGCTGGGCGTGGCGGCGTGCCCCTGTAGTCCCAGCTGCTCTGGAGGCTGAGGCAGGAGAATCGCTTGAACCCGGCAGGCGGAGGTTGCAGTGAGCAGAGATCACACCACTGCACTCCAGCCTGGGCGACAGAGCAAGACTCTCTCTCAAAAAAAAAAAAAAAAAAAAAAAAAAAAAAAAAAAAAATCATAGTATGGAGAGAGGGAAAAGAAAGAGTTAAGTAAAACCTGACAAACACGACTTCTTCAAGGTTCTCAATGTTTATGTAGACAGTCCTAAGTCATGTTGATAGTATGTACTCTTGATATGATGTAATGAGAATAGGGGATTAGCTCTGCGCTATTCTTCCCAAAACTCCTAATCCTATAATAATCACAATAGAAACATTTGATAGGTCCCAATTACTAGATACTTTAAAAAATGTCTGAAAAGTACTGCCCCAAACAGTCATCAAAAACAAAGACAACCTAAGAAACTATCAGACTCAATAGGAGCTTAAGGAGACATGATGACTTAATGTGATGTAATATCCTGGATAAGATACTTCAATTAAAAATATATAAAAATAAATCTGAATAAAGTACATGTTTTATTTAGTAACAATATATTGGTCATCGATTAAGACAGATTATATCAATGTAAGATGTTAAAAATAGGGGAAATTCAGTGTGAGATACACAGACACTACAATTTTCACAACTTTTCTGTAAATCTAATATTGTAAAGTGAGTATTACAAAATTTAAAGGAATAAAAGATTAGGTATCCCAAACCACGAGCAAGCTGTAGTTACTTATATTGTGCATGCATGAAGAATATTATTTTTTACTCAATTTTAGTGATGTAATTCTCCAACACTTCTGTGGCCTAATCAATGAGGTTACATCCTGTTCTGCTTCATGGCTTCAGCAGTCTGACAGCCACAAAGTCTACACCATAATTTAGGAAAGTATGTCTAGAAAGATTAATCACCCTCATCCCTAAGATTTAATGACGCTCAATAAAGACATAAGGGAAATTCATAAAAGAGGACATTACCACAAGTTAGCCAATATTCTATGAATCTTTAACTGCAGAAAACAAATATTTTTTCAAAACATAATTATTAAGATTTCTGTCCTGCCGGTAAATGTTATACTCAGCAAACATGAGAGGTGATATTTGTTTTCCACTGGACACCGAAGTCACCAATACCTTAATTCTATTTGCTAAAGATATTGCCATTAGTACTAAAAACAGGGATACCAATAGTGAAACATTCATTTTCAGGTTCCAAAATACACTTCTTATTACATAATATGAGTTTTTGAGAGTTGGGCTATAATACATAACTCAGAATAAACAAAATAAAGGAACATGTGGCTCTGGTAAATATACTTTCTACATAAAGAGAAGTCAATTCACTTAACCTTGAAATATCAATAAGATTGAATTCTCATTGTAATCCTATACCCTAATATTATTTGTAACTAAAAACCATGAAAACCAGCATTACTTATTTTTATAGCAGAATAGAAACAAAAATATTAAAACTGAAGAAACTAGAATCTATGTTTACTTCACATAATATAGTGAAAACCAGATGAACCTAGATGTATAACATAAGGTCTTTCATCTTAGAGTGGTAGACAATGCATATTTCATAATAATCTCTATTGCATCTAAAGGAAAGGGTAACAGTATTTTTGTATTAAGAATAAAAATCTTTTACAGTGCCTTCCCCGGAGACAAGGTTTTAAGATTTTTTTTTCCCTAGTTGTATGCTAACCCTCTTAAAATCATAGCAGATACAATCAGTTTTTGAAATGACCTTTATAACTGTCAAAGTAGATAAAATTACAGATTTGTTGGATCTCTAGTGTGATGTCATAAAATCCCATTTGCTCCAGCAAGAGTCATTATCTGTCTTTTTTGACAGTGTGTTTCACATGATCAGTAAGAGAATCACGGGAATAGTTAAATGGACATTTAGAAATAAAAATATCCTTGAAGTTTAGTAGGAAATCTATGAGAATCTAAGAACCATGCTAAGAAGATTTTTTTTAGGTTACTATGATTAGAATTTATTTTAACAATAAATGTTTTAAAAGTATGAACAGAAATACCAAATTTTTGTATTCACATATTTGACATTGTGGCAGTTTATCATCTTTACATATCTCCATTTGATTGTCAAGTTTATGTAAAAGTTTTTAGTTAAATATTATAGTTTCATAGCATTGTGCAAATGCAGGTAAGAGTATATCATGATAGATTTATTCGTTCATTCAATTGACAATATCAAGCCAATTTTGGCCTTTTAAAAAGAATGATGTTATAGACATTATAATGTTATGTACATGTTATGCATATTGATTCTAATGCACACATGATAAATTTTATCCAGCGCATAGCCCTAGCAGTGAAAATGCAGGGTCATTAAACGTGTGCCTTAAAATTGATTAATATTGTTGTTTTACAAAATCATAATGTAATTAAGTTTAGCACTACCAAAATATATAAAAGTTCCAATTATGCCATATTTTTGCCATTACTTGGTACTGTTAAACTTTATAAAATTTACCAATTTTGTTGGTGTATAATAGTATATATTCACCATATAAATTTGCATTTTCCTGATAACTAATGAGGGTTATCAAGTCAAGCAACTTTTCATGCCTTATTTTGGCCTTTTGGTCAGCCTTATTTGTGAAGTTTCTTTGAAATTATTTTACTCATAAAATAATTTAGTGAGTAAAATATTTATTAAAAAATGTATTTTATTCATAATTTCATGTACTTTCATAAATTGATTTGTAGTTCTTATATATTCTATTTTATTTTCTTAATACATTTTATTTTGCATATTTAAGATATACAACATGTTAAAATATTCATATTTGTGTATGTGTATGTATATTGCATGATCTCATATGATGAATATAAACATTTTTAAAGGGTCAAGTACATGGAGATAGATAACAAAGTAGTTGTTATTAGGGTCAGAGTGGAGGGAGAAAATGGGAGAATGTAGGTCAAAGGATCAGGTATTAATAACAATAGTCTTCATGTTATGGATTAGACGTTTGACTTGTTCATCCCACGTATTTGCTACCTTGAATCCTTTGACCTACTTTCACCCATTTTCTCCCCTCTACTCTGACCCTAATAACAACTGATTTTTTTCTCTATGTAATTGACCTTTTAAAAATGTCAATAAGTTTAGATTCAACATATGAGATCATGTTTCATTTTTCTTTCTATATCTGGCTTATTTCACTTAGCCTGATGTCCTTCTGGTCTATTCATGTTGTGACAAATAGTAGGATTTTCTCTTTTTTAAGGCTGGAAAATATTCCATTGCATATGCAGTATATATCTCCATTTCTTTATCCATTTATCCACTGGTAGAAATCTACATTGTTTCCATATTTTGGTTATTGTGAATAAGGTTGCAATGAACATGAGAGTGCAAATACTTACAAGGTGTTGATTTCATTTTCTTTGAGTATGTACCCAGAAGAGGATTTCCAGGTCTTATGGCAGTTCTATTTTTAATTTTTTAGCAACTTACATACTGCTTTCTATAATGGCTGCACCAATCTACATTCCCAGCAACAGTGTATAAGAGTTCCTTTTTCTCCATATCATCACCAATACTTGTTATGTCTTGATTTTTGGCAACAGCTATGCTAAGAGGTGTGAGATGGTATCTTATAGTGGCTTCGATTTGCATTTATCTGATGATTAGTGATGCTGAGCACATTTTTACATATCTGTTGGAGATTTTAATGTCACCTTTGAATCAATGTCTATTCAAGTTTTGGTTCATTTTAAAATCAGGTTATGCATTTTCTTGCTATTGAGTTGTAAGCACCCTTTAAAAACCTTGGATATTAATTGCTTATGCAGATATATGGCTTTCAAATACTTTTTCCTCAATCTGTATGTTGCCTTTCATTTTGTTAATTGTTTCCTTTCCTGTGCAGAAGCTTTTTAGGTTGATGCAGTACCATTTATTTATTTTGGCTTTTCTAGTCTGAACTTCTGGTGTGATTTCTAAGAAATCATTGCCAAGACGAATGTCAGGAGTTTTTCCCGTGTTTTCTTCTAAAAGTTTTATGGTTTCAAGTCTTATGTTCAGGTCTTTTATCCATTTTGAGTTTATTTTGGTGTATGGCATAACATAAAGGTCCAATTTTATTCTTTAGCATGTGAAAATTCAGTTTTCCCATTAACATTTATTGAGGAGACTATTATTTGCTCATTGTGTGTTTTTGGTGCTCTTGTCAAAAATTAGTTGAGCATATATATGTTTAGATTTATTTCTAGGATTTCTATTCTGTTCCCCTGATCTGTGTGTCTATTTTTATAGCAGTATTATACTTTATGATTACCATAGCTTTGGAATATAATTTTAAATCAAGAAGTATGATTCTTCTAAATTTGCTTTTTTTCCTTCACAATTGCCATGGCTATTTGAAGTCTTTTGTGGTTTCATACATATTTTACAATTGTTTTATCTATTTCTGTGAAGAATGCCATTTGGATTTGGGTAGGAATTGCTTTGAATCCATATATATTGCTCTATGTAGTATGGACATTCTTCCAACCCGTTAGCATGAAATACCTTTCCTTTCATTTATGTCTGCTTTGATTTCTGTCATCCATGTTTTATAGTTTTTAATGTATGGGTTTTCAAACTCGTTGGTGAAATTTATTTCTAAGTACTTTATTTTATTTTTGATGCTATCTTAAATGGAGTTGTTTTCTTGTTTTGTTTTTTTTTTTTTTTTTGGACAGGTCATTATTTGTGTATAGAAATTCTACTAATTTTTGTTTGTTGATTTTGTATTCTGCAAATTTACTGAATTCACTTATTATATCTAACAGGTTTTTTGGCGAAATCTTCAGGGTTTTCTACATACAGGATTTATGTCATCCTCAAATAGAACTAATTTTACATCTTCCTTTCCAATAAGGATATTTTTTGTTTCTCTTGTCTACTTGCTCTTGGTAGCTCTTCTAGTACTATGTTGAATAAAAGTGGTGAGAGTGGGCATCTTTGCCTTGTACCAGATCTTAGAGGGAAAACAGTTTTCCCTCACTGATTATGATGTTAGCTCTGGGTTTTTCATGAATGACTTTATTACATTGAGAATACTTTTATTTTATACTTAAATTGTTAAGTTATTTTATCAAGAACAGATGTTGAAATTTCTCAAATGCTCTTTCTGCATAAATAGGTAAGATCATATTTTTTTTTCAGTCTGTTAATGTAATACATCACATTGATTGATTTACATATGTTAAACCTTGCGTTGTGAGGGATAAATTTCATTTGATCATGTTGTATAATATTTTTAATGTGTTGTTGGATACAGTTTGCTAATATTTTATTAAAGATTTTTGCTTCATTGTGACTCAGAAATATTGGCTTATATATTTTTTCTTTTCTTGTGTTGTTTTTATATACCTCATGTATCAAGGTGATGTTGGCCACGTGCAATGTGTTAGGAAGTATTCTTTCCAGGTCTATTTTTTGGAATAATGTAAGAAAATATTGGTATTAATTCTTATTTGAAAATTTTGCAGAATTCAGTGTGAAGTTGATAGTGACAGGAGACAGACAAATTCCCAGGCAGACAGAGACAGATCCCTGGTTAAACTTGACCTTCAAGCCAAGGACAGTATGAAGCCTGAAAACCAAACTACTAGCTCTGAATGGAGTCCATGCACTGGAGTGAGAACTTCCATAACTGTTTGCCTACTCTTTCCCTATTGTTTTTTTCTGAATAATGCTTTTTAATCAATCAAATGTTGCTTTTTCCAAGACTACCTACAGCCCACACTTCCTCATCCCAACCCCATAAAAAACCCAGACTCAGCCTCACAGACTATCCACTTTTGGGGCCCCTCTTGCTGCCAAGAGCTTTTCTTTCATGTAATAAAATTATATTCTGCCTTACTCACTCTCTGATGTTGGCATACCTTATTCCTTTCGATCACAGGACAAGAACCTGGAACTTGCTGAACTGTGGGAGCAAAAAGAGCTGTAACGCCCCCTGTAACACCCCTGCTCCCCTAGCTGTGGGCAGGGGGACTAAAAAAGCTGTAATAACACTGTTTCCCACACATTGAAAAACAGGAGAGAAGCCACTGGGCACCACTCTCTCCTGCTGAGCAACAGGAGAGAAGAAGTGAAGCCACTAGATGCCACTCGTTCCCACTAACTGAACTGTGGGGGCAAAAAAGCCACAAGAAAGCCATCTGGTCCTGAGCTTATTTTCTTGAGAGATTTTAATCACTACTTTAAACTTTTTGTTTTTTATTAGTATGTTAAGTCTTTCTTTGCCTTCTTATTCAACCTTGGTATGTTGTATTCTTCTAGGAATTTATCCATGTGCTCTAGGTTCCAAAGTTGTTGGCATATAACTGTTCATAATCATCTTTTATAATCTTTTTTTCCTGAGGCACCTGCTGTAATGATTATACTTTCATATTTGATTTTATATATTTGAGTCTTCTCTCTTTTTTCTTAGTGTAGCTAAATGTTTCTTGATTTTGTTTTTCAAAAAAAAAAAAACCTTTTATTGACTTTTTTCCTGTGATTTTTCTATTCTCTATTTTATTATTTCTGTCCTGTTATTTATTCTTTTCTTACTTCTGCTGTGTGTTTAGTTTGTCCATTTTCTAGTTTATTCTGGCATAATTTCAGCCTATATATTTGGAATCTTACTTTTATTTTTAATGTAGGCACTTATTGGTATATATTTCCTTCTTAAAACTGCTTTTACTGCATCCCATAGGTTTTGGTATGTTGTGTTTCCTTTGTTATGTGACTCAAGATATTTTTAAATATCTCTTTTGATTTCTTCTTTCACTGTTCAGGTGCATGTTGTTTCATTTCCACATATTTAAAAATATCTTCTATTATTAATTTTTAGTTTCATGCCATTGTGGTTAGAAATAGTACTTGATATTTTGATTATCTTAACTTGGCTAAGACATGTTTTATGGCCTACCAGATAATCTGTTTTGGAGAATATTCCATGAACACTAAAAAAGAATGTGCATTCTGCTGCTGTTACCTGGACAATTCTGTACATATCTGTTAGGTCCATTTTGTCTAAAATGCATTTCCAGCATTCTAAACTGGCAGAAGTCAAAGATGAAGAGAGAATTTTAAAAGCAGCAAGAGAAAAAGGTTAAGTCATATGTAAATGAATCCCCATTAGAATATCAGCAGACACCTTGTAGTCCAGGAGAGAGAAAATAGGATAATACATTTAAGTGCTGAAAGAGAAAAGAAATCTTTCAGACAATAACACTATATTCCAACAAAGCTGGCCTTCAGAAATGAAGGAGAAAAAATTCTATCCCAGGTGAGCAAATGTTGAGGCAGTTCATCATCACTAGTCCTGCTTAATAAGAAATACTTTAAAAAGTTTTCCAAGTGAAAAAAAAGAACACTAATTACTAACAGAAAAACAGATGAAAGCATAAAATTTATTGACAAAGATAAATGCCGCTGTTATATGGAAATAAATTTCTAAAGAATTCCTTAGAAATTTATTTCCATGGGCTGGGCGCAATGGCTCATGCCTGTAATCCCAGCACTTTGGGAGGCTGAGATGGGCAGATCACTTGAGGTCAGGAGTTCAAGAATAGACTGGCCAACATGGTGAAACTCTGTCTCTACTAAACATACAAAAAATTAGCAGGGTGTGGTGGCACACACCTGTAATCCCAGCTACTTGGAAGGCTGAGGCAGGGGAATCGCTTGAACCTGGGAGGTGGAGGTTGTGGTGAGCCACTGCACTCTAGTCTGGGTGGAAAAGCGAGATTCTGTCTCAAAAAAAATTTATTTTCATGTAACAGCAGCATTTATTTTTGTCAATAAATTTATTTTTAATCTTGTTTCTCTGTTCATTGTTGAAAGTGGGATATTGAAATCCCCTACTATTCCTATATTTCTATCTATTTCTTTCATGCCCATTCACACTTGCTTTACATGTTTGGGTGAATCAATGTTTACTACTTACTTATATATTTATAATTGTAAACAATTATATGTTTATAACAATTATATATTTATAATTGTTATAATATATGTTATATAATATGTTATAATGTTATATAATATAACATGTTATATATTATATATAACATATTATATCATATGTATTATATAATATATAATTACCTATTATATAATATATATAATATTAATATTATATATAATTATATATTAATAATATGTTAATAATATATTTATATATAATATATATAATATATAATTATATATAACATATATAATATATAATTATATATAACATATAAATATATAATATAATATATAAATATATAATATATAATTATATATCATATATAAATATATGATATATAATTATATAATATGTTATAATAGATAACATATGTTATAATATTGTTATAATAATGTTATAATATATAACATATGTCATAATGTAATATAATATAGATTATATATAATATATAACATGTTATAATGCAATATAACATAATATATAATAATATATAATATGTAACATATGTTATAATATAACATAACATAATATATATTGTTATATATAATATATAACATACAATGTAATACAACATAATATATAATGTTATAATGTAATATAACATAATATATATTATTTTATAATATGTTATATTTTAACATAATATAACATTAAAACATGTTATATATGTAATATATGTAATGTATTGGAGAATATATAATTATATATTTAAAATTGTTATGACCTCTTGATGAATTAACCCCTTTGTCATTAAATGACCCCCACTGTCTCATATTACAATTTTGACTTGAAGCATATTTTATCTCACATAAATCTAGCCATTTGTGCTCTCTTTTGTTTGCGATTTACGTGGAATATCATCTAACTGTTCACTTTCAGCCTATGTGTGTCATGAAGGCTAAAGTAGGTCTCTTGTAGATAGTATATGGTTAGATTCTATTTTTCATCCACTTAGCCACACTATATATGATTTATAGACCGCCATAACAGTCAGAGCATTCTGAATTTCACTATATATTTACCTTTATCTGTAAGTTTTATACTTTTATGTTTTTCAGTTAGTAATTACTGTTCTTTTGTTTTCACTTGAAAAACTTTTTAAAGCATTTCTTGTAAAGCAGGTCAAGTGGTGAACTCCCTCAACTTTTGCTTGTCTTGGAAAAACTTTCTCCTTCATTTCTGAAGGCCAGCTTTGGGTATAGTGTTCATGTCAGAAAGTTTTTTTTTTTTCTTTTAGCACATAAATATACCATCCTGTTCTCTCCTGGCCTACAAGGTTTCTGCTGATATTCTAATGGGGATTTACTTACATGTGACTTAACCTTTTTCTCTTGTTCCTTTTAAAATTCTCTCCTCATCTTTGACTTTTGACAGTTTAATTATAGTGTGCTTTGGAAGGGGCTTGTTTGGGTTGAGTCTGTTTAGTGATATTTGAGTTGCATGGATCTAGATGTTCATATCTCTTCTAAGACTTGGGAAGTTTTGAGAAATTATTGTATTAAAAAATCTTTCTGTTTCTATCTTAATCTCCTCTCTTTCCAAAACTCCCATAATGGAAAAGTTTGTTCATTGAATAATGTCCCATGAGTCCTGAAGACTGTCTTCACTCTTTTTCATTAATTTTTTTCTCTTTTTGTCTCTGACTGGGTAACTTCAAAAGACCCATCTTCAAGTTTAGAGTTTATTTCTTCTGCTTGATCTAGTCTGCTATTCAAACTCTCCATAATATTTTTAATTTGATTCATTGAATTCTTTAGCTTCATGATTTTTGTTTTACTCCTTTTAAAAAAACCTCTCTCTTCATTGAATTTTTCATTCAGATCATGATTTTTTTTCTGATTTTGTTGAATTGTCTGTCTGTATTCTCTTGTATCTCATTGAGTTTTTTTTAAACATTATTATTTTCAATTCCCTTTCAGGCAATTCATTTTTTTTCCTTTGGGTCAGTTACTAGAGAATAATCGTGTTGTTTTGGTGATGTCATGTTTCCTTGTTTTGTCATGTTTCACGTGTCCCTGCATTAATGTCCATGCCTCTGGTGGAATAATCACCTCTTTGAAACTTTACAGAGTGACCTTCAGAGGGAAAGAGGTTCATCTGCAGATGGGTCTTACTGTGCTGGTTGGGAAGTGTGTGGTGGCTCTGGTTCTGAATGGATGCAGTAGTGTAGCCTCTGTGCAGATTCTTTAGTCATAATCAATGTCAGCAATGACTATGGGTGCCTTAGTGGCCTAAGATGTAGGAGTTTGTAGCAGTGGTGGTGACAGTGTAGATTGTTAGGGTCCTTGGTGGCAAGTGCTCTTGGGATTCTCCTGTCCTCATTTTCCCCACATATGGAGTCTTAACTGAAAGGATCCTTCTTAGTGTTAGGTCTGATACAGCTCACAAGCAGCTGTAACACCATGGGGTTTTAGGATGTAGATGCTCAGAGTAGTTACGGAGCAGGGATTTTGGGCTCAGCATCGCACCTGAGTTTTGGGGTTCAGGTTTACTCTCTGAAGCAGGGTTGGATTCAGAATGCTCACAAAAGCAGGGTCTGTGACTCTGAACCACCTCCAAGCAGCTCAGGCCCAGGAGGCTGGATTGTCACTGTGATTCTGACCCTAGGAGACAGAGCACAAAATTGTCTTGGTACAAGGAAGGAAGAAGGAATGCTCTCTAGGTTTTGGCCCAGGGAGCAGATGCAATTCAGAAATGTTAGCTAATATGGCACAGTGGCAACTCAGGCCTCAGGGTATGTAGCCTTATGTAGTGGTGACTCTGGACCCTGGGATTATGGGACATGACGGTATCCCAGACTCTTTAAGGCCAGGTGCAGTGGCAGCAAGGAAAACAGAATAGTGGAACACAGCTATTGCTTGGACCCAGGGGAGCAGGGAGCAACACAATGATGCCAGTTCCAGAGAGGCAGAATACTAGTTATGTGGCCTGTAGGACATGGTGTCTGAGCTCAGACAACTCTCTGTTTCCCTTGGACATGAGGAGCCACTTTGGCTTAGCCCTGGGATGTATGTCTGCTTAGCCCAGCCAAGGTACTGATTTCCTAGCAGGTGATGTGCTGCTTCAGCTTAGGCCTAGTGGGCATGGCTGCTCTGGAGAGAGGGCAACACTTCAGCTCAAGCACAAGGGGGTGTGACTACTTTGAGTGGCAAAGACATCATTTCCTGAGGAGGCAGGGTGCCACTTCAGCCCAGGAACCAGGGGTTGTGACTGCTCTGGGAGGCCAAGGCAACATTTCCTGGAGAGACGGTGCACTGCTTCAGCTCAGGCCCCAGGGGCAAGACACAGCAGCAATTGGGAAATGCAGATGCAGTGGCTCTGTAACAGCTTGGTCCCATGGGGTGGGGTGTAGCAGCAGCTCAACTCAGAGATGGCAGGCTCCCAGGCAGGGGTGGTTCAGCAGCAACAAAACCTCAGAGATGAAAGGGCACCATGGTTAATTGCCCCCAGAACAGACCATACCAGCCATGAGGGATGGAGCACAGTGCTGGCTCTGTCTCTGGTGGGAGCGCAGCTTTGGGAAATCCAGTAAGTTCCCTCAGCTGGGCTTAGCACTTGTGAGGACTGCAGTAGTGCCCAGTGGTGAAGTCTGTAGATGTCCGGGGTGGTGATGGGGGATGCAAGGCTTCTTTTGGTTCCCTTTTCACTGCAGGGAGAAGTACTTCCTGGTTCTGAGGCGATCCTCGCCAGGAGACAGGGTGGCCAAGGCACAGTGTTTTCTTCCATTCTCTATGTGGCCATTCTGGCTTTCTATGTTGCACAGAATTTTCACTACTTCTTTGATGCATTTTGATATCCTTCTTTAATTATGTTCATCAAAATGTAGTTGTTTGTTCATTTTTTTGGATGTCTTTGTGTTGAGTGGGGAAAACAGCTAGGGGCATCTAGTAAGGTATCTGGGTAATGTAACTTCTCCCACTATGTATTTTTTATACAAATCATTATTATGCCAGTTACTTGTGTTATAAATATTTTTAAAAATTCTTTATCTTGCTTTTTAACTGCATTAATTCACTCTTTTAATGAGTAGTTTTTATTCTAGTTTACGTACCAATTCTTCCATTATTTAGTTTGTATCGTATTTAAGAATTCTTCCCTAACCTGAGTTCATGAAGACACTGCATGATTTGAAACAGATTTTTGTGTTTGGTAGGAGCTAGCTGTCCAATTTAATTTTATTTTTTTCTGTGAACTGTAATTGCCCAGACCCTTCACTGAAATATCTATTCTTTCCCCACAGATAACCAATGTTGATCTGTTATATATCAAATGTCTATATACCCTTGGTTTACTTCAGAATTAATGGAATAAACAGGACATCCATGCTTAGCTTCAGCAATTGGCTGGTTATAGAATGCCAGTATTTGAGGAAACCATGGTGTACTTTCATGGATTAAGTGCAAGGAAAGTAGAGAATTGTTAATACAATCATTAAGAGCATTGGATCTGAAGCTAGTAAGATTGGCTTTAAATTCTGCCTCTATCATTAACTATCTGTGTGATCTTATGCAATTCATTTGGGCTTCTTATGCTTCAATTTCCTATTCATTGGAATAGGGATAATAATAATAATAGCTAATATTTAAAGGGATCTTATGATGTGTCAGGTCATGTTTGAAGTTTTATATATATACATTATATATATATGTATACACACAGACACACACACACACACACACACACACACAGTAAGTTATCTAATTCTTACAGCATACTGGGAAATCCTACAACTATTGCATTCATTTGACAATCCTCAATTGGCAGACTGAGACCAAGAGTGATGTCATTTTTCCATGGATGTTCATTTAGTAAAGTGTAGTAGCTGGGATTCATAATCAGCTTGTCTCCAGAATCTGTTTTTTTAACGATGAAGAAAAAAACTAAACTTTGTTCTCATAAAAGTTGCTTCAATTGGAGAATTGTTTGTTACTGCATTACAAACTAGAAAAAGATGGTGAACACTTTGGTCTTTCTCTAATAGTTTGTATTTCAATATATAATACCATTGTATTTCTAATGTGTAATCCAAAAATCTGGGAATCATCTTTATTATGTTCTTGGCCCTCTTTCTCCATACCTATTCCATCACAATATCCTATTAATTTTAATTAATTTGAAACCATCTTTTCTACCTCTATAGAAAAAAAAATCCCGTCATTTTTCATCTATACAAGTATATTCTTAAGAGTTCACACTACGGGTACTGTTTTCCCTCTTCTACTCCTCACCCTCACTCCAAAGTTAGAGTGATCTTTTAAAAATGCAAGTATCATCATGATATATATTATCTAAGAATAACATTCTAGCCGGTTCCCATTAATTAGGAGGGAGAATACCTGTACACTATAGAACACCATGAATGCAAATGTTGATACTGGGAAAACAGGGATGTAATTCTGAAGGTAAGGCTGGTGGTGAAAAGGAATATTAACATTTAAACTGAGTTTAACTTCCTGTTTTGCCACCAGCTAGCTATGTATCTTTGGATAAATCATTAAATCCCTCCATTTACCTCATCTTTAAAGTGTGTACTTATATGAGATAATTACTAAAACACAATATCACCTTGAAATTTTCTGATTATAGTTTAAGATAACTTGAAGGGAATAAGACAACTTTGCTCATAAAGAAAAACTCAGGTTTGTAACTGTTTTAAACAAATGGGCTATTATTTGATTTATGGAGGTAAACATGTAGTCTGAATGTCAATTTCATAAGATGTTGAAAAGTTGGGTTAATATTCTCAAAACCAAAATCATAAGTACATCTTTCAACTTTAAAAAGACTAGAAATTCAATTTTGTTTATATATATATATATATATATATATATATTTAAATCAAGCATTCATTGAACGTTTACCACTCTCCTTTTATCCATTCTTTTGTTCTTTGTTGACATTTACAAGGGTAAATTTTCTTTTTTTTCCCTTCGTCTTCAAATAAATTGTGACAACAACAAATGTGAGTATTTTTAGATGTGATTTAGAGGATAGTATTCTATTAGATATTTGCTTCTGACCCTATCTCCAATAAAATTAAATTGATGTCATTGACAAGTAGTAGTAGTTGACAGATGTGTTTATCAAGATTGTGGGTATCATTGTGGATGGCTCATGGGAATGACAGTAGGAGTGATGGTATGAAACTGAGCCAATGAAATTGCAGCCTGGATATCAGGACAAATACCTTAACAGTGCTTTAATCTCTTTGGGGAAATTGCAAAAGATCTATGTTTTTTTTAGTACGTTCAAAACTTGCATCTGGCAAGTGAAGTTGGGTGGTGAAAACAGACTTATGAATCCCTTTTCATATTCACTGCTTCTCAACTGAAACAGAGTCACAATTCTGAAACTAATTTTCTAGGAAAAATCTTGGTGTTGCTTTTGATGCTTTTCACCTTTACATGTAGTCTGGCAAAACTTTTGATTGCTGACTTAATTATGTAACTTTTCAAGACTCCATTTACTGAATTAATTACTTACTCAATTCTTTATTAACGATGAAGAAAATGTCTTCCCAGATACATTCTGGCAATCTATTAACTTGACTGCTGCAACATGTTACACTACTTGCCATTTTATTTTTACATGTGACTAGCAGTCATTAAACATATTTACCAACCATAAGAATTATTGTGGAAGGCAGGATAATGGTTTCCCCACACCAATATGTCCACAACCTAATCCTAGGAACCTGTAAATATGTTTCTTACATAGCAAAAGAGACTTTGCAGATATAATCAAGGTTAATGACTTTAAGATGGGGAGATTATCATGAATTATATCATTTTGCACCATCTAATCACACGAGTTCTTAAAAGCAGAAACATTTCCTGGCTGTTTTCAGAGAAAGAACGTTAGAGAGATTAAACACTTCTGGCTTTGAAGATGGAGGAAGGGTACCACAAACCAACGAATGCAGGCAGCTTCTACAAGACAGAAAAGGCAAGAGAACAGATTCTTTCCTAGAGCTTCCAGTAAAGAATGCAGCCCTGTAATGCCTTGATTTTAGCTCAGTGATATTCATGTCAGACTTCTAACTTACAGAGCTGAAAAATCATTTGCATTGTTTTAAGTCACTGATTTTGTGACAATTTGTTACAGCAGCAATAGAAAGCTAATAAAATATTAACTCCTCATTGGAATCACTTTATCCTGTTGATATGCCATCTATGAACACATCCTAAAATTGTTCATTAGTTCATTTATTTTTATATGATTCATTTTTAATGGCTATGTATATCTAGCATTGTATTAGGAGTAGAAGCTATGAAAACAAATTAGGTACATATGTCCTTATGTTAAAAAATCACACAAATATATGATTACTAATAAATCAATATAGTAAATGTATATAAGTGCAATTACTATTATAAGAACTCAGAAAAAGAAGTAATTGATTTTAGGTAGAGATAAAGTAATAAATGTGGTATAAAATAATGTTTCAAAGAAGGGAAATTGGAACTAGGATTTTAAGGTTGGGTAGGTTCTAGTAGACAGAACAGGGAGAACAAAAAAGATAAATCAAAGGAGGAAAACAGGATTAGCAAAGGCAAGAGATATGTACAGCTGGGAATAATTTGCTAAAAAGCAAATCTGTTGTTTGGCTCTTTTATTTATACTAGAGTACAATTTTCATATTAGAATACATATTAGTATAAGGAATATTTTGTTCACTGCTACATCCGCAGCATGTAGTGGTCAGCACATTGGCATTCAATAAACCTCTGTTGTGTGAGTGAATGTTTTTAATGTGATTTAAATAATTTATTTAAATACAGAAGTATTTTAGATGTGGTTTAACAGATTGAAAAAAAGAAAAACGTAGACACCCACAGTATCTTGGAGGGTTCTGCACAGTCCTCAAGTGCCAAACTCTGCTCATATATGGCACACAGAAAATAAAACTTGCGACATTTGAAAGCTTATATACAAATAGATATGATATTGTAAAATATTTCATGGACCTTATTGTCATATGTCTTAGTATCTGCCAACTTTATTTCAGTTTTAGTAAACACTGATTTCATCTTTAAAGAACATCTGTTTTTGAACAGTACAAATAATACAAAATGCTATTTTTTCTTGAGACTGTTGTATCCATCATCAAATTCACTATACTTGAAATTTTTCAAAGCATCTGATTTTAGATGATCTAAAAGCGAAAATACACTCTGCAACCACTCCAACTTTATTATAACTAGAAACAGATGTTCAGCAATATAAATTAATTAACTCCACTTTTTATTACACTGATTAGATTTTAAATCTTTTACTTGATACTTTAAAAATATTCTTTAATTTTAGTATATTGCAAAATGATATTTGTCTAAATTTTACTCTTTTGGACTATAGATTTTAAAATACTTTTCTAACCTAACATCTTCGTTTAAATAAAATAACAATAAAACAAGCGTCACCTTAAGTTCAAAAGAGTTTATTTCTTATAGGTCATAAGACATTTCTGCTTTTATTAACATCTTTAAACCCATGTTTCAGACAGAAGCCAAATCATTTAAAGGTCAATTTTTCTGAGATTCCCATTTCAGTTGGAGAGATAAAAGGCCAAGGGATGGGATTTGAGGAAATCAGCAATAATCTGCTTTCACCTACTAGGCCCTGTGTAAGAAGACATAGATCCTCTCACCCAGGGTGGTTTTCACTGAAGTAACTAGCTTGGGCCATAGCTGGAGTTATTAAGGTGTTTTGGATACACTGAGTTAATATGGCAGTATATTTCCGTGTGTAGAGTCATAAACTTTATGTAGAAAGAGGAGAAAAAGCTCATTTAGGCTTCTAATCAGGGGACAGATAATTCCTTCCTTCTGAAAAAGTTTTGAAAGAACGAAAGAAAAAAGAAGATGTTTGTACACTCAGGAAAAAAACACAATAAAGAACCCTCTTCTTTTCTATAGAAGAAGGCCTGCATGTGAGAGAGTTACGAGGTTATATTTAATCATTTTTGCTTTTGTCACCATCAAAAATACCTATTGTGGAGACTATAGTGCTTTGATGTCAACGAGCCCAATAGTAGAGGATCAACTGCTAAAACAAACAAACCACAACAACAAAAAACCTTATCAACTACAAACTAAATGAAAAGAACAAACTTATAAAAGACACTTTGAATGCTGCCTAATTTTATTTTAGTCAGTCAGTTCTTTTAAAAGTTTTAAAAACATGTTCAGAATTGCATCCACGTCTGTGTGACAGGAACCTGACTAGAGTGACTTAAACAAGTATACAATTTGACGGTAATAAGAATTTCCTGAAATCAGCTGATACCAGGCTTCCAGTGCTGGAAAAAACTAGACATTCTACCTTTCTTGTCTGCTGGCTTTAATACATGGATACCTTCCTCATGCGTATTGCAAAATATCTACTGAAGCTCTTGGCACTATATACATGTTTTATTAGAAAAAAAAAAAACAGAGCAGTATTCTTGAACAAAGGGTAAAATAAGTGTCAGCCAAATCTCTTAACTTTTTAGCAGGATATAAAGCAGTAGATTTTCGTAACTGTAAGTGTGTCTGGGGAGACAAAATGCCTATAATCAGATGTATTGCTACCTTCCTCCCTCATTGGGATTCTGCTAGCAAGAAACAAAGAGAGGATAGATATCAGGCAGGCATTGGCATCATCTCCTTTGTCTTTTAAATTTTTGATTGTCTAATGCTGTTCATGAAGTTATTGCAAAGATTGATATATTTAGTAAAAATAATTGACAGGGCCCGAATAAATAACACAGTTAAATCTACGGAAGCAGAAAACTATACCTCATGATTTGGTTTATGGTATAATCCAATAAATATCATAACATTTGGGATATGTACATCAGTCTTACAATTTTACTTTAAGGCATTTAAAAAGGGTTCAAAGGAGACTTTTTTAGTGATTAAAATAGTTACTTTACCATTCTCCTAACCAGTCAAATACTTAAAAGAAGAATAATAGCTATGGCTGCTGGGAGGAGAAGGGACAAACTTTTCATTAGCATATATATGATTGTCTGGAAGACTTAAGAGAATCAAGTGAAATATACTAATGGGAGTAAATGTAAACACAAAAGTTTCGCCGTTTTTCTGTATATCAAAATAACCAGAGAGAAGGTATAATGGGGAAAACTCTGCAATAAATATGTAAGCTGAGTAGCAAAATAAGAAATAACTTATTAACAAGGCTGAATGAAAACTCAACAAAGGCATGCACTTTATTTAAAGTTATATGAGAAGTCTAGGAAATTGGAGATAGACTTTGTAGTTCCTAGGCTAGGGGGCTGGATATTGATAAAAATGTTGGTGCTTTCAGAATTATACCATAATTGAAATTGTGTTGAAATGTAATACCATTTCAACATGCACAAAATTTATTGAAAATTTAAGTATGAAATTAAAAACATCTAGAATGATTGTGAAAAGAGTCGGAGAATTGGCTGTAGCCACCTAGGATCTTGTATTCTTGTATAATGGATTGTATGAAAACATAGATTGGTGGAATCTATAATTATAATAAATTGCCAAGAAATTAGACCTAATGAATAAGACAATGTAATATGTGATAAAGCATCACAAATCAGTTTATAAATATTTTTATAGTTATGAAAAACATTAAAAATGAGGACAACAGTATAAAGATAATGTTACACTTGACTATAACATTTAAAGTTTGTACTCAGAAATTCATAGTTTGAATTTAGTATCATACAATTACCATGTATAAACAGAAGTTGTGGGAAAAACATTTGAATGTGCTTAAGTTTTTGATGCTATAAATGAAGTTTACTGATAAAACTTCATTAACATAACTTTATTCTAAAATTATTTTTTGAAAGATTGTTTTACTCCTAGAATATTATGGTATTTAATAAATACATATCTGTATTATATTTTTAAATTTCTATATTCTATTACTTAATTCAACAGATATATTTTGACTATTTACTTTGTGCAATCAATTCAGTTGAAGTGATGAGAATAAGGAGGTACATGAAATCTGAAATTTCCCTAAGCCAGTTTAAAATTGATGAGAAAGGCATATATGCAAATAACTATAGAGATTAATGTAGAGTTATCTGAGTGATATAATATATGTGGTGGAGGATAGGTAATCAATAGCTAAGTTTATTTAGATGTTGATCATTTGGGGCTTCTAATAGTTTTCTCTAGGTTCCATGAATAGATGTTATTCTTAGAACAGATGTTGATTTCATTTACTGAATGAAAAACTACTGTATATATACTAGGTTTGAAGTTGTATGTTATGTGCTACAAAATAAATTAATGCAAGTAAAAGCAAATTCACAATTTATTCTGTAATTGTTCCTCCCAAATTAAGAAATTAAAAAATAAAAATGGAAAGTTAGAGAAACTTGTACATAGCAGAATTGAAACTCTAAATGAAGACTAAAATTGTAACTTTTTTAGGACAAATGTAAATGTAAATTCAATTAATTTAATATGGGTAAATTGTGCAATGGGATAGCTCAACAAGAATCTCTGCCCTCCCATTGTGTGTTGTCTTTTTAAAAATGTGATTGTTGCTGAATTTTGTTCCTTTTGTTTTGTTTTAGATCACCCAAATTTCCTGGATAGTTACTTCAATTTTTAATTTTATAGCTTCAGGTTAAAATTAATTATTTGGGCATTTTATTTTATTTATTGATTTATTTTTTGAGACGGAGCCTTTCTCTGTCGCCCAGGCTGGAGTGCAGTGGCGCCATCTCGGCTCACTGCAACCTCTGCCTACTGATTCAAGCGATTCTCCTGCCTCAGCCTCCTGAGTAGCTGGGACTACAGGCATCTGCCACCATGCCCAGCTAACTTTTTGCGTTTTTGGTAGAGATGGGGTTTCACCATGTAGGCCATGCTGGTCTGGAACTCCTGACCTCAAGTGATCTGCCTGCCTCAGCCTCCCAAAGTGCTGGGATTACAGGTGTGAGCCACGATGCATGGCTTATTTGGGCGATTTAATGTTATTATTTCAAATGTATCCTTTATACTTCTTCACTAATATTAATATTCAATTAAAATACTTAATAACTAATTTTCTAAAATTTGTGTTTCTTAGTTGTTTTATTTGTTTGTTTTTGGTGGTTTTTGAAAGTAAGAGCCAAGAAATGCTGTTAAGGCAGGATATTTTATCTCACTAAAGATAAAAGCCACTTTTATCTACTTGAATCATATATTTTTTCAACTTACCATTTATATGACCATATTTATTACATACACCTTCATACACACACACACGGAGAAGTTGATTGGGGCTTCTAATAGTTTTTATTTCATTATTTTAGAACAGGGATTCAGATGGCATAAGACTAACAGATTAAGAAATAATAATGTTCGAAGTTTAGTAAAATTTCAAGTACAAAAGGCAATTTTGGCAGCAGGTCTTATTCAGAAAGACAGCTTTTTTTAATAATAGGAAGATTCTTATTTAAATTATTGATAACATATATGATCATTTAAGAACAAGGACTTTCAAACTCACTATTATATTCCTAAGACCTCGTTATAAGTGCCTTGAAAATGGCTTGTGCTCAATAAACATAAGGATGAATGAATGAAATATGCAAATAAATAAATAACCCTATTTAGTCTTGGGATTAGAGAAAATAATGGAAGAGTTTAATACATTAATACATCAAATAAGAATAACTTATATCGTTTAACATATCTGCAAGTTTCTAAGGACTATCAATTTGCTTAGGACAGCAGTCATGGAATATTATTTTCTTAAAGGACAGAGCCTTAACGAATGCTACAATAAGATAATCACCAAGATATAAATTTCTGTAATTAATACAAAAACATACAGGATCTTCATGCATAACACTATCTGTAGCGGGCCAAAAAATATGTTAATATGTTATTGATCTGAGCTCTCATTTGTTATGTCGCTGAATGTATGTCCTTGTATCGGGGCTTCTTCTTCTTTTTTCATGAAACATAAACTATTTAATTCTGATTTTTAAATTGCAAAATAATTTACTATATTGAAACAGCCCATTCATCATATAAAGCATTTGCTTCTGTCACCTCAAGTGCTTGTTAAATCACTTCCAGCTGCTACAATCAAGGGCCAGGTACTTCTAAGGTCTGGCACTTTCTGAGCTCCATTACACCTTTAAGTATGATTCTTCAATCCAATTCTAGCCTTCATAATAATCAAGTGCCCACTCCACTTAACTTGAAGGCAACTGGGAACTTAGAATTCTCCATATGTGTCTGTATCTGATTTTCAATCAGACCTCTTCATCCAAAATCTGAAAGGTTCTGAATATCTATGAAGTAGTATAGCAACATTTTCACTTAAAGCAGTGTCAAGAGCAGCATCATAGAAATAAAACTTTGGCAAGGAAACTAAGCTATAAAAGGAATACTTCTCAAAACCAACAAGGAAGTTAGTAAGTTAGTGATAAAACTGAGTGAAGCAATGTTTTCTGTGATTGTACCTACATCAGTCTATTGATTAAATAACTTAGCATTCAGGTGGAATTCAATGTCATTTAAATTATAGGGAAAAGGGAGAAATTCAGTGTTTAAGAATCTATTTTGAAGAAAGTTTATACACAGGCTTTATCTAGGTATAATATTTGATTTGTTTAACAAATATGTATTAACCAGGCATTTTACTGGTGACGCAAACATCTATAAATATTATAAAATTCAAGACAATTATAAAAATAACAAAATAGAAAACAACAAAATAGAAAACATAATGAACTTTAAATGCCTAGTTTATACACTTGCTTCCTAAAAAGTATTAATAGTATTATATTTTAGGCACTATACTAAGTCTAACTATGAATGTGATCCTTGCATTACTGAGCTAATTTTTGCGATATGTGCATGACTTATAAGCAATTCATCATAGCATTATTCTCTAAATCACAGTGCTGTGGGGCACACACATACTATTTAAATCCAGTTTGGATTTAACATAGGTAAAGGGGACTGAGCGCTTATAGGGATTATTTCACATGTGGATGGCAGCAAGTGGAAAGATCTAGAGATGCGAAAGGTGTTGAGTTGAAGGAACTTAAATAATTAAGTATAGTGAGGACATAAAATGTGAATTGAGTGACTGGAAGAGATAAGGCTGCAGAGAGGGTAGAAGATAATAATATGGAGTATAAAATTATATAATCTGAAAAGCAAAGAAAACATACTGAAGACTTTTTTATGGACAATAGTAAGATCGGAATTATAGGATGGATTTGAATGAATCCTAAAGATCATTCAGGTCACCTCTCATTAATTGAGTAGGTACTTATCAAACTCATGCTGTGAGGACAATGCAGTAAACAGAAATTAAATAATCTTATAGGACTGTGTGTTTACTCTGAGAGGGATGGGGAGATATTTGAGAGTTTGAAAAGGAGAATTTGTGGTCTCTAGTTACTATGCTAAGAAGTGAATGAGTGACTGAGAGAACAGGAATGAAAAGGAGACTTTTGAAGTCCGTTGCAAAATCTAGATGAAAGATAGTGGTGGCTCCAACAAGAAAGGTATTGTGAAGATGGTGATGGTAGATTGATTAATTGATATAATTTATCTACAAAGAGTTTTGGTTTGAGCAACTAGAGAGGAGGATTGCTACTAACTGAACAAAGTACACCAAAGAAACAGTATGAGATGGCCGGGCGCGGCGGCTCACGCCTGTAATCCCAGCCCTTTGGGAGACTGATGCGGGTGGATCACGAGGTCAGGAGATCGCAACCATCATGGCTAACGTGGGGAAATCTTGTCTCTACTAAAAAAATGCAAAAAAATTAGCTGGGCGTGGTGGCGGGCGCCTGTAGTCCCAGCTACTTGGGAGGCTGAGGCAGGAGAATGGCGTGAACCCGGGAGGCGGAGCTTGCAGTGAGCCGAGATCAAGCCACTGCACTCCAGTCTGAGCGAGACTCTGTCTCAAAAAAAAAAAACAAAACAAAACAAAAAAAAAACAGTATGAGAAAGAGAAGTTATTTGAAAAAGAGAAATCAGGATTCCTTTTTGTAACTTGTTAAATTTGAAATGTGTCATGAGATCTGATAAGATCATTGAGGGGTGAGTATAGGTAAGAATGATGTCCGAAGATAGAGGACTGAATGACTCCAAGGTTAACAAGTCAGAGTGATAAGAAGAAACCGTCAACGGAGATCAAGAAATAGCTATCATTGGAATCAGATAAAAATCAGGTGAGTGTGCTGACCCAAAAATCAAGTAGATAAATTTTCAAAAAACACAGAGTTAAATTTGGGATCAAATGCTGATGACTGGCCAAGCATGACTGAGACTTGACCACTGAATTTTGCAATGAAAAGATCATCAGTGCCCTTGAAGAATAATTTTTATCAAAGAATGTATGAAAAAGTGATTGGAGAAGATGTAACAGAGAAAAGAACAGGAGTAATTAGAAACTGAGCATAGATTACCCTCATGTGGAGTTTTGTCTATAAAGTGGTGTATATACAAGAGGAGAAAGTGGATCTGAAGAATGGTTTTAAAACTGCATTTTATAATTTAGAATAGTGTTACATTTTTAGTACAGAGAATCCCCATGTACCGCACACCCAGTTTCTCCTATTAATATTTTGTGTCAATATGGCACATTTGTTACAATCAGTGAACCAATATTGATACATTATTAAGTAAAGTCTATATGCTAGTTAGGTCCCTGGGATTTTACCTGATGCCCATTTCAGTTTCAGAGTCCCATTCAAACAATCTGTCACATAGTTAGCATGTCTGCCTAGACTCCTCTTGGCTGTAACAATTTCTCAGACTTTTCTGTTTTTCATCACCTAGGTCTATAGTTTTCCTCTCCAGTAACATCTTTATATGGTTCTAATATTAGGGTGATATTTACCTTTTGGCATGACTTAGAAAGTGTTCTCCTTCTAACGTGTATATATTTATAAATATTAAAAAAACTATGCAGTCGAAGTCAGTTTGCTAGTATTTTTTTAAGGATGAATTTATTTTTAGTTCAAACCCCCAAGCTCCCCACTGGAATATCCAACTAGCTCTACATATTAAAGGACTTTTAAAAAGAAATATGAGGCTCTTGAATATACTGATATTTGAGATAATATGATAAGATCTTCTCCTTCAATCTGCTGTTCTCACTACAGTCAGTGCATTTCATCTAAAATATGAGTCTTATCACATCACTGTCTATGGTATGTTGCTTATAAGAATGGCCTCAATACTTTGCTCCTTCTGTATCCACACCCCTTGGGAGAGTAGGCCTTTGTTGTGGGGAAACTACTGGGCACATTTCACAAGGATTACTCTTCCCCCTTACCTGAAACACCTATGAAGAAACGTTTCTCAGCGCTTTACCGTGATAACCTGGTGGGTTTCCTTGATGGAAAGCTCATGGAGGTCTGGGGACTCCCTAAGAATGTAGTCGCCAGGAATTTCTGAGTCTTAGGCTTGTCTAGCCTTAGTATCTAGCAGTTCATCAAAATTACCATTACATTTTTAGTCATTGATTTTCATCTTGTCCACAGTTTTTTCTCATTGTCAGGGCAGAAGTGACAGTGTCCAAACTCTTTACATGTAAGGCTAAATCTGAAGTCTAAAAGTGATTTTTAAAAGTATCAAATGTTATACCATGTTTACATGATTATTGGATTCTATTAGAGAAGAAAAAGGCGAACACGCAAGGCAGAAAAATTTTCAGAAGAAAATGAGGTCCTTGAGTAGGTTGAGAAGGATTAGGATCAAGTCATATGCAGAGAGTTTACCTTGGTAGAAATAGAGTTAATATGTGTGCAGTGCAATTGGTTGAATTGTATCTTCCAAGAAGATGTCATAGTCCTAATCCCAAACACCTGCAACTGCAACCTGATTTTTCAGATAGGTTCTCTGCAAATGATCAACATAAAATGAAGTCCTTAGGGTGGGCCTTAATCAAATTTGACTGTGTCTCATAAAAAAGTAAATTTATACACAAAGACATGTACACAGGGGAATCCACAAATGCTAAGGTGGAAATTGAGGCAATGCATCTGCAAACCAAAGAATGTCAAAGATTGCCAGTAAAAACATCACGAGCTAGGAGATAGACATGGAAAAAAAATTCTCCTTCATAGGAGGAACCAGACCAAGGAACCAGACACGTTGATCTTGGGCTTCTATCCTTCTGAACTGAGAGACAATAAAATTGTAATTTTTTTAGATGTCCAGTTTGTGCTACTTTGTTACAGCAGCCCTAGCAAATTAATAACACCCAGTAATTTGGAGAGAAAGTAAAATATTGGCCAGAATTTGTGGATGGGATGATGAAATGAAAGAAGCCTGGAGAATTTCTCTTCTAATTAGTTTATTTTCTCAAGAAAAAGTGAACATCATAAATTAGAAGTAAAGATGGAGAATGGAATTATTATTGGAGAGAGGAAGAGGTATAAAAGAAGCATCTCTGAGAGTAGGAGTAGGAATAGACATGGGAAATGTAACTGACAGAAGCTTGATATTAGTGGTTGAAACTTAAAGTGAGATTTCAACATTTAAGTAGAAGGTTGTGGCTCAATTTAGAAAAATGACGATGATGGTAGTGATGGAAGAGTGGATTTTAGAGATATACAATCTCTAAGTTTGACATAATATTATCTGGTTATGGTAAACAGTAAATTAATGGAAATAAGGAATTTAGAAAGGTAACTAAATTTCTAATATGATAAAGCTATTAACTAAAGGTAGCATACAAAGAAAAAACGCAGAGTTTAGTTTTAATCCGTTTTTTAAAAAATTTAACTTTATTGGCATTGTATTATATTGTTGCCATATATATCCAAATTGATTCTTTGACTAGATTATACACACTGGCCCAATTACAAAATGTCTACTTTACTTTGTTAGAAAGAGAATAGAATTTATATCTGCCACTTTGTTTCTTATATAAAAATAGTAACACATTTCAATTACTTATTTACCTGGATTTTATATTTAATACTACCTACCTATAAGTGCACAAAGCAGATTCATCAACACTCTTTGGTTCAGGTTTCACCATAAAAGTGCTGATTTACCTCCAGGAAAATTTTTTGTAATGGCTGGTTTATAGAAATTGAAAATGTTTTTAGCCCAAACATTGGAGCCAGTAATTTTGTGAAAATTCAAAAAGTCACAGGCACAATTTATATGTACGTGAACGTATGCCTGACTGAAGGTTCAGCTGCCATTTACAACAGTGAGGTTATTCTTTTTGCTAATGGTAAACTCTGGATAGTAATAAGATAGAATTGTAGGCAGCATGGCATTACTTAGGGTAAGCTATGTTATCTCCAGACACTGAATAGAAAGGAGAAAACTTGTTTTTGTTTGGTTGACAACCTTATATTCTATGTTGCTGTAGAATTATCTATTTACTTCAGAGAAATAGCTCCTCTTTTTATTCCCAGTTTCATTTTTCAGAATTTCTTACACTATATTTTTAAAATAACAAAAGCAACTGTTATTAAAGTGATTATTTAATCATTTATCCCAAATGTATTTGTTCAGTCTCTACTGTCAGTTAGGCTATTTTAAGGAAATAGACTTTCTGTTAAGAATAATGGAAAGCTATTAAAGGAGTTTAAGTAGGAGAAAAAAAATTACATAGCTAATGCTGCATAAAGAATGACCTCAAAGCTTAGTGGTTTAAATCAATGACTTTATTTATCTCAATATTCTACAGGTCAGCAATTTAGTCTAGGCTGGGATCCTTCATGCATCTACTATCAACTGAGAACCAGCTTTGCTAATCTTAGCTGGGCTCTTTCTACCGTTGGAGGACTCCACTGGGGTAACTGAGCTTATTCACCTAGGCTCCACACTCTTTTATTGTCTAGCAGGATGGTCCGTTATGGAGAAAAAGACCTCAAGAAAAGTAGTAGAATACACACAAGGGCTATTGAGACATGGGTTCAGAACTGGCAAGTTATCATTTCTTTCACAATCTATTGGCCAGAGTACATTACAGGACCAACTGAATTTTAAGAGGTGAAGAGAGAAATTCTCCCTTTGATGGAGGAACTGTAGTGTCACAGCCATTGTTGTTGCATTTCCCCAATTGTTGTAGCCCCTCCTGCTGCAGCTGAAGTGACTTCCAGGGGATTTGAAGAGACAGATTTCTTCCCTACTTTATTTTTATTTATTTATTTTGGTAGCCACATATCAAAATTTATGACATTCAAAAAAAAAAAAACTGCATATATGGGGAAAATTAGAAAGTGAGTCAACATTCCCAGGGAAAGGTAAAAGCTCAGAAAACACCTAAGAAGGCCTTAATTTATATTTCATGCTAATCCTTGGCACAGAGACATTCTAAAACAATAAAAAAAAAACAAACAAAAGAAAAAACAATAACAGAAAGCAACAAATTCTATGGAAGGATGTGAATTTGATTTTCAAAGTTAGCATGCTTTTATTTTATTTTATTTTGTTATTTTTTTGAGACATTCTTGCGCTCTTCCCTAGGCTGGAGTACAGTGGCATGATCTTGGCTCACCGCAACCTCTGCCTCCCGGGTTCAAGTGATTCTCCTGCCTTAGCCTGCTGAGTAGCTGGGATTACAGGCACTCACCACATGACTGGCTAATTTTTGTATTTTTAGTAGAGATGAGGTTTCACCATGTTGGCCAGGCTGGTCTTGAACTTCTGGCCTCAAGTGATCTGCCCACCTTGGCCTCCCAAATTGCTGGAATTAGAGGCATGAGCCATTGTGCCTGGCCCTAGATTTAAATGTCTATCTTTTAGCCAAAAAAAATATAAAGCATACAGAAAAGTATTGTCCTTTCAAGTGCAAAATAATCAGAAATTATCCCTGAAAAAGACCTGATGACAGATCTACTAGACAAATATTTAAAACAACGTCTTAAAGATGTCTAGCTCAAAGAACTAAAGAAAGATGCGGACAATGTTAATAAAACAATGTTGGAAGAAAATAAATATATTAATAATGAGATAGAAAACCTCCTAAAAAGAAACCAAAAGAGATACATTACCTGAAAAGTACAACAATTGAAATAAAAAAGATTATTAGAGAGACTTAGAGGCAGATTTATGCAGGATAAAAAAAGAGTCAGGGAACTTCACAGGACAATGGATATTATCAGGTCTCAGGAACAGAAAGAAAAAAAACAGAAAACATAAACAAAACTGAAGGTATCTGTGTAACTGGAGAAAAAATTAAGACCAACACGTACACTGTAGGAGTTTCAAAAAATATTTTAAATAAAAGGACAGAGAAAATATTTGAAGAAATAATGGCTGAAAACTTCCCAAATTTAATAAAACATGTGAATTTAAACATCTAAGAAGCTCAACATATTCCAAGATAAACTCAAAGAGACCCACAAAGACACATTCAAGATGGCAGAGAAACCTAATCAAACTTTCAAAAGTTAAAGACACAAATAGAACATTGAAAGCAGCAAGAAAGAAACAACTCATCGTACACAAAAGATTATAAATACACTTATAATCAGATTTCTTATCAGAATTTTGAAGGCTAACAGGCAGTAGGCCAATATATTCCAAGTGCTAAAGAAAAAACAAACAACAAAAAATATTGCAATCAAAAATCCAATATCCAGCAAAACTGTTTTTCAAAAGTGAAGGAGAAATAATATGTTCCCAATAAACAAAAGCGGACGGAGGTTTACCCTGAAAGAAAGGCTAAAGGGAATCTTACAGGGTAAAATGGAAGGACACTAGACAGTAACTGGAAGATGTGGGAGGAAATAAAGATCTCAAGCAAGGCAGGAGAGTCAGAAGTACAAAATGAATTTCACTAGCTTACACTCAAGGTCTCAGCAGGGCCACACTCTCTCCAGAGGTTCTTGGGGGAATCCATTTCCTGCCTCCTCTTATCTGGTGGCTTCTGGTGGCTGCCATCATTCATTGGCTTTTGGCTGTATTACTTCAATCTCTGTATCTATGGTCACATTGCACTTTCTTCCTTTGTGTGAATTCTCTCTCTGCCTCCCTTTATCTAAAGACATTTGTGATGGCATTTGGGGCCTACCTAAGTAATGTAGAATAATTTCTCCATTTCATCATTTGTAACTTTATCACATTTACAAAGTCTCTTTTACCATAAAAAGTAACATTCAGAGATGCTAGGAATTGGGATGTGGATATCTTGGGGATAAATTTTTAGCCTGTTATAGGCATCAAACTTTCCCAACCATACTGATTATTTCTGAGCTGGCACTCCCTCTTCATCACATAAGTGGCTAAAATAAGTTTATGGTTTAATACCTGTCATGCATATGTGACCTTTTAAATTCTACAAGTTGAATTGGTTTTCTTAAGAGTTTAATCATAGACTGTGGGATCGAGATTCAAACTTCAAACTGCATATATTCAAAAATTGGCTCATCTATAAACAAGGTGTCTGAACTTGGGGTGTTCATTTAAACTCTTGTTGCCACAATTTCTTCATTTACAAATGAAAATAATTATTTCCTAAATCAGATGTGAGGATTAAAATAATTCATGCATGTAAAGTGCATGCAATAGTATGTAGCGCATTGAAAAGAATTATTATCAAATTAAAAAAGAAAACACATTGAATCAACAAGATTCTTAGATTTCCTTCTCTCTAGTCAATATAATTACTAGTGTTTCACTATTTCTTTGTTTTTCACACCCTATGACTAAGGTGTAAGTGAGATGTTTTGTAAAAATAAATATAAAGATATATATTTTCTTTTTGAGATCCAAAAAAAAAAAAAAAGAAAATTTATCTGGGAGACTGTATATTTGACTTGAAATTCTTTTAACTAACTTGAACCACGAAGTTTTAAACCAAGCATTTGTCATTAACAAAATGTAATGTGTATTTTTATCAGACATATCGATTTTCTTTTTTTTTTAAAGCAGAAGCTGTGATCGGGAAAAGTAACATAGAATTTGTGCCTTCAATTCTTCAATTGCTAAAAGCACTAATTTCAAAACGTTTAATGTGTGCTTACCAATATTTAAAAAAATAACTTTTTAAAGCCTTATAGGTCTTATTTACTTTAACTTGCTGTTGACATTTTGGTATATCATTTGATTTCTATTAACTTTTTAGATAATAATATTTCAATTTGTGTATGATAATCTGTACTGTCCAATAGTTCTTCCATGATTGTCTTCACGGAAGGCTAGTACTTCAGAAATGGTCATATCTGCAGTACCCAAGCTATTAGCCACTTGTAGCTACTGCACTCTTGAAATGTGGCTAGATTGACTGAATCACTGAATTTTAAATTTCATTTATTTATTTATTTATTTTGAGACAGAGTTTCGCTCTTGTCACCCAGGCTGGAGTGCAATGGTGCAATCTCGGCTCACTGCAACCTCCGCCTCCAGGGTTCAAGCGATTTTTCTGCCTCAGCCTCTCAAGTATTAGTGGCTATGATACTAGGCAGGACAGATCTAGATTTAAATCTAACTATGTTGAAAAATACACTTAATTATTTCATATTTATATTTCTGAATATTATTCAACTCAGTGACCTAAATGACACTCTGGGCTTCAGCGTGGTGTAGAGGAATGATAAATAAATATTTTGTTTATACTCTAAGATTGACTTTAATGAGAAAGCTTTTTTGGAGAAAAATTTTTTTTAGGACTGTGGAAATACACATTTTTAAAAAGCTTTCTATATGTTGGTACCACAGAATTATGAAAAAATAAGATATCATAGTGGGAAAAAGGTAATGATAAAATATGAAAATACTATAGTGTTTTATTTGGTAAAAACTAAAGAAAACACAATTCAAAAATTAACAATTTATAAAAACTCAGGCACAGAGTTTTTAAGACAATGAAAATATTCTGTATGATACCCTAATGGTGAATATATATCATACATTTGTCCAAGCCTATAGAATGTAAAACACCAAGAGTGAACCCTGATAAATGTAAATTACAGGCTTGGGGTGAATGCATATGTGTCAATGTAGGTTTATCAGTTGTAACAAATGTTCGGTGCTGATAGGGAATGTTGACAATGGGAGAGGCTATTCATGTGTGGGATAAGAAGCACATGAGAAATTTTTGTGTCTTCAGCTCATTTTTGCTGTGAACCTAAGACTGCCCTAAATAAACTCTATTAAAGTAAATATATATATACCTGGAAGCATCTATATGAGTTAGATAAGGCAATCTTTTAGATTAATTTTAGCAAATATTTCCATATGTATGAAATAAAGATTGAATTACTGCTGTAGTATAAAGAGCTACTCATTGTTAGGGTCAGAGTTAAACCACATGTTCTGATGCTGCATTCTGTTTATTTTTTATATATAATTTCTGCAAATACATCTGTAGCAATAAAGTAAATGATATTCTAAAACAAAGTATTTGTCTTATTCATCACACCAACCTAACAAAATCTAGTTTTCATAAAATTTGCACTTCTTGCAAATTGTCTGCAGACAGCACTTGATAATAGTATCTGAAAAGGTAAAAACATTTGATAAATATATTAGAATCATAACTATTTGATTATGTTTAGTAATAAATATATTACTACTACTCTAAAGATAAATGGAAAAAAAGCATACTTTGGAGTCAGCTTTCCAAAAAATAAATAAATTACAGAAAGTCCTTTCATAAGTCAGAAATGTTGAATAAACTTAAATGATAATACTAAATAACCATACAAAATAAATGTACAAGCAATTCATAAGTTAAAAAGAAAGGAATTCCAATTCTAAAGGTAAACACTTTCTAAAATAATACTTTAATTTTTGTTGAATGAATAAAATATAGATCTTTTTCAGTTGATTTGTTTTTGTGGATATCTGATCTCATGTGAAATGTTGATTCCAGTCCTTTTGAAGCCATTTCCTTACTTTAATTGCATTGCAAAGGTGATTCACAAAGTAAGCATACATCGCATGCCAGAAATACAGACCTCATGATTCATAAGTTTGGATCATTTTCCTTCAAAGGCCAAAAGATGGTGCTGCTGTGTAGCTGAGTTATCATTCCTCAATAATCAATAGGCTTTCACCGTTTAATTCCACTGCTAAAATGGCGGAAATACATCTGTCATAAGAGCAAGTAAAACAGATCTAAACATGCAGTGATACAAATCAGTGGCAAATTAACTTAGGGTGGTACCCAATGATAATTGGATTTAGTGAAATCTGACAGTTGTATAGTAGCAAAGAGATTTATAGTCTCTTTTTGTGTTCTGAGAATTCAGTTTAGATACTCCTTGTAAAGAAGTTACAGATTAAGGAGAGAGAGAATGAGTCTTTGAAGAAATCAGTCACCTTATGAGGCTGGTCTAATGAGTCAAGTATTATATTCTCATTTTACAAATTTAGTAATTTTGTCATACCAGAATAAACCTCAAAATTGTTATTTCAAAACTATAAACTCGGTATCATTATGACTAAACCATAATACTATTCATTGCTGTCAGTATATTATTCAAAGCCAGACTTTTCCTGTTTTATTAATTTTAATTGTTATGCTTTATCACATCTGTATAGTCATTGTTTTCAAAGTGAAATAATTCTACATGGCTTATAATAGGGAAAAATTAAGAAAAAAATTCCCTCACACTTAGAGAATTCCAAATCTTCACTCCTGAGATGACATCATTAAGAAAAGTTTTCTTTCTGTATCGTATTATGCTATATGTCAAAAAAACATGATTATTCTATTATTTCTTGATTTGCTAGTGTTAGATGTATCTATTGACTTTCTAATGCAGAAGAGTTTTCTATTTACTCTACTTCATACACAAGAGAGTTGTGCCATACTTTTTATTTAAATTAATAATTAGTGTTTTTATTATGATTGTGTGAACACTATTCACAGTTGAACTATATATACAGTGTACTTTGATTACTCCTGATTTCTGTACAGTTTTGTGTTTTCTAGGAGATTATAGTCTATAGTGTTTTCTTAATACTGAGTATTTGTTACAATAGGTAATTTATAATCTATCTCCAATCTCTACTGAAGTATTAATTTCTCAACACATTTAAATACATACTCTGGTTAATCAACTAGTTTTTCTAGGAAGCATTATTCCTGGAATCCTCTATTCTTCCTTGGTGCTGAGGAATACTACATGCCTTTCTTCCTAAAATGTTTTCTTTCTGTCATTATTTACCTTTATCCAGTGTTGATTTTTTGGTTTGGATACTCATTTTCCCTGTCTTGCTTGCTCAGTTTTCCAGTTTCTTATGAAAAGTCCATGTAAAGTAAACTGACATGATTATCTCACGCTGCCTTTATTTTAACCTAAAATTGATTAATACATTTCTCTCTCAGATTTTGAGGTATTTCTCTATTGTCTTTAGGAAATTAGTGCTTCTATTGATAAAATTAATACTCATCTTTTAAATACTTTTTAGATAACATGTTTTATTTTCTGGAAATTTAAAAATTTTATTTTTTGTAATTCATGTTATTTTGAAATTTTATGGTGTTGAAACTCAATGTATGTCTGCTTTTGTTAATAATCTTACTTGTCTCTTTGAACTCTTTCAAAGTAGAAATTCATTTTTCTACTCTCTAATCTCAGATATACCTGACAATTTTGAGTTCAAATTTCATTTAAAATTCTCTATAGATTAAATCACCATTTTCTTCTTCTATTATGGTAAGGTAGTTATTCTAATATGTGTCATCAGAATGTATCTAAAGGTCGAACTGTTGCTTGTATATGCTTTCTTTTAACATTTTACTTTAATTTCTTACAGAGGTATAATTAACATACAATAAGCTGTGCATACTCAAAGTGCACAATCTGATAAATTTTCGTGTATGTACACAATGGAATCAACCATAACCACAGTAAAGACCATGAAAATATCCACAGCCCCAAATGGTTTTTTTTTTTTTTTTTTTTTTTTTTTTTTACTAGCAATCTACTTAGGAGTTAGAAGTGTAAATTTTTTACATGTGTATACTGTATTTGTGGTGAAGCCTTTAATAGTTGAACATTGTACATAACATAATTTTTCAAACCTCACCTACCTCCCACCCTCTCATCTTTTGGAGTGTTCAATGTCTATTATTCTACTCTGTATGTTTATGTGTACTCATTACTGAGTTACCACTTATAAGTAAAACATGCAGTATTTGACTTCCCGTTTATGAGTTATTTCACTTAAGATGATGGCCTCCAGTTCCACCTATGTTGCTGCAAAAGACATGATTTCATTCTTTTCATGGCTTAGTAGTAGTCTGTGGTGTGTGTGTGTGTGTGTGTGTGTGTGTGTAATGCATATTTTTATCCAATCATCTACTGATGACCATTTAGGTTGATTCCATATCTTTGCTATCGTGAATAATGCTGTGATAAAATTACAAGTGCAATGTCTTTGTGATGTAATTTTTGTTGTTGTCATTTGTTTTTATTCCCTTTGGGTATATACCCAGTAGTGAGACTGCTGGATGAACTGGTAGTTCTATCTTTACTTCTTTGAGAAATATCCATACTGTTTTCCAGAAAGGTTTTACTAATTTACATTCCCATCAACAGTGTGTAAGCATTCTCTTTTCTCTGCATCCTTGCCAACACCTGTTATTTTTTAACTTTTTATTAATAGCCATTTTAAATATCTAAGATGATATTTCGTTGTGGTTTTAATTTGCATTTCTCTGATGATTAGTGATTTTTTTAATGTTAGTTGGCTGCTTTTATGTCTTTTAAAAATACCTGATCATGTCCTTAGCCCACTTTTTAATGGGGTTACCTGCTTTCTTCCCTTGTTGAGTTCCTTGTAGATTCTGGATATTAGTCTTTTGTTGGAGGCATAATTTGCAAATATTTTTTCCATTTTGTAAGTTATCAGTTTACTCTATTGAATGCTTCTTTTGCTGTGCACAAGCTTTTTCATTTCAATAATCTCTATTTGTCTATTTTTGGTTTTGTTGTGTTTGGTTTAGAATTTGGTCATAAATAATTTTCCTAGGCCAATGTCCTGAAGAGTTTTTTTCTAGGTTTTCTTCTATGATGTTTTTAGTTTCAAGTCTATGTTTAGGTCTTTAATCCAACATAAGTTACTTTTTGTATGTGATGAGAGGTATGGGTCCAATTTCATTCTTTTGCATACGGCTCTCTATTCTATTTCACTGATACTACTGTCTACACTTATACAAGTTCCATGCTGTTTTGATTACTATAGCCTTGCAATATAATGTGATCCTCCAGTTTTGTTCTTTTTGTTTTGCTTAGGATTTCTTGGGCTATCTGGGCTCTTTTCTGATTCCACATGAATTTTATATTTTTTTTTTTCAAATTCTGTGAAAAGTGATCTTGGTAATTTGATAGAAATTGCATTGTATCTGTAGATTTCTTTGGGCAGTATCCAATTCATGAACATGGAATGTTTTTCCATTCGCTTGTGTCATCTATAATTTCTTTCATCAGTGTTTTGTAGTTTTCCTTATGGAGGTTTTTACCTCTTCAGTTAAATATATTCCTAGGCATATTAATTTTTTTATAGCTATTGTAAATAGAATTGCTTTTTCGATAGAGTCCCAGGCTAGATCACTCTTGGTGTATAGAAACACTGATTTCTGTACATTAATTTTATATCTTGAATTTTTAGTGAATTTATTTATTAATTCTAAGAGTTTTTTATTGGATTCTTTAAGGTTTTCTAGATGAAAGATTATATCCCTAGCGAACAGGTTTATTTTGACTTCCTCTTTTCCAATTTGAATGTTTTTTATCTCTTTCTGTTGCCTGATTGCTCTGGCAAGGGCTTCAAGTGCTATGTTGAATAGAAGTAGTGAAAATGGGCATACTTGTCTTGTTCTGGTTCTTACAGAAAATGCTTTCAGCTTTCCCCCATTAAACATGCTGCTGGCTGTGGGTTTGTCATATATTGCCTTTATTTTATTGAAGTATGTTTCTTCTATGCCTAGTTTGTTGAAGATTTTTTATTGTTAAGAGATGCTGAGTTTTATTGAATGCTTTTTCTGCATCTATTGAGAAGATGATTTTTGTCCTTAATTCTATTTATGTCATATATCATATTTACTGATTTGCATATGTTGAACCATACTGGCATTCCTGGGATAAATCCTATCTGATGATGGTGTATTATCATTTTGATGTCCTGTTGCAGTCAATTTGCTGACATTGTGTTAATGATTTATTGCATCTATGTTTATTATGAATATTGGTGTGCAGTTTTATTTGTTGTTATGGTGTCTTTGTCTAGTTTTGGTATCGGGGTGATATTGGTCTTGTAGAATGAGTTAAGGGGAATTTGTTCCTCCTCAATTTTTTGAAATATTTTCAGAAGGACTGAAATTAACTCTTCTTTGTATGTTTGCTACAGTTTAGGTGAGAATTCATCTGGTCCCAGGCATTTTTTTTAATTTGGATTTTTTTCATTACTGCTTCAATCTTGCTACTCCTTATTGATCTGTTCAATATTTATATTTCTTCCTGGTTAAATCTCTGGGAGATTGTATGTATCCAGGAATTTATCCATTTCCTCTAGCTTTTCTAGTTTGTGAAAGTGTAATTGCTTGTGAAAGTATAGTGGCTCAGAATAGTCTATGATTTTTTTTTCTGTCTGTAGTATCAGTTTTATTGTTTCCTTTTCCATTTCTGTTTGTTTGGATCTTCTCTATTCTTTCCTTTGGTAGTCTCACTGGTGGTTTATCAACTTCATTTATCTTTTTGAAGTACCAACTTTTTATTTCATTAATCCTTTGTATTGTTTTTCTAATACTGATCTCATTTATTTTTCTCTGATTTGTTTTTTTTCTTCTGCTTCCCAGGGTTTAATTTGTTCTTGTGTTCCTAGTTTTTGGAGATGTGACATTAGATTGTTAATTTGAGCTATTACTACTTTTTTGATGTAGGGATTTTATGCTATAGACCTCCATCTTTGCACTACTTTTGTTGCCTCTTAAAGGTTTGAATTGTTGTATTTTCATTTTAATTGGTTTAAAAAATGTTTTAAATGTTATCCTAATTTCTTCATTGACCCAGTAATCCTTCCAGAGCATACTGTCTCATTTTCATGTATTTGTATAGTTTCTGAAATTCCTCTTGGTATTGATATCTACCTTTATTCCACTGTGATCTAAGATGATACTTGATATGATTTAGATTTTTAAAAATTTGTTAAGAATTTTATTGTATAATATGTTGCCTATCTTGAAGAATGGTCTATGTTTAAGACTGTATATTCTCTAATTGTTGAGTAGAATGTTCTGTAAATGTCTGTTCACTTGGTCTAAAGTTCAATTTAAGTCCAATCTTACTTTGTTAATTTTCTGCTGTAATGATCTTTCTAGTGCTCTAAGTATAATGTTGGCATCCTCCATTTTTATGTTATTGCTATCTCCCTGTTTTTTTTAGGTATAGTAATATTTATTTTGTCAATCTGGGTGCCTTGATATTGGGTGCATACATATTTAGGATTATTACATTATCTTATTGAATTCATTTCTTTGTCATTATATAATGGCAGTCTCTTTTATTACTGTTTTTGATTTAAAGTTTATTTAATCTTATATAAGTATATCCTACTCATTTTTGCTATCTGTTTGCACGGAATACCTTTATCCAACCTTTCATTTTCAGTTTACATGTGTTTTTATGGGTAAGGTGAGGTTCTTGTAGAAAGTATATAATTTGATCATATTTTATTTCTTTTTAATTTATTCTATTAATCTGTATGTTTTAAGTGGAATATTTAATTCATTTACATTCAAGGTTAATATTAATATGTAAGGCTTTGTTCCTATGTTATTGTTCATTGTTTGCAAGTTTCTGTTTTTTTTTTCCTTTTTTTTTTTTTTTTTTTTGATGGAGTCTTGCTCTGTCACCCAGGCTGGAGTACAGTGACACTATCTCGGCTCACTGCAAGCTCTGCCTCATGGGTTCACGCCGTTCTCCTGCCTCAGCCTGCTGAGTAGCTGGGACTACAGGCACCTGCCACCAAGCCCAGCTAATTTTTTTGTGTGTTTTTAGTAGAGATGGGGCTTCACAGTGTTAGCCAGGATGGTCTCGATCTCCTGACCTCGTGTCCTGCCTGCCTAGGCCTCCCAAAGTGCTGAGATTGCAGGCATGAGACACCGTGCCCAGCTGCAAGTTGTTTTTTTATAAATTCTTTGTTTCTTTTTCACTGTGCTTTTATCTTTGTGGCTTGATGAAATTCTGTCGTTTTGCCATTTGAGTCCTTTCTGTTTGTGTGATTGTCTTATAAGAACTGTGAGTTTTATCTTTTTGTATATTTGTGTGATGGTAAATATCAAACTTTTGTTTCCATGTTTCATTTTCACCTTTGAGCGTTTCCTGTTAGGCTGGTCTAGTGAAGACAAATTCTTCAAGTGTTTGTTTACCTGGAAAAGAGTTTATTTATTCTAAAATTCTTGGCTGACAGATTTTGTTTTTCTTCAGCACTTTGAAAATGCCATCCTATTCTCTTCTGACCTATAAGGATTTCTATTTAAAAGTCTGCTGTTAGTCTGATGGAGTTTCCTTTATAGATGGCTAGACACTTGCTAACTTTAAAATTATTTCATTTACTTTGACTTTTGACATTTCTAATGTAATATGCTATGGTGAAGTCATTTTTACAATGTATTTCAGTGATGGTATCTGGGCCTCCTATATCTGAATGTCTGACTCTTTTGCTAGTCTTAGGACATTTTCATTGATTATTTTCTTAAATAAGTTTTTAAAAGTTTTTGATCCCTGTTCACCCCCAGGAATACCAATAATTTGTAAGGTCTCTTGTTTCAAGTAGTCTCATACGTCTCTCAAAGGCTGTGTTTTTTGTTGTTGTTGTTTGTTTGTTTTTTGTTTTAATATATATTTTTGTTTGACTATTTCAAAAGACCTGAGATTCCCTCTTCTGCGTGGTCTAGTCTATTATTGAAACTTTTGTATTTTGTATTTATGTCAATGAACTTTTTATTTGCAGAACTTCTGCTTTGTTATTTTTATTTTTTTTTATTTGGAGTTTTAAAGAATGCTTTTGATTGAGATCTTTTGCTGGATGATTGTTGTGGTCCCTTGATGGTGTCATATTTCCTAGCTTTTTCATGTTTCCTGTGTCCTTCCTTTGATATCTACATATGTGGTATCATAGTCACTTGTTCCAAATTTTTGAAATTGCTTTGGTAAGGGAGAATTTTTTCCTGAAGATGTATATATGTTATTGGTTGTGAAGGATATCTTGGTTTTGTTTTAGGGTGCCTGTGGTAGCGCAATTGTATCACTCCTTCAGCAGCATATAGAATCAGTAGTATCTGTGATTTCCTCTGTGACTTAGGGTACAGTTATTAGTTGAGGTTGTGATGAAATATTGCTAGGGACTTTGACACCAACTGAGCCAGTCTTCGGGCCCTTGTGTTGGTAGCTATAGAGTAAATGTGACAGTTTTTAGGCCCCAGAGCAGCTTACTCTGATTCCAATGTTACTAGGTTCTTAGGGGCTGCGTCTTGAAGTTCCAGGTGGCTTGTTTAGAAGCTAATTGTGAGAGCCAAGAGTACAGTTTGTGGGTGGGTTTTCAGGCCCCTGAGCATCTGGTGTGTTGTAGGCGATGACAGTATCCATGATGGAGCAAACCACTGAGACCCAAACAATTCTTGCTGATGTTCCTGGTAGTTTCTCCTGGTTGGGCAGACTAGTCCTCAGTACCACAACAGGGTAGTGGGTATTTTCCTAAATGTGCTTAAAAGAGCTTGGTCCCCTCTGCCCCTCCTACAGCTGGGTGTTGGCTGCAGCCATGTCACCTTCAACTGGGTGGGGCAAAACCCAATGTTAAACTCTCAAAATGGTATCAGCTGTAGGCTTATGACTAGACAGGGTGGGACACCTCTCAGATGAGCAGCATGAGCAACAAGCTATGAGGAGTGTAGTCTACTTGAGTCTCAATCTCACAGCAACCTGGAGCGGGATGGTGGGTATTGTTCTGGGTATACATAAGTGACCCTGGATTTTTTGTCCCTCATCAGCTATGTGGGGGCTGCAGTCATGTCAACTTGGACTCTGCCCAAGGATGAGGCATAGCCCAACATTGAACTCTCATAATTGTTCCAGCTGTGGGCTTGTGACCAAAGAGGGCGGAGCACCTTCCAGGCTAGCAGCATGGGCAAGAAGCTGTGGGGAGTGTGGCCTGCCTGCCTTTGCATTTAACAGAAGCCTGATGTAGTGCAATGAATATTATCCTAGATGTGCATAAGAGGGCCTCGTTTCCCTGACTCCCCTTGGCCAGGCAGCATCTGTGCCAATGTCAGCCTGAACTCAGTCTGAAAGTGAAGCACAAACTAACATTAAACTGTCAAGATAGGATCTTGGGCCTGGTACCAGAGAGGGCAGTGTCCTTCCCACGCAAGCAATATGGGCAAGAAGCTGTGGGGAGAGAGGTCCATTCATTTCTCTGTCTCAAAAGCTGTCTGTAGCAGAGTGGTAGGGAACTTCCTGGAAGTGTGTGGGAGTGCCTGGTCTCCCATCTCTCTCCTTGGAACAGTACAGCGGCAGCATCCCTGTCTGTAGATCCTTGATATCGGGTCTTTTAAAAGGGCTCTCAGTTGAGGCTGCTGTGGTTTCAGATGCCTGTGGGATTCCATGTGGGTTCCTTTTTTGGAGCAACGCCTGTCTGCAATCTTTAGGCAGCTCCACATATTAGGCCCAAGACCTTAGTGGGTCAAGGGTTTCTCCCATAGCCAAAATTATAAAAGCCCATTTTGAAGTCCTAGGGATTTCTGTATTACTCTTTCCCTGTGTCTAGGAGTCTGTCTCAGCCCTCAGTTAGTCTCCAGCTGGCCAAGCTGCCTTAAACACGCTCCTTACTTCCTTCTAGAGTTTTCTGTCTCTTCTCTAATGAGGCCTAGTGTTATCTCCTAATTTATGTTTAGAATGTAAGTATCTATTTACTTTTCTGGTTCCTCTTTGTAGAAGAGGCACATACTACCTGTATCTAGTCAGTCATCTTGATTCCTCTATCCCAAAACTTTCATATCCTGTTGGTGCCCCACTCTGTCCACCTCACCAATGAAATCATTGATCTACTTCTGAAACAAATTAGTTTGCATTTCATAGAACTTTATATAAATGTCATTATATGGTATGTATTCTTTTCAGTCTGAATTTCTTTAAGTTAAAATATATTTATTTTCAGATTCATTCATGTTGTGTGTTTATCATATTTTATTTCTTGGCATTGCTGAGTAGTATTCCATTGTGTGTGAATGCCACTACTTGTTACCCATACACTTTTATGTACACATTAGTTGTTTTATGTTTTTAGTTATTATAAAGCTGTTATGAATATTTGTATACCAGTGTATAGATATGTTTTTATTTCTCTTGGGAAAACATATAAGAGTGAAAAGGCAAGGTCATATAGTAAGTGTATATGTGACTATTTAAGAAATTGACAAACTGCCTTCCAAGTTTTAACACTTGAGTTATTCCAGTGGATATATAATGGTATATTATTCTAGCTTTCTTTTGCCTTTGTCTAATAGCCAATTATTTTGAGCATCATTTCCTATGGATATTTGACATCTGTATGTCTTCATTGGTGAAGTGTTCTTTATGAAATAAAGTTTTGCATATATTTTCTCCTTGTATTATGGCTTGTTTTTTCATTAATTAGCAGCATCTTTTGAAGTGGAAGAGTTTTTAATTTATACTGGGAGACTCAGTATATTGATTATTTTAGTACGTGATTTTCATTATATTTAAGACATTTTTGCAAAACCTATGGTTTCTATGATTTACTTCTAGAAGCTCTATAATTTTAGTCTGCACACATATGTTTATAACTATTTGTGTTTACTTTTGTATATAGTGTGAGGTAATGCTTGAACTTTTTTTTTTTTGCATTTGCTTATTCAGTTGTTCTAGCCACATTTGTTTAAGTAATCATCCTTTTCTCCATAAAATTGCCTTGACATCTTGTCAGAAATTATTTGCCTGACCATTTATGCATACCCATTCTGTACTACGTCATTGATACGGTTTGACTGTGTCTCCATCCAAAATTTACCTTGAATTGTAGCTCCCATAATCTCCACGTGTTGTGGGAAGGACCAGGTTGGAGATAATTAATTCATGGAGGTGGTTTCCCCTATATTGTTCTCATGGTGGTGAATAAGTCTCCTGAGATCTGATGGTTTTACAAGGGAAAACCCTTTTTTCTAGGTTCTCATTCTCTCTCTTGACTGCTGCGATGTGAGACATGCCTTTCACCTTCCGCCATGATTTTGAGGCCTCCCCAGCCACGTGGAACTGTGAGTCCATTGCCCTCTTTTTCTTACAAATTACCCAGTTTCAGGTATGTCTTTATCAGCAGTTTGAAAACAGACTGATACAATTGTCTTGATTACTAAAGACTTTAATAGGTAGGGCATGAAATTAAGTAGTATATATAATCAAGCTTTGTTCTTGTTTTTCACATTTATTTTGTTTATTCCAAATCCTTTACGTTTGCATAGAAACTTTAGAACTAGCTTGCCCATATATAGAAAATATGTAGAAAAAGACCGAGGGTTTTGACTGGAATTTCATTAAGTCTATGGAGAATATTTGTGAATATTGACCTCTTAGCAATTCTGAGTTTCCTAACCTCCCCAAAACAGTATTTATTATAATATTTATTTGTGCCTTTTTTAATTTCTCAGCATATTTTATAAGTTCTCACTCCGCTCTATTTATCTCTTATACATTTTTTCAAGTCCATGCCTGAATATTTCCTACGATGAAATGCCATATGGTATTATTTCAATTTTCAACTTTTGTTGCTATATAGAAATTAAATTGATTTTTAAATTTTTCTCATATTTGCAAAACTTACTCATAAGGTTATTTGTGGCTTTTCCAATAAATTCCTTCAGAGTGACTACCTAGTGAATCATATTATCTGCAAATAAAGTTAATTTTATATTTTCTTTCCAATCTATATGTCTTTTATTTCTTGTCTTACTGGAGTGGCTAGGATCTCCCATACAATGCTGCATAGAAGTAGTGAAGGTAGACATACTTGCCTGGTTGCTGGTGTCAGACTGAAAGCAGTCTTTCAACATTTTAGTGTAATGTTCACAGTGGAAATTTTTTGTGGATGCTTTCATAAGGTTAAGGTAGTTCCCTTCTCTTCCTAATGTGCTGAGAGTTTTTATAAGAATCAACGCTGTATTTTCTCAAATGCTTTTTGTATCTATTGAGATGATAATGTGGTTTATCTTTTTTAGTCTATGAATATGATTATATTAATTTTTGAATGTTTAAGCACATTTATATTTCTGCAAGAAACCTTACTAGGGATGTATTATCATTTTCATATATTGCTTAATTATTACTATTTTAAAGAATATTTTTATCTATGTTCATGGAGAATACTGACATATAGTTTTCTTTTAATTTCTGTATCTGTTTTTGGAATAAGGATAGTGTCAACATCATATAACGAGCTAGAAAGTACAATCCCACTTTAATGCTCTGGAAGTAGTTGTATAAAGTTATTTTTACTTCTTCCTTAAATATTAGAATCAAGAATGAATTCATCTTGGCACCTTTTTGTTTTTGTTACTATTCTTGATGAAGGGAGGTTTCTAAGTACAAATACAATTTAAAAAATAGATTTACAATGATTAATTTTTTTCTATATTTTATCATTCTGTTTTGGTAGTTTGTGTCTTTCAAGAAATTCTTCCAATTCATGTAGGCTGAATTTCTTAAAATAATTTTATAACAATATTTCTTCACAAGTCTTTATCTGCAGAATGTGACATAGAAGTATCTCATTACTAATATTGGTAAGTTGTGTATTTTATCATATGTTTTTTCTTCGTAGTTGGGTTAAAGATTTATCAACTTTCTTGATATAAAATAATCAGCATTTGTTTTCAGTGGTTTTCCCTATTGATTTTCTGTTTCTATTGATTTCTTCACTTACAGTTGTGATTTATTTTCCTGATTCCTTCGTGTTTAATTTGTTTGTTTTGTTTTTCTAGTTTTTTAGTGAGAAACATAATATTATTGACTTGATGACTTTATTTTTCTCAAATGTAGTGTATATTGCTATAAATTTCCTCTAAATACTATTTTAGCTGCTTCCCACAAATTTTCATATGCTGTGTTTTCATTTTTACTCTGTTCAAATACATGTATTGCTTTTGCTTATTTTTTGACCTATAGACTATTTAGAAATGTGTTATTTAATTTTTTTGGAGAGAGGAGCTTTAGATATCTTTCAGCTGTTGATTTATAATTTAATTCCATTGTGGTCAGAGAACATACAGTGCATGATTTGAAACTATTCAAACTTGTAGATACTAATTTGGTGAGCCAAAATATGGTCTGTCTTGGCAAATATTTTTGTCATTTTTTTTGCTTCAGTTGGTTGCAGTATTTTATGAATGTTGTGTAGATTAAGTTGGTAAGTAGTGATGCTCATATTTTCTATATGTTTTGATTTTATATCTTCTTTTATATCAATTATTGATGGAAAATCTGTGGGAATAATTGTGGATATGTCTATTTCCCCTTCTGTTTCTCTCAGTTTTCATTTCATGTATGTTAAGCTGTGTTATTAGTGCATTCATATCTAGGATTGTTATTTTTAACTGACCTCAATATTATGAAATAACGTTTCAAAAATTCTGGTAATATCTTGTGCTTTAAAATCTACTGGTTCAATATTCATATGTCCTGTCCATTCTTCTTTCATTAGTGTTAATATAATATAACTTTTCCCCCTCTGTTTTAACCTACTCATGCCTTTACATTTATTATGTGATTTTAGTAACGAGATTTTATTTCAGGCTTATTTCCTAAAAACCTAATCTGACAATCTTTGCCTTTTAGTTCATATCTGCATTTTATTTGTATTTAATCTTTTACAGATGGTTGGATTTGTACCTATCATCTTCCATTAGTTTTTAATATATCCCTTTTCCTTTTTGTTTCTTTTTTTTTCTTTTTCTGTATTTTCCATTAACTAAACATTTTTTTAGAATTCCATTTTATTTCTTTGTTGGTTTATTAGCTATAATTCTTATTTTATTATTGATTTATTCTGAGTTTCCAGTATACATCTTTAAGGTATCACAATCTATCTTCAATAATATTGTACCACTTCAAGTAGAGTTCAAGAACTTAAGTATTCTTCTGATTCTCCCCTCACTGTGGGTTTGTTGTTGGTGTTTTATATTGAACTATTTGTAACTCTACACAATTACATTTCTGGTGTTCAACAAATAGATCAAATTGTTTCTTTGATTTCTTTGACTGTTCAATTACTATTTGTCCAAGATTTTGTTACTCATATTTCCTCTTCCATTCATTCACCCTTTAGTTCCTATGTCCCTTTTCATATTTTATTTATATTTGGATGGTCCATTTGAACGCAATTTTATCATCTATATATTGTTTGAATAGAATGCTTATACTGTTTCCATTCTTCATTAATGTCAGTCCATTTCCTTTGTTCATCCCTCCATGAGTTCTATGATTTTCAGACTGAGAACAAAATTTCACGACCAAATTCTCAGCATTTACCTTACATTTCCATTCTTTCACTTAAACTTGTCTTTTCCTTGACCTTGTTGTCCACTTTGGAGGCACGAATTCCCAGAAAGTGTGGCTTTTTTGTCATATATTTCTTGTTACTGGGAAATATAAGAGTCGGTGTTTTATATTCTCTACTGAAGTCCACGTCATTTGCTTATACTACCCTTCCCCAATAACCATTGCTGTGGTTCATCAACAGATAGGCTACTATCCTATTGTTGGTGATTCAAATCTTGAGTAACAGTCATCCTCTTCACTCATTCATTACCAATAATGAGAGAGAATGCAAATTGGTATTAAGGCCAGGCTGATCAGGATTGAATTTTAACTGTGATAATTACCTAATATACTATGATCGAGTATTTGCATTGATGGCTGTGATCAATTGCCTTTATGTTGATGTTCTTTGCAATGTGACTTTGCTGTTCTTTCCAACAAGTAGTTAACTATTTATAGTGAACTTAAAAAGATTACAGGAGTTACCCAAAGCACGTGGTCTAAAGGCTGGCATGGAGAGTAGGTATTTAATAAATGGACTTATTAGTCTTGTTATTATTCCTCGCAAAACCCCTATAGCAAAGTTGATACGTTTTTGATACCTTGGCCTAATTGTTTGTATCTTAAACACTTCATAACTTCAAGTATTTCAATCTTTATTCTACTTCAACCATTTATCAAAACAATTCTATCTCTCCTTGAAAATTTTCACCTGTAAGCCTCTGTAGTACATTCTCATAATTTCGTGTTGCTTTGGTATCCATTTTGAATACAAGTTTAACTTTCTCATACCCGAAGTAAGATTCAGTCATCCTTGACACAGTTTACCGTTTTATTCCACACCTAAATGATTCAAGCTGGTGTCCAGAGATAATAATTTAGAGGTAGCTCTTCCACCAAGACTGAACTCCCTGCTTTCCTGCAGCTTTTTTAGAGGAACAATTCAGATATTTGCCTGTGAACTTAAACTGGCCCACATCTTACTCCCTTATATATACTGTTAGTTGCCATGTTCTCTCTCTCCCTTTCTCTCTCTGTCTGCCTGATTCTTTGTTGCTGTTTTGTATGACCTCCCTACTCATTATATACTCCTTGCTCATTTTCTGTAGGTAAAAATCTTTGAACGTGTTTTCTGTTGTGGTGTATTGAATGTGTGGCTTCCATCTGAAGAATGAGAGGCTGCTATAGGGTGGTTTCTCCAGGACACCAGGAAAACATAAGGCCAGGTTCCCATAACCAGAGCAATAGTCCAGTGGGCCATGGGTCAGACAAGAGCTACGAGTGCATCTGCCAGCATAAACAAGTTTTCCATGTGAGGGTACCCCTGGTTTTGGGTTGGACAACTAGACATTAGACTGTCTTCCAGGTAAAAGAAGTAACCTGTGAAAGTCACAATGTAAACACCCATGTTCAACTCCCTTTCATTTCCTGTTAGGGCAGGTTGCACCTTTGTCAAAGATCAGTTGACTATAGATATGTGGATTTATTTCTAGGCTATTTTGTTTCTATTTATCTATATTTGTTTTCATACCAGTACCATATTAATTTTATTATCGTAGCTTTGTAATATGTTTTGAAATCAGGAAAGGTGATGCCTTCAGCTTTGTTCTTCTTGCTCAAAATTGATTTGGCTATTCAGGGTCTTTTTTAGATCCATATTACTTTTAGAATTTTTTTCCTACTTTTTGTAAAGAATGCCACAGGGATTTTTATAGGGACTGTATTAAAACTGTGGATCACTTTGAGTATTCTGGACATTTCAACAATATTAAGTCTTTCCATTCAGGAACATGGATATATTTTTATTCATCTGATTCTTCTTTAATTTCTCTCATCAATGTTTTATAATTTTCAGTGCCCTTAATTGATGAAGAAAAACAGTTGAGATAATTCTGCATTCATTTATAATAAAAAGTGTCAGCAAGATAGGCATTGAAGTTAGTTACTTCAATATAAAAAAGGCCATCTATGAACAGCCTACAGCTTACATTACAATCAATGAGGAAAAACAAAAAGCTTTTTCTTTACAATCTGGTACAAGGTAAGGATGATCACCCTTGCCACTTGCCTTCAACATAATACTAGAAGTCATATTCAGAGCAATTAGACAAAAAATAAAAAACAAAGGCTTCCAAATCAGAAGAGAAGAAGCAAAAATTATCTCTGCATGCAAATGACGTGGTCTTATATGTAGAAAACCCTGAAGACTAAACAAAAATCTGTTAGAACAAATAAATTCAATAAATTTGCAGAGTACAGAATTCAGTCTTCTTTCTATACACAAGCAATGAACTACCTGAAGAGGAATAATAAAAGAATTCTAATCCCAACAGAAACCAAAAGAATAAAATATGTTGAAATAAACTTGTTTAAAGAGGTGACCTCCCTTGTTCATGCACTTATTCTATTTATCTCTTTTTAGCTGAGACGTATACATAATCTTGTCATTGTTTTATTCTCTTTTTCATTTATTTTCATTTACTTTTCTTGCTTTGAGTCCTTAGGAGACCAAATTGTAATTTACCCCTGAAAGCCTGGAGGAATCCTTTGAATTCTGTGGTTCTACTATAGTTTCAGTTCAGCATTCATCTATGGTACCAACTCCCAGAGGTTACCTAAGAGCCTTAGAGTCTTTCCACTCTCACAACAGTTGCTGCGCACCCACTCCTGCTGTCCGTGGCCCAGGTAGGGAGCAGAGAGGCTGGGCACTTTCATACACCCCCCAAGAGAGATACCACAACCTCCAAATAGAGGAGCAGGCAAACTAAATACCACATGACTCCTTGCCTCCACTGCTCCCCACCAAATGGACTTGCTTGCATCAATGACAGGCACCTTGGAGCCTCCCTACCCCTGCCTGAACACAGAGTACCTCTAAGAGCCCAACCTTTAGAGACCACCAATAAGTGTTTCTGCTCTACCTGCTGTATTAGTTGTCATCACCACTGCTGCCTTCCCCCCTGCTAGCCCCAGGTCAAGGAAGGAGCAGAAAGGCTGGACACTTTTACATGTCCCCAACAGTGAAATCAAGCACCACTTCTGTGGGAGGGGAATGTGAGCAGACCACACGCCTCACAGCTGCCACTCTCCATTGCCCCGGCTGAGAAGGCCTGCCCTCGCTTGTAAAAGACTCACAGTCACATGGCTCCCACCAGACTATTTCGGCTGCAGCCTGGAACCTATCAGAGATCCCAGGCCTGTGATCTGCCTTTGGGTTCCCACTGCCTGAGTGCTCTGCTTACCCCAACTTGAGAGTTCTGCTGGTGACCCAGGGATGACCACCCTGCCCCTCTCCATCACAACCAGAACCTGAACGCTGTGCTGGCTCAATCCTGTTCCAGCCCCTTCAGAACTCACATCCCATCCAGTGGGCCATCTGGGGCCTGGGACTGGGGAATTATCTAGCCTAGTCAACACTGCTGGCACCAGCCTGCTCCCCTGAGTACTGAGATCGGGCCAACTTCACCAGCTAACACCATGACATCTGACACACACCTGCATGAGCCAAACAGCAGAGCCCTTCCCCTCTCTAAACAAAGCAGTAGCATTACCACATTAGAAAATAGGTGAGCCATAAAGTTATATGTGTTGCCCTGAGTAAAGGGGTTCTTCCTCAGAATCACTCGTATGGAAAGCCATGGGACAGGTGCTTTCCATGGCTCTCAGCTACACTATGGCCTTGAGACAGAAAATAATTGCACATGGACTGAGAGTCATGAGCCCCAGAACAGAGATGTGATAGAGAAATAAATTGTGTTCCTGACTATCTAGGACATGGAGCTGGTTCAGCCCCCTCACTCCCTCAGAGAACGTGGTGCATTTCATTAGGAGATCCCCTAGTCACCCCCATCAGGGTTGGTGTCTGTTCTCATCACTGGGGTATTAATAGGGAAGTCACGGGGTCCAGCACTGCCCAGCTGTCTCCCATACTTCTTTGCTGAATAGGAAGCTCAGGTCAACAAGCACTCCATTGTCCAGCCCATCATTTGAAACAGAGAATGCCTCACAGTAAACAAAGATCAAGTACACAGCCATCTTCTTGTGCCACAGCTGGTTCATATCCATAAGCACTACACACTGGCCTTCAGACTACACTGCACTGACCAATATAAAACCTCCCAACAAAAGTGTACAGGGCTATAGAAGCAAAACCAAAAGGCCCTACCCAACATATTCTACAGTCACAGTCTCAAGGTGGGAAATAACAGAGAAAAGAAAATCCCATATGAATGAAAATAAATTCAAAATAAGAAGTGTCAGTTTCTCCAGATGTTCAGGAAACATAAAAATGCAGGTACCTTGACAAATCTGAATGTTGTGAAATCACCAAAGGATCACACTAGCTCTTTAGCAAAGGACCAAAATGAGAACTCAGAAATAGCATATGAAGAATTAAAAGTATGGATTGCAATGAAGCTCAATGAGATCCAAGGGAAGGTTGAAAATCAACACAAAAGCAACCCAGGAAATAAAGGAAGAGGGAAGAGGTATGTATCTTAGGGGAAAAAAAGACTTTCGGAAATAAATAATTACTTAAGGAATTTCAAAATACAGCATAATAGACTGGACCAAAAAAAAGAGAAAGAATTTCAGAGCTCGAAAGCTGGTCTTTTGAATTAATCCAGTCAGACAAAAATAAAGAAAAAAGAATTTTTAAAAAAATGCACAAAGCCTTTGAGAAATATGAGATTTACTATGTAAAATGATAAAACCTACAACTTACAGGCATTCCAGAGAAAGAAGAAGAAAAAACAAGCAACCTGGAAAACATATTTGAGAGAATAATTAACTATAATTTCACACTATACAAGATGAACATCATCAAAGTATACAGTCACCAGACCGTCCAAGGTAAATGCAAAACAAATAAAAATAAAAATCTGAAAGGCAGCTGAAGAAAAGGGTTAAATCACTAAAGAAAAAAACTCATCAAACAACAAACTTTTCAGCAGAAAACATACAAGCCAGGAAAGATTGAGGGCCTATTTTTATCCTCCGTTAAGAAAAAAAGATGCTGGCCAAGAAGTTCATATCGTGCCAAAATAAGCTGCATAAATGAAGGAGAAATCAAGTATTTTCCAGACAAGTAAATTCTGACGGAATTTGTCACCAATAGACTGAACCTACAAGAAATGATTAAAGAAGTTCAACAATGGAAATTGAAGGATGATGCTCATCATCATAAAAGGACACATTAAGTACAAAACTCTTAGATCTTATAAAGCAATTACCCAATTAACACTCCAAAACACCTAGCTAACAACAATGTAACAGGAACTAAACCCCACATAACAATATTAACCTTGAATAGAGATGGCCCAAATCAAGCTTGTTTAACCTGCAGCCTAACACAAATTTGTAAACTTTTTTAAAACACGAGATTTTTTTTTTTTTTTTTTTTTTGCAATTTTTAGGTCATCAGCTATCATTAGTGTTAGTATATTTTAATGTGTGGCCTAAGACAACTATTTTTCTTCCATTTTGGCCAAGGGAAGCCAAATGATTGGGCATCCCTGGCCTAAATGATCCACTTGAAAGATACACAGTGGAAAATTTGATTCAAATAATACCCAACCACCAGTTGCCTACAGAGACACATCTATTGGCTAATAACACCTCACACTCAAAAGAGTCCAAAATGATACATTACACAATTGAAAAACAGAAGAGAAGAGAGGTAGCCATTATCATATAAACAAACCTTAAACAACAGTAAGAACAGAAAAAGAACAATATATAATAATAAGCCTCTTAATACAAGAAGAAGATTTAACTATCATATATATATATATGCACTCATCACTGAAGCACCCAGATTCATAAAAAAAAAAAAAATACTGCTAGACCTAGAAAACAGACTGATGGAAATACAATAATAGTAGGGAACTTTAATATTCCACTAATATTACTACAAAGATGACTGAGGCAGAGAATAAACAAACAAAAAACCTTGACATAAATTGGAATTTAGACCAAATGGAGCTCATAGACATTTACAGAACTTTCTACTCAACAATTGCAAAATATAGATTCTTCTCATATGTTGATTGAATATTCTTCAAATTTGACCATATATGTGGCTATAAAGCAAGTCTGAATACATTTTACAAGATAAAAATCATATTAAGTATCTTCTTGGACCACAATGGAATAAAATTAGAAATCAATACCAAGAGGAACTCTAAAAACTACACTGATACATGGAAACTAAACAACTTGCTCCAGAATGACTGATAATTAAACAATAAAATTAAGGCAGGATTTAAAATACTATTTTTTCACCAACTCAAATAATATGAGAAAAGAATTAAAAAATTATTTAAAACTAATGAAAGTAGAGACACAGTATACCAAACCACTGGAATACAGCAAAAACAATGCTAAAAGAAGTTTATAGCATTAAATGTCTACATAAAGAAGATACAAAAGTCTCAAGTTAACCATCTAATGTCACGTCTCAAAGACATACAAAAACAAAAATAAACCAAGTCCAAAGCTAGCAAAAGAAAAGAGATAACAAATATAGCAGAACTAAAGGAGATTGAGATGAAAAGCCACAAAGGATCAATAAAACAAAAAGTTGTTTCTCCAAAAAGGATAAACACAGTTGACAGACCACCAGCAAGATTAATCAAAAGAAAAAGACAATTCAAATAAGTACAATCAGAAATGATGAAGGTGACATAACAGCTGACACAACAGTAATTTATAGTATTATCAGAGTCTACTATGAACACCTCTATATGTACAAACTAGAAAACCTAGAGAAAATTAATAAAATTCTGGATATATACAGCCTCCCAAGATTGAACCAGAAAGAAATAGAAATTCTGAATAGACCAATAATGTGTAATAAAATCAAATTAGTAGTAAAAAAGCTTCCAGCAACAACAAAGAAATCTCGGAACCAGACAGATTCACAGCTGAATTCCACCAGATGTACAACAACAAGCTGGTATCCATGTACTAAAATTATTCCAAAAAATTGAGGACCAGGCATTCCTCCTTAACTCATTCTATGAATCTTATATTACTCTGATATGAAAATCATTCAAAAACATTAAAAAAGGAGAAAAGAAGCAGCCAATATCCCAATGATCATAGATACAAAGTTGCTCAACAAAATATTAGCAAATCAAATCCAATAGCACATCAAAAAGATAATTCATCATGATCAAGTGGGTTTTCTTTAGTGTGGAGATGCAAGGATATTTCAACATAAATGAATCAATAAACAGGATTCACCATGTAAACAGAACTAAGAACAAAAACCATATGATCATCTCAATAGATGCAGAAGAAGCATTCAATAAAATTCAATATTTCTTCATTATAAAAGCCCTCAACAAACTATGCATCAATGGAATATCCTTCAAAATAATAGCAGCCATGACTGACAAACCCATAGTCAATATCATACTGAATGAGCAAAAACTGAAAGCCTTCCTCCTGTGAACTGGAACAAGATAATAGTGTCCATTCTCATCACTCCTATTCTGCATAGTACTATAAGTACTCACCAGAACAACTAGGCAAGAGAAAGAAATTAAAGACATTCAACTTGGAAAAGAGGAAGTCAAATGATGTCTGTTTGCTGATAACATTATTATATACCTAGAAACCCTAAACACTCCTCCAAAAGACTCCTCTACTTTATAAACAACTTCAGTAAAGTTTCAGGATACAAAATCAATGTACAAAATCAGTATCATTACTATACACCAAATAAAGAACTTTATCCCATTTACAGTAGCCACAGTGAAAATAAAATACCAAGGAATACATTTAATCAAGGAGATAAAAGATCTCTATGAGGAGAACTATGAAACACTGATGAAAGAAATCAGAGATGACACAAACAAATGAAAAAACATCACATGCTAATGGATTGGAAGAATCAGTACTGTTAAAATAACCATATTGCTCAAAGCAAGCTACAGATTTAACACAAATCCTATTAAATTACCAGTGTCATTTTTCACATAATTGGAAAAAATAATCCTAAAGTTCATTTGCCACAAAAAAAGCCTGACTAGTCAAAGCAATCCTATGCAAAAAGAACAAATCTGGAGGTATCACATTGCCTTACTTCAAATTATACTATGAGGTTATATTAACTAAAACAGCATGGTAACTGGTATAAAAATAGAAACATGGATCAATGGAACAGAGTAGAGAACTCAGAAATAAGACCACGTACCTATAACAAACTGATCTTCAACAAAGTCAACAAAAATTAACAATGAGGAAAGGACACCCTATCTGACAAATTATAATGGGAAAATTGGATAATCATATGCAGAAGAATGAAACTTGACCTGTATCTCTCATCATATACAAAAATTACCTCAAGATTGATTAAAGAACTAAATGTAAGAACTGAAACTATAAAATTCTAGAAGAAAACCTAGAAAAAACTCTTCCATACATTGTCTTGGGCAAATAATTTATGACAAAGACACCAAAAGCAAATTAAAAACCATAAAAAATAGGCAAATGGGACTCAATTAAACAAAAGAGCTTCTCCACAGCAAAAGAAATAATCAAAAGTGAAAAAAGACAACCTACAGACTGAGAGAAAATATTTGCAAATTAGGCCTCTTGGCAAAGGACTAATATTTAGAATCTACAAGAAACTCAAACAACTCACCAGGAAAAAGCAAATAACTTCATTAAAAATTGGGCAAAGGACACGACAAGATACTTCTCAGAAGACGACTAACATACATACATATGAAAAAAATGCTCATCATCAGTAATCATGAGAGAAATGCAAATTTAAGTCACACTGAGATATCATTTTATAGCAGTCAGAGTGGCCATTATTAAAAAGTCAAAAAACAATAGATGTTGTCATGAATGTAGAGAAAAAAGAATGCTTATACACTGTTGGTGGGAATGTAAATTAGTTCAACCTCTTGTGAAAACAGTATGGAGATATTTCAAACTGCTGAAAATAGAACTACAATTTAAGCCAGAAATATCACTGCTGGGTGTCAATTGAAAGGAAAATAAGGAGGGTGGATGGCAAGATGGCCGACTAGGAACAGCTCCAGTCTGCAGCTCCCAACGAGATCAATGCAGAAAGTGGGTGATTTCTGCATTTCCAACTGAGGTACCCGGCTCATCTCATAAGGACTGGTTAGACAGTGGGTGCAGCCCTCAGTGGGTGAGCCAAAGCAGGGTGGGGTCGTTGCCTCACCCAGGAAGCATAAGTGTTTGGGGAACTCCTTCCCCTAGTCAGTGGTCAGTAACCACAAGCAGTGGTTAGAGGGAAATTTATAGCACTAAATGTCCACAGTCAAGGGAAGCTGTGAGAGACTTTGCCATGAGGAAAAGTGCATTCCAGCCCAGATACTATGCTTTTCCCATGGTCTTCACAACCCGCAGACCAGGAGATTCCCTCGGGTGCCTATACCACCAGGGCCCTGGGTTCCAAGCACAAAACTGTGTGGCCATTTGGCCAGACACCGAGCTAGCTGCAGGAGTTTTTTTCCATACCCCAGTGGTGCCTGGAACACCAGTGAGACAGAACCATTCACTCCCCTGGAAAGGGGGCTGAAGCCAGGGAACCAAGTGATCTTGCTCAGCAGATCCCACCCCCATGGAGCCCAGCAAGCTAAGATCCACTGGCTTAAAATTCTTACTGCCAGCACAGCAGTCTGTAGTCGACCTGGGACACTGAAGCTTGGTGGGGAGAAGGGCGTCTGCCATTACTGAGGCTTGAGTATGTGGTTTTCCCCTCAGTGTAAACAAAGCCACTGGGAAGTTCAAACTGGGTGGAGCCCACCTCAGCACTGCACAGCCATTGTAGCCAGACTGTCTCTCTAGATTCCTCCTCTCTGGGCAGGGAAGCAGCCCCAGTCAGGGGCTTAGAGTTAAAACTCCCATCTCCCGGGGACAGAGCACCTGGGGGAAGGGGTGACTGTGGGTACAGCTTCAACAAACTTAAATGTTCCTGCTTGCCGGCCCTGAAGAGAGCAGCAGATCTCTCAGCACAGCCTTTGAGCTCTGCTAAGGGACAGACTGCCTCTTCAAGTGGGTCCCTGACCCCTGTGCCTCCTGACTCAGAGACACTGCCCAGTAGGGGTCAATAGACACCTCATACAGGAGAGCTCTGGCTGGCATCTAGTGGGTGCCCTTTTGGGATAAAGCTACTAGAAGAAGGAACAGGTAGCAATCTTTGCTGTTTTGCAGTCTCCGCTGGTGATACCCAGGCAAATAGGGTCTGGAGTGGACCTCCAGCAAACTCCAGCAGACCTGCAGCAGAGGGGCCTATTAGAAGGAAAACTAACAAACAAAGAGGAATAGCATCAACATCAACAAAAGGGACATCCACTCAAAAACCCCACCTGAAGGTCACCGACATCAAAGACCAAAGGTAGATAAATCCATGAAGATGAGGAAAAACTAGCGCAAAAAGGCTGAAAATTCCAAAAACCAGAATGCCTCTTCTCCTCCGAAGTATCACAACTCCTCGCCAGCAAGGGAACAAAACTGGAGGGAGAATGAGTTTGATGAATTGACAGAAGTAGGCTTCAGAAGGTGGGTAATAGCAAACTCCTCTGAGCTAAAGGAGCATGTTCCAACCCAATGCAAGGAAGCTAAGAACCTTGAGAAAAGATTAGAGGAGTTGCTAACTAGAATAACCAGTTTAGAGAAGAACATAAATGACCTGATAGAGCTGAAAAAACAGCACAAGAACTTCATGAAGCATATGCACTTACCAACAGCTGAATCGATCAAGTGAAAGACAGGATATCAGAGGTTGAAGATAAACTCAGTAAAATAAACCGTGAAGACAAGATTAGAGAAAAAAGAATGAAAAGAAATGAACAAGCCTCCAAAAAATATGGGACTATGTGCAAAGACCAAATCTGTGTTTGATTGGTGTACCTGAAAGTGACGGAGAGAATGCAACCTAGTTGGAAAACACTCTTCAGGATATTATCCAGGAGAACTTCCCCGGCCTAGCAAGACAGGCCAAAATTCAAATTCAGGAAATACAGAGAACAACACAAAGATACTCCTTGAGAAGATCAACCCCAAGACGCATAATCGTCAAATTCACCAATGTTGAAACAAAGGAAAAAATGTTAAGGGCAGCCAGAGAGAAATGTTGGGTTACTCACAAAGGGAAGCCCATTAGACTAACAGTGAATCTCTCTGCAGAAACCCTACAAGCCAGAAGAGAGTGGGGACCAATATTCAACATTCTTAAAGAAAAGAATTTTCAACCCAGAATTTCATATCTAGCCAAACTGTGCTTCATAAGCAAAGGAGAAATAAAATCCTTTACAGAGAAGGAAATGCTGAGAGATTTTGTCACCACCAGGCCTGCCTTATAAGAGCTCCTGAAAGAAGCATTAAATATGGAAAGCAAAAACCAGTACCAGCCACTGCGAAAACATACCAAATAGTAAAGATCATGACACTACAAAGAAACTGCAAAAACTAATGGGCAAAATAACCAGCTAACATCATCATAACAGGATCAAATTCACACATAACAATATTAACCTCAAATGTAAATGGGCTAAATGCCCCAATTAAAAGACACAGACTGGCAAATTGGATAAAGAGTCAAGATCCATCGGTGTACTGTATTCAGGAGACATATCTCACGTGCGAAGACACACATAGGCTCAAAATAAAGGAATGGAGGAACACTTACCAAGCAAATGGAAGGCAAAAATAAAAAAGCAGGGGTTGCAATCCTAGTCTCTGATAAAATAGATTTTAAACCAACAAAGATCAAAAAAGACAAAGAAAGGCATTACATAGTGGTAAAGGGATCAATGCACCAAGGAGAGCTAACTATCCTAAATATACATGCACCCAATACAGGAGCACCCAGATTCATAAAGCAAGTTCTTAAAGACCTACAATGAGACCTAGACTCCCACACAATAATAATGGGAGACTTTAACACCCCACTGTCAATATTAGACAGATAAATGAGACAGAAAATTAAGAAAGATATTCAGGACTTGAACTCAGCTCTGGGTGAAGTGGACCTAATAGACATCTGCAGAACTCTCCACCCCAAATCAACAGAATATACATTCTTCTCAGCACCACATTACACATATTCTAAAATTGACCACATATTGGAAGTAAAACAATCCTTAGCAAATGCAAAAGAATGGAAATCATAACAAACAGTCTCTCAGACCACAGTGCAATCAAGTTAGAACTCAGTATTAAGAAACTCACTCAAAACTGCACAATTACATGGAAACTGAATAACTGGCTCCTGAATTACTACTGAGTAAATAAAAAAATTAAGGCAGAAATAAAATAAATTCTTTGAAACTAGGGAGAACAAAGACACAATGCACTAGAACATCTGGGACACAGCTAAAGCAGTGGTTAGAGGGAAATTTATAGCACTAAATGTCCACAGGAAAAAGTGAGAAACATCCAAAATCGACACCCTGACATCACAATTAAAAGAATTAGAGAAGCAAGAGCAAACAAATTCAATAGCTGGCAGAAGACAGAAAATAATTAAGATCAGAGCAGAACTGAAAGAGATAGAGACACAAAAATCCCTTCAAAAAATCAATGAATCCAGGAGTTTTTTTTTTTGAAAACATTAACAAAATAGAACAGTAGCCAGACTAATAGAGAAGAAAAGAGAGAAGAATCAAATAGACACAATAAAAAATGATAAAGGGGATATCACCACTCATCGCACAGAAATACAAACTATCACAAGATATCAAATATATCTATAGTATCATAGAGAATACTATAAACACCTCTATGCAAATAAGCTAGGAAAATCTAGAAGAAATGGACAAATTCCTGAGCACATACACCCTCCCAAGGCTAAACCAGGAAGAAGACGAATCCCTGAATAGACGAATAACAAGTTCTGAAATTGAGGCAGTAATTAATAGCCTACCAACCAAAAAAAGCTCAGGAACAGACGGATTCAAATCTGAATTTTTCCAGAGGTTCACAGAGGGGCTGGTACCATTCCTTCTGAAACTATTCCAATCAATAGAAAAAGAGGGACTCCTCCCTAACTCATTTTTTGAGGCCAGCATCATCCTGATGCCAAAACCTGGCAGAGACACAACAAAAAAAGAAAATGTCAGGCCAATATCCATGATGAACATTGATCAAAAATCCTCAATAAAATAGTGGCAAACAGAATCCAGCAGCACATCAAAAAGCTTATCCATCACGAGCAAGTTGGCTTCATCCATGGGATGCAAGGCTGGTTCAACATATGCAAATCAATAAATATAATCCATCACACAAACAGAACCAATGACAAAACCACATGATTATCTCAATGAATGCAGAAAAGCTATTCGATAAAATTCAACACCCCTTCATGCTAGAAACTCTGAATAAACTAGGTATTGATGGAACATATCTGAAAATAATAAGAGCTATTAATGACAAACCCACAGCCAATATCATACTGAATGGGCAAAAGCTGGAAGCATTCCATTTGAAAACCAGCACAAGACAAGGCTGCCCTTTCTCACCACTCCTATTCAACGTACTACTGGAAGTTCTGGCCAGGGCAATCAGACAAGAGAAAGAAATAAAGCATAGTCAAATAGGAAGAGAGAATGTCAAATTGTCTCTGTTTGCAGTTGACATGATTGTATATTTAGAAAACCCCATCATCTCAGCCCAAAATCTCCTTAAGCTGATTAAACAACTTCAGCAAAGTCTCAGGATACAAAATCAATGTGCAAAAATCACAAGCATTCCTATACACCAATAATAGAGAAACAGAGAGCCAAATGATGAGTGAACTCCCATTCTCAATACCTAAGAATACAACTTACAAAGGATGTGAAGGACCTCTTCAAGGAGAACTACAAACCACTGCTCAAGGAAATAAGAGAGGACACAAACAAATGGAAAAACATTCCATGCTTACACATAGAAAGAATCATTATTGTGAAAATGGCCATACTGCTCAAAGTAATTTATAGATTTAATGCTATCCCCATCAAGCTACCATTGACTTTCTTTACAGGATTAGAAGAACCTACTTTAACTTTCATATGGAACCAAAAAAGAGCCCGCATTGCCAAGAAAATCCTATGCAAAAAGAGCAAAGCCGGAGGCACCACGCTACCTGACTTCAAACTATACTACAAGGCTAGAGTAACCAAAACAGCATGGCACTGGTACCAAAACAGATATATAGACCAATGGAACAGAGCAGAGGCTTCAGAAATAACACTACACATCTACAACCATCTGCTCTTTGACGAACCTGATGAAAACAAGCAATGGGGAAAGGATTCCCTTTTTAATAAATGGTGTTGGGAGAACTGGCTGGCCATATGCAGAATACTGAAACTGAACCCCTTCCTTACACCTTATATGAAAATTAACTCAAGATGGACTAAAGACTTAAACAGAAGTCCTCAAACCATAGAAACCCCAGAAAAAAAATCTTGGGCAGTACCATTCAGGACGTAGGCATGGACAGAGACTTCATGACTAAAACACCAAAAGCAATGGCAACAAAAGCCAAAATTGACAAAATGGGATCTAATTACCTAAAGAGCTTCTGCACAGCAAAAGAAAGTATCATCAGAGTGAACAGGCAACCTATAGAATGGGAGAAAATTTTTGCAATCTATCCATCTGACAAACGGCTAATATTCAGAATCTACAAGGAACTTAAACACATTTAAAAGAAAAAAACAACCCCATCAAAAAGTAGGTGGAGGATATGAATGGATGCTTCTCAAAAAAAAGACATTTTTGTGGCCAACAAACATATGAAGAAAAGCTCATCATCACTGGTCATTACAGAAATACAAATGAAAATCACAATGAGATTCCATCTCACACCAGTTAGAATGGCGATCATTAAAAAGTCAGGAAGGCCAGGCGCAGTGGCTCACGTCTGTAATCCTAGCACTCTGGGAGGCCGAGGCAGGCAGATTGCCTGAGCTCAGGAGTTCGAGACCAGCCTGGGCAATATGGTGAAACCCCGTCTCTACTAAAAATACAAAAAATTAGCCGGGCGTGCGCCCGGCTGGGACTGCGGCGTGCGCCTGTAGTCCCAGCTACTCGGGAGACTGAAGCAGGAGAATCGCTTGAACCAGAGAGGCGGAAGTTGCAGTGAGCCGAGATCGCGCCACTGCACTCCAGCCTGGGTGAAAGAGCGAGGCTCCATCCGCCCCCGCCAAAAAAAAAAAAAAAAAAAAAAAAAAAAGTCAGGAAATAACAGATTCTGGAGAGGATGTGGAGAAATAGGAACACTTTTACACTGTTGATGGGAGTGTAAATTTGTTCAACCATTGTGGAAGACAGTGTGGCGATTTCTTCAGGATCTAGCACCAGAAAACCATTTGACCCAGCCATCCCATTACTGGGTATATATCCAAAGGGTTATAAATTATTCTACTATAAAGACACATGCACACATGCACACATATCTTTATTGAAGCACTATTTACAATAGCAAAGACTTGGAACCAAACCAAAAGCCCATTAATGATAAACTGGATAAATAAAATGTGGCACATATACACCGTGGAATACTATGCAGCCTTAAAAAGGATGAGTTCATGTCCTTTCCAGGGACATGAATGTAGCTGTAAACCATCATTCTCAGCAAACCAACACAGGAACAGAAAAGCAAACACCACATGTTCTCACTCATAGGTGGGAGTTGAACAATGAGAACACATGGACACAGAGAGGGGAACATCACACACCGGGGCCTGTTGTGGGGTGGGGAGCTAGGAGAGGGATAGCATTAGGAGAAATATCTAATATAGGAGACGGGTTGATGGGTGCAGCAAACCATCATGGTACGTGTATACCTATGTAACAAACCTGCACGTTCTGCACATGTATCCCAGAACTTAAAGTACAATAAAAAATAGGAAAATAAATCATTACGTGAAAAAGCCACCTGCCCTTGCATGTTTATTACAGCACTATTCACAACAGCAGTTATGGAACCAACTAAGTGTTCATCAGTGGTTGATGGACAAAGAAAATATGGTTTATATACACCATAGAATACAATGCAGCTATAAAAAAAGAATGAAATCATGTCCTCTGCAGCAACATGGATGAAACTAAAAGCCATTATCCTAAGTGACCTAACTCAAACTGAAAATCAAATATTGCATGTTCTCACTTATAAGTGTGAACTAAACGATGGATACACATAGACATAAAGATGGAAATAACAGAAACTGAAGTTTCCAAAATGAGGGAGAGAAAGAGGGGTTTGGGGTTTGAGGGTTAAAACTTTACCTATTAGATACAGTGTTCAATATTTGGGTGATGGGCACACTAGACGCCCATTCTCCATAATTACCCATATAACAAACATGCACTTGTAACCCCTGAATCTAAACTAAAAAAAAAACTCTGACTCTTTCTTCATTAATTCATTCATTTAAAAATAATCTTCTAAATACTTGCTATATATATCACATACTTTCCTAGCCTGGAGACAGAACTGTGAACAGGAGAGGAAAGTTCTATATTTCTTTCAGGTTTATCTTACATTGGACATAAACAATATAACAGAGAATGCCAAAACATGTGATAGGGTTATAACAGGAATTTCCCAGAGGCCCATGCGAGTATACAAAAAAATACATATCCCATACTAGAGGGATGGAAGTGATCAAAGAAAAGTCTATGATTTGCGGCATGGCCATAAGATAAAATCCCCTCAGATAGCTTAAAGAGAGTTAGTGAGGTGACTGCTTCCAGAGATAAGTTCGATTTTAGAGACATCTAGAGGCTAACAACAGAAACAAGTCATTATTATCCCCAAGGTTGAAGGAGAAAAGAAAGAAAGAGTGCTACTAAAGTTCAGAAGGAACTGGGGCAATGAAATTTCAGCCCTTTGGGAGCTACAGTCATAAGGGTCACAGCCTGCAGTACTGAGAGGAAAAATACCTAGAACTCTTGTTTCCCCACTTTTCAGTCTCTTGCCCATGCTTGTCATTGACCAAACTGAACTAGAGAGAGCACACGCGATACATATTATGATATCAACCGCTTGGAGTACAGAACAAAACAGAGAATGAATGGATTAGGGTGGGAGAGGATGAAATACAACGAGTATAGATTACTTCTTTTGCTACTCAGCATTTATTCTTGCCATTTAACCAAATGAAGGAATTCTCACTGACAACTCAGGTGAGGCATAACTGCCATCAGACTAAATAATGAGGGATGATGTTGAATTGCTTTATTTTCATGCAGAACCCAAAGATAATGATACATATCACCATTATTCTTCATGTTGGTTGGCCTAAAAAATGAGGCAAACAATCAGAAATGATAAGTATAATTTCTATAGACCCTGATGCTTGCTGGTTATGGGGTCAATATTAAGATTCATAACTTTAACTTTACTATCATTTATTTTGTATCCTTCTTTTCCTCTATCACTTTGTAGAGTTTCCTCATGAGATAGGTGACCTAATTTATTACTCTAACGTAGTCTGGGTAGCAAGTCATTCTGTCTCTATTGGATTGTCCCATTTTTCCATTTACTATTATTAATGAACTTAGAAGCTCTAGAAGGCATATGAGTGAATTTCCTAGGTTCCAGGTACAACATTCCTACTTTCCAGTGTGTAGCAATGACCCAATTTTCCCTTGTTAATGGGGAATAATTTCCACAACCAGTAAAATAATCTTGATGCCTGTTGATTCTAGAAGATGTAAAAGCCAAAAGGCCTATAAACATGCTCAGCACCCATGAATGTGCTCCCTGGCAAAAGTGTTTCTCCCTTTTAAGTAAGACCTCTAAACCTGTTGTATTATTCTGCTATTTTTTCGATAAGCACATGTGACAGAAAATCCTAACACCTCTTTAGATTACAACAAATGTGGCTTCTCACTGGTGAATTTTCAGTCTGTATGTTGTATTCAGGTATCCTCTACATGTATCTCCTTCTGTAGATAGCAGCTAACCATAGCATACACTTATCCTAGTGGTGGACCTAAGACCCACAACTGCCACAGAGATGCATTTTACATTGGGCCCAGTTAAAACTGACAGACTTGTTGCTTACCAAATAAGTAGACAGAATAGCAGACATCAAACATAAATAGGCTCACCATATGTTGCAGCAGTGCAAGATGTTGCAAATTATCACTCATTTCAGAGAAACATCTTGACATTCCAAGAGCATTGGAACCCTAAAACTTCACTAATGTGATAGACCTCTAAATATGTTTTGGGGTTTTTCTCTCATCCTCTAAAATGTGTCACACTACTATGCCATATAGGATACTTGCTACTTTTAGCTCACAAAGTAAAATAATGTCATCAATGTAATGTTCAATTATGATATTTTCTGGGACACTAAAATGTTCTCATAGGTCATATATGGCAGAATGCAGTAGATTTGTTCTGACCTTGATTTAAGACTGTAAAGACATATGGCTGTCCCAGCTAAGTAAGACAAATTTCTGGTTGTTGTAACTAATTGGAAAATTTTTAAGAGAAATTTGCTGAGACAATAGATGCACATTGGGTGTCAGAGACCATGCCAATTTGGAACATGTTTAGATTATTATTGTAGTGGTAGAAGATTGTCAACTTTCAGGGGATTATTCTTCATTTAGCTTGCTTCTTCCCACTGATATAGCTATATTACACAGGTGAAGGAACAGATATACGTTTTCTACTATTCTTCAAATGTGTTTATTTTAACTATACTTTCAGACACAAGAGAAATAACCATTGGATCCACTGAAAATTGGATTCTGGATACAATTTCATCTGTCATGTAACCTCTGTAATTAACCATACTGATGACTGAATCATGGTAGTGTTTCTGTTTTATAGGAACAAATGTTACTTTGGACTGACCATTCAATAACTCCCAGAATGTTCTATGTATTTCTATCATAGCCATGTACAAACATTATTGTATGTGTCCACAGGTTCCTCTGGTAATGGCTTGGAGGAAGATTTAAAATATGCATTTGACCCTCCACTGCAGAGTGTTACCCATGATGAACTAGTCTTGCTCTATAAGTTAGGGGTTCTAGGTACATGAAATGGCTCAGATATGGAACTCAGTAAAACTACACAATTCCAAAAACATGGTTTTCTCTGAATATATAGATGAACCAACATCATAATGACTACCCATCTCTTTCATTCACAGGGACTTAATAATCAATTAACTACTGCCACAGATCCTGTGGTTAAAATATTTTGAATGCAACTTTGGCCCTCCGGTCTTTTGTGGCTATCTTGTCTCTGATCATTAGTAGACGCCAACATCCAGCTTCTATAATTTTTGGTCCAATTGTTCACATTGATGAAGAGTGCAGTTAAATGGCACATTAGCATTTTCAGGTTACAGTGGGGTAACATCAAAGAATTTTAGAGAAAATGCTGGTGCTCCGCCAGAAACTTTTTTTAGTTACCTTTGGGTAGGAATATCTTCTAGATCCTCCAGATGTGTACATTTTCTCTGCTCTGTGTGTCAGGGAAAGTTGCATACAATAGATCTGCTCTGATATTATCATATCCTTCACAGTATTAAAGACAATTTCTGGAATCTTTATCTCATTGATGGGAAGCCACTACTGAATTCAGGCTTCAAGTAACCAACCAAGAGAGCTCATAGAGCATTGCAAGTGTTTCAGGTAAACAAACAAATTCCAAGTAAATTTCCCAACATTGAAACATCTGTTATTATGTAACATCATATTTTGTTTTGTTTGATCTAATAACAACAGAGTCAATTCTAACACATAGTCTTCAGGGAAAGATCTTGCAGATATATTTGTATGTACTCTTCGTACTCTTGGAAAAGATCTTGCAATTCGTCCTCTGTGAAATGCTAGTATTTAACTCAGCAGGCAGTGAGGGGTGTAGAGTTTGTGTCTTTTGGAAAAGTGGTATTTCCTTGAGAGATACCTACTCCAGCCAAAGTCATTGCAAGATATTTAAGCAAAGAAAGATTTGACTTGTCCGTTCAAACCATTAATGTGTGCTCAAATGTCTCTACCTCAACTCATCAGGGATCTACTTCTTCTAATCACTTTCCTATCCATAGCATAAGAAAAGACTTGATGAGTTTATGCATTGGCATAGTAACTGTGAAATACAGATAGTCAGTTTCAGGGACAGAGGCTTAGCCCTGTCAGCCTGTAGCTATTGGAATAAATAGAATTTTTTTAAGGCCCCATATAAGTCTTTTTTTTTTTTTAAAGGTTCACTTCTTTACTCTTGAATTGGGTGTATGAGTTCCTTAAGATAATGTTTTATGTTTTCCAGTACTGTCTGATGATATCAGCCTACATTCTTTCTATTCATCTCTGTTGCCATAACAATGAATAACATGAGCCACATGATCACCCAAGTATTTATGGTCTATTGCTAATCTATCCTGAACTACAACCAATGGTAACCTGGGTAATTGTGGTGCGATGCATGCTGCAAATTAGGATTATTACCTTTTTCCCTGACTGGAGATCATATGTTCATCAAATATGTGAGCAACACAGATCCAGAATCTTATGGTAGTCACCAAATTTCTGGGACCACTCCTCGTATCAATTACAACATCAACTAGGTATTGGTATTGTAGAGATTCACTCAGAGAGAAACATTAATGAATGTATTTCAAATAGAATGTGTGCACAGTTAACTAAACAGAGGATGTTGAGATGTTGAGATGCTCAGAGACTAGTAACATTACAAAATGGTCACCTTTCCTAAGACTAAAAGGAAAGAGGAGAGAACATAGTCTTATTGGAGTCACAGAACTTGGCCACTTGATGGAAATTGTTATTACAGAAAGATGTAACTACTGCCAGAGAGTAGTGTCAAAGAAGGGGGAAGAAAAGAACTACCTTGACCTTGATGTCTCTTTACTTCTGCCCACTGATCTGTGTGTGTCTCCCATTAGAAGAGTGCAACTGGAAGCCACAACACACACAGACACAAAAAACCTCTAGTGATGCAGTTATAAGGTCAACCTCCCAGAAATAGTGAAGCACAAGAAATGTTAGAGAGTACATCAGAGGTGTGGAAACAAAAAGGAATAATTCATTTAGGAGGTAACAGTTACATCAATACCTAAAATGAAAGAGCAAAAATGTGTTTTTCAGAAAAAAGTTAAAGAGAAGAATATTCCATGTAGGAAGAAAAGTCATGAAAAGAGCTGGGCATTAAGACATTGTACATTTGTAAAGTTGAAGGAAGACTGGTATGGAAGAGACGTAAATTGGAAGGTGGTGATTTAGGGCACCTTAGGTGATGCAACATCTTTTATACCAAGTTGAGATATTTAGACTTTTTCATAGAAATGACGGGAAAGCATTCAATGGTTTTAAGAGGACATGATAAGGTCATTTTATTTCAAGAAAGGGCATTTAACCAAATTGGAGAAAATAGATTGCAAGAATAAATGCAAGGAGATGAATTAGAAAGTAATTGCAGTGTTTTAGGTGATAAATAATAAGGTCTAGAGTAAAACTAATTTCTTAAAAGTATATGGGATATGGAGAAATATTTAGAGAACATAAACAATGGCTGGGCACAGTGGCTCACACCTGTACTCCCAGCACTTTGGGAGGCCAAGGCGGGTGGATCACCTGAGGTCAGGAGTTCAAGACCAGCCTGGCCAACATGATGAAACCCTGTCTCAACTAAAAATATAAAAATTAGCTGGGTGTGGTAGCGGGTGACTGTAATCCCAGCTACTTAGGAGGCTGAGGCAGGAGAATTGCTTGAACCTGGGAGTCGGAGCTTGCAGTGAGCCGAGATTGCACCATTGCACTCCAGCCTGGGCAACAAGAGTGAAACTCTGTCTCTGTCTCAAAACAAACAAACCAACAACAACAAAAACAGAAACAAAACAAGACTTACACACACACACACACACACACACACACACACACACACGGGCAGAGAGGAGGGCAGGGTAGAGAATAAGAGAGAGGGAGAGAGAGAGAGAGAATTAAGCAAGATATCTAACTTTGAAATGTAGTAAAATGTAGGCATTTTACTCTTTCTCCTTGGGGCATTCTCCTCCGTTTTACAATGTCTTCATTATCAAATTTATTTGTAATTAACACTGCTTCTATTATGTCAGTGCAGTTATTTCCAGCCTATACCTCCAATGAACACTTTTTTAAAAAATCTAACCTCATCTCAGTAATTTGTAAGATATTTCTACCTCATCTCTGAAACTTGGCATATTCTAACTGAACTTGCTAGTCTTTCATTCTACAATCTACCCATTTTTCTGGTTGCCTATATTATTTTAATGGTGCCATCATTCTTCAAATTTCTTATCTTCTAAATAGCTTTCGTCATTTCTTCTTTGTTAATTTATCATATTCAATTAGACAAATGTTGTTAGATTTTACTTCTAGTAACTCGCATCTGTCCCTTTTCCTTTGCATATTTTGACTCTAACTCTACTGCAGTTTAGACCATTGTTTCCTCTCCAGTGGACAACTGCCATGTCCCTCTAATTAGTTTATTGTTTCTTTCCAATCCATTTGATAAAATTAATATCGCCAACACAAAATATTTGCTATGTCATTGATCTGATCCAAAATTATCAAAATCACTCCTTACAAACCAGTTTAAAGATATAACTGCTATCTTTTCACTCATTAAACTTTTATTTTCTCCTTTTCATTCACTTTGTTTAAAAATTCTTTTAAAACATCAAATTTGTTCTTTGACTGTAGTAATTATTTGTCATAATGCAGTGGCTAACTATGTCTACTCCTTTATGTTAAAACTAATTCCTGATATTAAAACAATTATTTTTAATCAGAGATATTACATATTTTCTAAATATAATGGGTTTTGACATCAACATATGATATTGATATAATATATAATAAATACAGTAAAACTATGGATATTTAGCTATGTGAACCATATAGTTAGTTAAATTGGTAAAAGTTACTGAAAAGATTGATTCTGTACTGTTTCTTCAGACAGAATTGTTTCAGTGCCTCTTAATAGTAAGAGTTTTTTTTAGTATAGCATTATGATAAACCTGAAGGAATTAATCATAATTGCTTAGTGAGTAAACATTTCACTTCTTGGAAATGAGATTTTTATATCTGCAAATGGGATAATAGCACTTGCCCTGCATACTTGACAGAATTGTTTTGAAGGCCAAAAGAGATTTAAGAATGCAGACAACTTTAAAATACAAGTATGCTATGTAGAGATCTCATATCTGTAACTTCAACAATCTCAAATCCATATACATATCAGAAAACTGCTTGTTTTAACAAAGACTGCTATTAAATTCACTTCTTTTCTGAAATCACGAATTAGGATGCTATGCGTATTTAAATAGTACTTCAACTCACCAAGGCAGTTTTTATATTTGAAAAAATACCATGATATTAGTATCTAATACTCATCTCTGGAGTCACTATACTGTGGTAAGAGGTTCTTAAGTCTTAGTTTATACAAGTCTATTTGTAATAGACACAATAGACCAAAACACCTTAAAAAGATTACATGTAGTAAAATGAAGTATACTCATGGTTGATTTAATGATGTCTTTCTGCTATTTTGAAAAAGTCAAAGAAGCTTAATAACTTTATTTTCTAACAAGTTTTCTAGCCCATATTAGGTTAAAATAATAAACAAATGAGGATCGACTGCTTGAGACAGATATTGTTTGTATTACAATGAAATATGATATATAGCAAATAAAGATGTAAAAATAATTTTTAAACATGGAAGAGAGGGTTAGCATTCTTGTAACTATGTTCCCCCTATCTCTATCTGGCTTCTATGAATGCACCTAAAGGGTCTTTTAGGGTAGAGGGGAAACCAAACAACAGAACTCTGGACCAACCACTCAGCTTCCATTTAAGTAGCTTGTTTTTAAATGTTTAATACGCAGAAGCTTTTCCCAAAATCCTCTTTTGAGAAAAGGTTTCTCTTCTCTGTTCCCCTCCCTGCCAGCTCACATAGTAATTCCATTAAAAACAAACAAACAAACAAACAAAACAAAATAAACCTTGAAAAGCTCTGTGGTAGAGAAAGGCATCTCTTTTCTGCAATGGATATTACTCTATTACATCCCACTGAAGTCGCTGACTTATGTAATGATGATGTTATGCCATTAAGAAAAGGTTAAACTGTGTTCACATAATTCTCTGTCAGAATGCAACAGAGTATTGGCGGTAGGTTGAAAAACGGCCCCCAAATACCTCCATGTCCTAATTCTCAATACCTATCACTGTTACCTTATATGGAAAGGTAGATCTCGTAGTTGTGATTAAATTAATAATCTTGAGATGGGGAGATTATTCAGGTGAGTACTATGTAATCATGATGATTACGTAGTAATCATGTAATCATAGTAATCATTTAAAGGCAGACACAGGAGTAGTCAGAGGAGGAGGATAATGAGATTTGATAAGGGAATCAGGGTGGATTGATGTACTTTGAACTTCTTAAAAGGGGCCACAAGCCAAGGAATACAGGTGACCAATAGATGCTGGAAAGGTCAGGAAATGGATTTTTGCTTCATTCTCCAGAAGGAACCAACTCTCCAAATATCTTGATTTAAGCCCATTGACACTGATTTCAGATTTACGCCTTTCAGAACTGTGAGAGAATAAGTTTGTGTAGTTAGCCTACTAAGTATGTGGTAGTTTGTGGCATCTTCTATAGGAAACTAATATAGTATGCAAGACATTTGAGTGTCTAGTTGTGATAGCTTCATGTGACAACATTCTCTATGAAAGTTCCTGTGAAGTTTCTCTTATTCATACACTCATTTATAAACTAGATCCATATTAAATATCGTTTGCTATTTTAGGTTTCACAGATGTACAAATTATCATTCCATAATATGAGACCTTGAGGAGCTAGGAGTCTGGTAGAGGCGACAGATATTTAAGATACAATTATGATCATGTGTTAAATTTCATAAAAGAAACTTAAAAGAACTTTGTGGGAACCTAGGAGAGAACCTAAACCTCTCTGGAAAAGGTTAGAAAGATTTCATGATACGTGGGTTAAGTGATAAAGAATCAGAAGAAAATTTCCAGGGCAATTAAGTCTAAATAGGAATTTATAGGCAGAAGAAGTGCTAATGCAAAATATGGTGACCTGAATATTTTAGCTTGTTTAAGCAACTACAAAAATAAATGGAAATTTGGGGAATAAAGAGTGATCTGAAAGGACTGCTGATTAATGCTGATAAATGCATTCAATGATATACTACTCACATATTATCTTTCACAAATAATTCTAAATATAAGGAAATCATTCCTATTGAGTTATAAATGAAGGTGGAAGAAATGACTAGTTTGTTTTATGACAACGTGAAACCCAGATTTTAAAAATATGCATTGTGTTTACAAGATGAGCACCAATGTTCCTTTAGTTCTATGCTTACATAATTCTGTTAAATCTAAGTGAACTTTATCCTAAGTTCCTAAGTTGGTAGAAATAAAGCTTTTGAATACAACATAAAAAATGTGTGTTTGATAGAAAGAGTGTAGTTTATTTGTAAAGAACCTATTATTAGTATATTTTTTTGCATGGCATTAAAAATAAGTAGTTGTTCAAATATTTGTATGTTACCATGTAAACAAATTGCTTGTTTAAAAGGGTTATTTGTTGTTGCTGTTGTTTGCTTATTTTTTATTTTGTTTTGTTTTATTTGCTTTGCATTACTTTTCATTAGAATGTTTCAGGATTATGTGGCTGTAGTCAAGGTTTTTACTTATTTTGTCCTATTCAAGTTAACCTCTTACTTTAGCGCTGATAATTTCACAATTCTCATTCCTTTCTCCACCACACTTTTATTGAAGTATGAATGCCTATTGTTTGCCACTGCTGTTATTCCTCTCATACGAAGGCCACCTGTCATTGAAAAGAGTTACCATGCTCCAATGAGGCAGATAAGATATTTTTAAATATATTCTAAGATTTATTTAATAGGTTTGACCTTTCCAGAAATTGTCCTTATCCATCATTATAGTACATGATCAATCATTTTGTACTTCATCATCTACAAAACAAGCATTAATAACAGGGGAAAGAGTTTACATTCTATTTTTCTCTATAGATTTATATCAAAACGCTTTGGACAGCTCTGCTAATTAAGGATAAGAAACTGAAAAATGTTGACCAATCTGACTATCTTAACAGGGTCAGGGTCTTAACTGAACTTTCTGTTAATCAATGTTTTACTTTAGATCTTTAGGGGCATAAAGATTGAGACCAGTAATATTTCTTTGGGTAAATCCGTAATCTATTTGAATAAATATGCCTTGATTTCTCAGTTACTTATTTTCTCAGTATTAACTTTAAAAGTCAGGTAGTTATTATTTTTCAAATATGTAAAATAAACAAGTACAGAAACCATTAGTGAATCACCTGTATGCTATGACCGGATGCTGCCCAAAATTTACCTGTTTAAAGGTTGACTTTATTATTTTGGCCATGACTACAGTCTCACTCCAAACAATGTTTAGACTGTGAAACATGGCCTTCTTAGTGAGTTTATTTTTAGGATGAATACTTCAGAAGGAAGGTGTAATTTTTACATCAGGTATTTTACCCAAATTAAAGTTTGGTCAATTAAGTATCAATGTAAAAAGAAAAAAAAAAAAGATGCCCATATCCTAAAAATTGTAAAGATACTTCTTGAGCAAGATCTGGTCTTATTCCAAGGCAACTGATATCCATGTCTATGGGAACAAAAAATTACTGTTTCTATCAGTCAGTATATGAGCTCACTAAACACTAGTAAGGTTAATAAATGTCAGAAGAAAGGCTAGGGTACCTTATTACAGTCTCTGCTATTCTGATTTTAAACTACTTGAAGAGCAATCGATGGAGCAACAGAAGTGACAGTTCTGTTTTTAAAATAAAACACAAAAAGCAAACCCAACTCTATTATTCTCTATAATAAAACCAAATACAGTGAGAAATAAAATTGGAAGGGGGTGGGGAACAGTGCAGAGGCAGAGATATCTTGTCTCTGTTCTGAGTTATTGAAGACAAAATAGAAATGTTATTTCTAGTGTTACTGTAAAAATAATGTGTATGTTTAGCCATGTGTATCATCAACATTCAATTTAAAGATCAAAGCACTCTTCCACTTAATAATATGAATAACCTACAGCCAGCTCTGAAGTAGAGCAGATCCCATTCTGATAAGCCTCTGGAAATATATTCATACTTTTAAAGATTTTTTTAAATACCCATGTTTTATATAATGAAATTTCGCAAAGTGATAGCAATACATATGTTTTTATCAGTCTGGTTCTCTAAATATCCATTCTGGATCTATATCTGCACAAATTAATAAGCTAGAGATTTTTATTATCTAGTAAAAATAACAATTATCACTGTGTTATGGCTATTTTGATAGACATCTAGGTTATTTCTATAAAATGCCTAAATATTTACAGGGAAAATAAAAACAACAGCAACAACCAGAAAAAAAATACTAATTCATCTTCATCCAGATGTTTTCCTTACATGATAACAAATATTTGAAAACATCTGGATGACTAGATCTTTCACTTTTCATATACAAGTGAAATCACAGATATGTATGTTAATCTGTCTATAACGGAATAAATTCTGAAATACATTCACTAGATAGTGGAACATCCTAAATGACCTTGAAAGCATTATTTATTTTTACAGAAAGTCATTCTCTCTGCTCCACAGTGATTTGTTCAGTATGCTTTTGACTTTTTCTTAGCTTTTAAAGTAACCAATTAGAAAATAACCTTCTGATATCTCCATATTCATTTCCACATGAACTAAACATGAAAATTCAACTTTACTCACAATATCTACACACAACTCAGACAAATAACAAAGAACAAAGACAAAGAATGTGATTGACGCTAAACTGATGAAACAGCTGTGAAATGTGAGATATCCCATAGAGATACACCTGAATCCATATCAATCATATGTTTTTCTTCTATAGTTTGGTTATGTAAAAACGAAATTTCTTACTTTAGTAGTTTTTCCATTAGCATTCCATCGAACTTGTATACTGTTAATTAAGAATGTTGGTTCCTGATATGCTGCATGTTATAATTTGAGAAGATTTTGTGTAATTGAAATTTAGGCAGGGAACACTATTCTGTTTTTAGACAAGTAAACTAGTACTCAAAGAAGGGCAAATAACCAACTGGATATCTAGTACCAAGTGGGTCACACATTTCTTAAATTTGAATTCAATTATTCTTTTTCCCAGGCCTTTATTCTCTGCACTATATTAAGTGACCTTAAAAATAGCTGAATATTAGACCATTAAAAACTGAATACTAACATTATCAAAAATATCAGAATTTGTTTAATTAGAATGGTAATATAACTTAGAATTTAAAACATGTCCTCAATAAACAAAGAAAATATTTTTATTATTATTACCATATATGAATATAAAATAACATAGGAAAAAATACTTTCCAGCTGCTTCATAGAGTGTGGATACTTGTACTCTTGTAAAATGAATAAACACCTTATAGGTATGCTAAATAACTGTAAATTTGTGATCTTTAAATAAGTTTATATCATAGAAAAGGTAGAAATAATCTACTTAGTTAAATTTAAAACCTTTTTGAATTTTTTTACTTAATTACTTTTAAAAGCCCCAAGTGAAGATTTTGAAGAACCAAGTCTAATATTTCTTTTAAACTGTTTATCTGGATCTTCAATAAATCAAAATATTTTTTACTTATCTTAAAAATTCAGACTAGAATTCTCTGGTCCCAAAGCTATTACCTTAGATACAGATTATGGCTTATATGCCTGTAAAACAGAAAGATGTTTCAACTTAAAACAACTAGTTGGTAAAGGGCTATAAGATGTGAAGATGCCTCTGGAAGATAAGAACACTGAATAATATTTGAGAAACTCCCCAAAACAATAAAGCCAGAAGTCCCAAAGGGACAGAAGTCTGGAGGGCAAAAATATATGTAGATAGGAATATGAGAAACCAATCTCATATTAAATTATGGGTCAAAGAGTGATATGGTTTGGATTTGTGTCCCCGCCCAAATCTCATGTGGAATTGGAGGAGAGGCATGGTGGGAGGTGATTGGATCATGAGGTGAATTTCCCCCTTGCTGTTCGCAGGATAGTGAGTGAGATCTGATGATTTAGAAGTGTGTGTGGCACTTCCCCTTTGCTCTTTCTCTCTCCTGCCACCACTGTGAAGAAGGTCCTTGCTTCCCCTTCACCTTCTACCATGATTGAAAGTTTCCTGAGACCTCCCAGTGATGCTTCCTGTTAAGCCTATGGAACTGTGAGTCAATTAAAACCTCATTTCTTCATAAATTGCCTAGTCTCAGGTAGTTCTTTATAGTATGTAAGAAGAGACTAGTACAAAGAGTCAGGTAGTAAGAAATAAGGCATCCTCAGTTCAAACTATCCAAGTAAACCAGAGACAAGAGAAAATTCTAGTGAAGGTAAAATTTAATAAATATAGAATAGTTTGAATTGGCTCATAATAGGAGATAGAAAAATAAAAAATATTGCTACTCTGTTTACGTCAAACTTAAAGGTTAGTATTTTCTTTATAATTTCAGTATTGGTTTGTAGATGAAATTTATAGGCCAAAAATAATATACAATATACTTCAATGACTCCTGTGTGACATATTTGTTACTTTGGTTGCTTCAAACTGAATGACCATTTTAAACCCTAATGATAAGGGCAAATAATATATTGGCCAAATGAATCTTATCCTTCTGTTGCTGGGTAGGAGCAGGTTTTTTTCAGTAAGATTCTTCATCTACCCAGGATTTTAGTAGACGACAAACACAACTTCTGATATTTGAATTTACTTTTTAGTTTTTAATTGCAAACTTGATTTCTGATATCAATATTTCTAATCCACTTTATTTTTTTAATTAAGAATTCTAAAGTGTCAGACAAGACTAATTACTTAAGCTATAGTGGATATGAGGCCCAGATTGGCCTCTTATAAGGTAGCACAACAGTGATTTGGGGGTAGTTTAAAACAACAAAGAAAAGACAAATCCCAACACGAAAGGCATCATTGATATATTCTGGAAACATCACTGTAACTTTCCCTTGAATGTAATATAGAAGGAAGCTGATAATTTTAAATACATAATAGTCAAACACTTTCCATTTGAGATCCGTGGTGGGGATAGCATGAAGTGCAGAAGCTTGAGAGTCAGGGATACCTTGAATCAAATTCCAGCTTCGTTAGCTAGGGTGAGTTATTTGACCTCATTGATTCTCAGATATCCCATCTTTAAAAAGGAGATTATGATTTCTCCCTTACAGGCCTACCAGAAGAATGAAATTAGATCATTTACTTAAAACTTTTAGCGGAATGTCTAGCACAAAACTTTCAGAACATACTAGCTCTTTTGCCAAGTAATAGAAAAGGTAAGTATATTTGTGGCTGAACGTATGAGAAATACTGTTCCTGAGAGTGTACAGATTCAAATCTCTTTTAGAAATGCATTTTGAGTTGAGATATCCATAATAACTCATTTAAAAATAAATAAAGGCATTCTTCAAGATAGAAAGACTTTATTTTTGTATATGATACATAATTTAAAATAAACAACTTAGAGATAATCTTCCAGTGCCAAATATAGCAATTTCTTTATTGTTTCAAAACTTCAAGTATTTCATTAAAATACATTTGAAAATTGCATATAAGTGCGCATACTGCACTTGTACTTTTTGTATTTTAAATCAGAATTTTCAAAACTGTTTTTGCACAAATAGCTCAGTTACACCCACAAATCACTGAATCTATTTAGCATCTTTTGAAGAGGTGTAATTTTTTGAAAAATGTGACATTTGTTTTTGTGCCAGTGCATTTGTCAACATTAGTGTAATTAGCTCAAGTTTCATCAACTAGCTTGTGCAATCTGTTCAGAATGCAACTTTGAATTTTGAATAGTCTTAGGGACTCCACTTAGAGTTTAAGCCTATTGAATCTGATTTAAGTTCTTATTTGAAAAAAAAAGTCTTTAATAAAGTCAGCATAATTTTTAAATTTCAGGTTATATATTATAGAAAGAAGCATCAGGATTATTTATTATTAATAGAAATTTTAGGAAGGTTTTACAAATAATATCCATAGAATTTCCATTAACCAAGAGAGAATGATTATTTTGATGCGTAACAAGTAACCTCACAGTGTGTTGTTAATGCATTTATTTTAAATGTGAGAATATTCTAATTTGGCTTAAGTCAGAATAAAGGAAGAAAGACACTAACAATTATATTCATTATTGATAGGAATTTGTCTCCACCATAAGGCAGCAGAAGAAAAGACTTAGAAAAACTTTTAATAATTATTTCATCAAGATACATTTTTGAGATGAATTACAGTTTTACTTTTTCACATTCTTGGCACAGATGGTATCATATTTGGAAGAGGGATTTTAGAAAGTGTAAGAGAAAAGGTTATTTGGTCTTTTCTGTGCCAATATTAGAATATGCTTAGAACAAAAACCATATTTGAGAAACAAAGAATAGAAAGATCTCTAAAAATGAAAAATTTATCCTCTGGCAATATCTGATCTAACAACTAGATGGCCTCTCAGGTTCAATGGCTAAATCTAAATGGAACAAGAGGGAGAAGTTTAAAAATACTCTTTTTTATATACCAAATAGGCCTGATTTAAGAATATAATTTTTAAAAATAATCAGGCAGGTATCCAACACGTTTGCTGTCAACTTCTCTGTAAGGACACATACACAAACACATACGAGAGAGAGAGAGAAACACAATGCCACGGTCTCTTTGTTTTCAAGGAGTTTATGCTGAAGTAGGGGAGAAAGATAGACATGGAAAAAAAACTTATGTTATTAACAATTAAAGTCCCAATTATAATACAAATATGTAGCTGCATCAAAGAAGAGATAACCCGATTCAACCAATTATCTTAATTGTCTGAAATGCATCTTTGCATGAGAATGCTGGGTGAAAGTCACGATGGTAAGTATATTGGTGGGAAAATACAAGAGATCAAATTCTGTAAACTTGTGCTAGTGAGTTAGAGGTCTTAAGTGTACATTCATTTGTTCATCATTAAATAAACTTTGAGAATCTGCTAATTTTTAAGTCCTATCTATATTTTAGGCAGTCCAGATGATTGGCATAGACTTAGCTCTTGAAATACTTAACATACTAAGACATGGATAGAATGTGAATGTCCCCAACCATGTTAATAAGGAAAATTAATTTCATAAAATAAGAAATACAAAAACCATTGTGGTGTGGTTTTTATGGTAGTGAAAACATCTTCAGCATAAAAGGTAATGATAGAGGTAGCACTGGGACAGCTTTGAAGGATAAGTAGAATTCACCTATCGAGTGGTCAGATGGTGATATGTTAGGCTCCAGTTTGTTGTCTTCCTGACAGGGTTCCAATCACCTTTATTAATCTCTTAGCCCTCAATTCAATTGTGAGGAAATGAGGATTGATTTAGTTTTGGGGAAATTCCATTATAAAGGAACTTACTGAACACTGTATCATAAGAGTGGTGAATGTTGAATGTTGACTGAATTTGGTGAGAGTGGATATCCTTGCCCTGTTCCAGATCTTAGGAGCAAAGCATTCAGTCTTTCACCACCTAATATGATATTGGATGTATTGTATAGATGCCTTTTATCAGGTTGAGGTTAAGGGAATACCCTTCTATTGCTAATTTGCTGAAAATAACTATTGAGAATGAAAATTGTATTTTGTCGTTGCTTTCCTCCATCTGTTAAGATAATCATGCGTTTCTTCTTTCTTTAGACTTCTAATATGGTGGATTATATTGATTGTTTTTTTAAATATTGAGTCAGCTTTACATTTTTTGGGTAAACTCCACTTGGGCACGCATGATATTCTTTTGATATAGTGATGAATTTCATTGGATAATATTTTATTAAGGATTTTGCTTCTATGTTTACTGGAGAAGCTATCCCCTAATTTTTTGTTTGTTTCTTTGTTTTTGCACTGTCTTTGTGTGATTTAGGTATCAGGGTAATCTTAGTTTTGTAAAATGAGTAGGAAGTATTTCCTTTTCTTCATCATCTGCTACTGGAAGAAATGCTATAAACATTTCCTAAATGTTTGGTAGAATTCACCAGTGAGATCATGTATGCATGGAGAATCCTTTATGGATGACTTTAACTACAAATTCAATTTCTTTAATAGTTATAACACCATTCAAATCATATATTTTATCTTGAATGAGTTTTAATAGTTTATAGTGTTTCAGGAATTAGTCTATTTTATCTAACTTGGTGAATTTATGTACATGGAGTTGTTTGTAGTAGTCTATTTTCAATAATATTACTGTAGGATCTGTAGTAATGTTCTTATTTTCTTTTTAATAACCTCACCTAAGAGTCTATAATGACATTCTTTCATTTCTGATATAATTTGTTTTTTGTTTTCTCACCTTTTTTGTTAATATTGCTAGAGGTTTATCAATTTCACTGCTCTTCTTAAAGAACAAACCTTTTTTTTTAAATTATTGCTTGTCTTTTGTTTTTATTTTCAATTTTAATGCTTAAAATTATTTATTAATTTGTCTTAAGATGTAGCCTTAGGTTATTAATTTGAAATGATTGTTATATTAATAGTATAAGCATTCAAAGCTATAAATTCTGAGTATTGCTGCAGTTGCATCACACACATTTTAATATGTTGTATTTTTATTAAATTAAATTATTTTCTAATCTGCTCTGAGACTTCCTCTTTTACCCATGGAATTTTTAGGACTCTGTTGTTGAATTTCCAAATGATTAGCAATTTTGCCAATTTCGTTATTGATTTCTGGTTAAATTCAAATATGCTCAAAACACATACTTTGTATTTTAAGTCTTTTAATTGTGTTGTCTTGTTTTATGACCAAGGTATAATCTAGCAGGTGGAATTTACCATGTCCAGTTGAAAAGAATGTGAAATGAGATACTGTTGAGTGTTCTATGTCAGTTAGATTCAATCAGTTGATGAGGTTGTTCAGTTCTATAAACTTGTTGATTTTTCTCTCTACTACTTCTATTACTGAGAGAAAAGTTTTAAGGTATCCAAGATTTTTCAGTTCTGTCAGCTTTTGTTTCATGTATTTTGAAACTCTGTTTTTAGGTAAATACACTTTTAATATTTTTATGTCTTTTTAGTGAATTGACACTTCATTTAATATGCAGTATCTCTATGGCTCTCTCTAACCTTGGTAAATTTCTTTGCTCTGAAATCTCCTTTGACAATGATACAGACATTCCAGCTTTCCTTTGATTAGTGTTTGCAGGGTATATCCTTTTCTATCATTTTATTTTTTAAAATTATTTTTGTCATAAAGACACTTAGTATGAGATACACCTTCCCAACAAATTTTTAAGTGTACAATATATTATTTGTACAATGTTTTAGAGTAGATCCAGAGCTCATTAGTCTTGCTTAACTTAAATGTTGTCTTTTGATTAGTAACTCATCACTTCTGTCTCCCCACCAGCCCCTGAAAAACACCATTCTGTAGTTTAATTCTATGAATTTGACTATTTCACATACCTCATATAAATGAAATTGTGCAGCATTCATCTTTCAGTGACTGGCATATTCGCATGATGTCTTCAAGGTTCATCCACATTGTCACATATTGCAGAAATTATTTAAGGTTTCATAGCATTTTGTTGTTGTGTATATACCATATTTTTTCCATTAATGTGAGGATGGACAGTTGGGTTGTTTCCACATCATGCTATTATAGATAGTACTGCAATGAAAATAGAAGTGCTAATATCTTTTTCATATTCTAATTTCACTTCTTTTGAATAAATAATCAGAAGTAAGATTGCTGGATAATATGTGCTATGGTTTGGATATGATTTGGCCCTACCAAATCTCATATTGAAATGGAATTCCTAGTTTGGCAATATTGGGAGGTAGGGCCTAGTGGGAGATACTCAGGTCATGGGGGCAAATCTCTCATGAATATATTAACGCTCTCTCTCAGTTCTCACTCTATTAGTTCCTGCAAGACCTGGTTGTTAAAAAGAGGCCAGCACCTACCTGCTCTCTCTTGCTTCTGCTCTTGCCATGTGATCCCTGTGCATGCCATCTCTCCTTCACCTTCCACTATAAGTTGAAGCAGTGTGAGGATGTCAACAGAAGCACATGCCCAATCTTGAATTTTCAGGCCATTCATAAGCATGAGCAAAACCTTTTATTCTTTATGAATGACACAGCTTCAGGGATTCCTTTATAGCAACACTAAACAGAAAAGACAATGTGTTGGATTATATTAATTTTTTTCAGCAACCTCCATACTTTTTTAATATTGTTTGCACCATTTTCCATTTCTACCAACAGTGTGCAAGAGTTTCATTTTTTTCACATGCTTAACAACATTTGTCGTCTTTTTGTAATAGTAGACATAGATAGATTTGAGATGATATTGTAGTTTTGTTTTACATTTCTTGGATAGTGTGATCTTCAGCATTTCTTATACACCTATTGGCATTTGAGGTCTTCTTTGAATAAATGTGTCTTCAAGACATTATCCCACTTTTAAAATTAGGTTATTAGTTTTTTAAATTGTTGTTATTGACTTTATATATTTCTTACATATTTTGGAGATTAACTTCTTAACAGAACTGATATGGTTTGGATGTGTATTCCCAACACAATCTCATGTCAAATTGTAATCCCAGTGTTGGAGGAGGGGCCTGCTGGAAGGTGATTAGATCATGGAAGTAGATTTCTCCCTTGCTGTTCTTGTGATAGTGAGTGAGTTCTCATGAGATCTGGTTGTTTAAAAGTGTATAGCACCTCCCCCTTCACTGTCACTTTCTTTTGCTCCAGCCATGTAAGACATGTCTGCCTCCCCTTCACTTTCTTCCATGATTGAAAGTTTCCTGAGGCCTCCCCAGCTATCCCTCCTGTACAGCTTACAGAGCTATGAGTCAATTAATCCTTTTATTTAATAAATTTCAAAGTCTTAGATATGTCTTTATAGCAGTGTGAGAATGAACTAATATAGAAAATTGGTACCAGAGAAGTGGGAACATTGCTATAAAGATACTTAAAAATGTGGAAGTGATTTTGGAACTGGGTAATAAGAAGTTGGAATAGTTTTGGGGGCTCAGAAGAATACAGGAAGTTGAGGGAAAGTTTCGAACTTCCTAGAGACTTGTCGAATGCTTGTAACCAAAATTCTTACGGTGATATGAACAGTGAAGTCGGGGCTGAGGAGGTCTCAGATGGAGATAAAAAACTTTATTGGGAATTGAAATAAAATCACTCTTACTGTGCTTTAGCAAAGAGATTGGCAGCATTGTGCCCCTGCTCTAGGGATCTGTGGAACTTTGAACCAAGAAAGATGACTTAGGATATGGGGTGGAAGAAATTTCTAAGCAGCAAAGCATTCAAGATGTCATCTGGCTGCTTTTAAGAGCATATTCTCATATGCATGAGCTAAGAGATGATCTGAAACTGGAACTTATATTAAAAGGGGGAGCAGAGCATAAAAGACTGGAAAAGTTTCAGCCTGACCATGTGATAGAAAAGAAAAACTCATTTTCTGGGGAGGAATTCAAGCCAGCTGCAGAAGTTTGCATAAGAGGAGTAAATTGCTAATTGTCAAGGCAATGGGAAAAAGGCCTTGGAGTCATTTCCTGGAACTCTGCAGCAGCCCCTCCCATCACAGGCCCAGAGGCCTAGAGGGAAGAATGCTATTGTGGACCAGGCCCAGGGCCATGCTGCTCTGTGTAGTCTTGGGACATGGTGCCTGCATCCTGGACTCTCCAGCTCCAGCCATGGCTAAGAGGGACCAAGCTACAGCTCAAGCCACTGCTTCAGAGCGTGAAAACTGTAATCCTTGATGGTTTCCACATGGCTTAAGCCTGTGGGTGAATGAAGGGCAAAAGTTGAAGTTTGGGAGCCTCCACCTAGATTTCAGAGGGTGTATGAAAATGTCTGGATGTCCAGGCAGAAGTCTGTTACATGGGTGAAGCCTTCATGGTGAACCTCTACTAGGGAAATGCAGAGGGGAACTGTGGGGTTGGAGCCCCTACACAGAGTCCTCACTTGGGCACTCCCTAGTGGAGCTGTGAGAATAGGGCCACCCTTTTCCAGACACTAGAATGGTAGATCCACTGAGAGCTTGCACTGTGTGTGCAGAAAAGATGCAGGCATTCAATGCCAACCCTTGAGAGCAGCCATGAGAGATGAGTCCTACACAGCCACAAGGGCAAAGATGTGCAAGGCCTTGGAGCCCAGCCCTTACATCAGTGTGCTCTGGATGTGAGACATGGAGTCAATGGAGTCAAAGGAGATGATTTTGGAACTTTAAGATTTAATGACTTCCCTGCTGGGTTTCAGACTTGCAAGGGGTCTGTAGCCCCTCTCTTTTGGCTGATTTCTCCATTTCGGAATGGGTGTATTTACCCAGTGCCTGTAGCCCCATTGTATCTTGGAAGTAACTAAGTTGTTTTTTATTTTACAGGCTCATAGGCAGAAGGGACTTGCTTTGTCTCAAATGAGACTCTGAACATGGACTTTTGAGTTAATACTGAAATAAGTTAAGACTTGGGGGACTGTTGAGAAGGGATAATTGTATTTGCAATGTGAGAAGGACATGAGATTTGGGAGGCACCAGGGATGCAATAATATGGTTTGTACTTCTGTCCTCTACCCCAATCTCATGTTAGATAGTAATCCCAATTTTGAAGCAGGGACCTGTTGGGAGGTGATTGGATTATGGAGGCAGATTTCTCCCTTGCTTTTCTCATGCTAGTGAGTGAGTTCTCATGAGATCTGTTGTTTAAAAGTGTGTAGCACCTCCCACTTCACTTTCACTTTTTCCTGCTCCAGCCACGTAAGACGTGTCTGCTTCCCCTTCACCTTCCACTATGATTGACAGTTTATCGAGACCTCCCAAGCCATGCCTCCTGTACGGCATGCAGAATTATGAGCCAATTAAACCTCTTTTCTTTATAAATTACCCAGTTTTAGGTATTTCTTTATATCAGTGAGAGAAAGAACAAATACAAGATATATGGTTTGCAAATATCTTCTTTCATTCCATAGGTTGTCTATTTAGTCTGTTGCCTGCTTGCTTTGCTGTGCAGAAATTTTTTAGTCTGGCATAATTCCACTTACTAATTTCTGCTTTTGTTGCCTGAGCTTTTGGTGTGATATCCCTCCCCACAAAAAACTGTCAAAACAAAAATCAAGGATTTTTTTTCTGTTTATTTTATTTTATTTTTCCCAAGAGTTTTAAGGTTTCAGGTCTTACACTGAGGTCTTTAATCTATTTTGAATTACTTTTCATATATGGTGTAAGATAGTGGTTTCATTTTATTCTTTTGCTTATGAATTTCCAGTATTCCCAACTATTCAAAAAGATCCTATTCAAAAAGACTATTCTTTATTCATTGTATATTCTTGACAGGCTTTAGAAGATCAGTTGATATATTTAGGTTATTTTTTAATCCAATCTGACAATCTCTGTTTTTAGACCATTTATACTTTATATTATTGATACTTTTGGAATTAGTCATGCCATGTTATTATTTGTTTTCTCTTTCTTTCTCTGATTTTATTCCTTATTTTTCCCTTTCTTTTATGTAGGAGGTTATTTCAACATTCTAGCAAATTATTTTGAATTTTTCACTTTGATTTTGACAAAATCTCTTTCTCTAATTGTTTTAGTGGTTGCTGAAAAGATTGCAAAAGACATAGTTCTCTTTTCAAAGGCTATATGAAAATGATACTTTGCCACTTCAATTTTAATGTGAAAATCTTACAACCACATAGGTTCCTTCGTTCTGTCTCATTAACACAATGGTTTTCTTATATGTCTACAAATATTGAAAAGACAATGTGACAGTGTACTTTTTACTTTCAATCACTACATAAAATTTAAAACAATCAAATGTGAGAAGCAAGTATGTTATATTTACTCAGATATTTATTATTTCTTTTGTTCTTTCTGATTTCCATGTTTCATGTTTTCTCTGGTATTATTTCCTTTTATTTGAAGTTCCTGTAGCATTTTTTAAAACAAGTTTTTTGTTTGTTTGTTTGCTTGTTTTTTGGCTATGAGCTTTGTTAGTTTTCTTCCTCTGAAAATGTTTCAATGTACTCTATTCTTGAATATTTTCACTAAATACTATTTTGGGTTTGACAGCTATTTTGTTTAAACACTTTAAAAATGTATGCTAACTTTTCTGGGCTTTAGTGTTTCTGATGAAAATCCTACAGTTATTTGAATTATTTTTCTATAAGCAGTGTGTTTTTCTTCTCTTGCTACTTTTAAGGGTTTTTTTTTTTCCATGTCTTTAGTTTTCAGTGATTTGATTTTAATATATCTAGGCATGGGTTTTCTTACATTCATTCTATTTAGGGTTTACTCATATTCTTGCATCTGTAGGTTTATGTATTTTTCTGAACTAGGAAAGTTTTGTGTCATTATTCAAATATTATTTTTCCTCTGCTACAGTTATACTCTTTTTCTGGGACTGCTATCACACTACTCTAACGCTAAATATCTAACACTGATGTTAGATTTTTTTGGTGTTGTTTCCCAGGTCTTTGAGGTCTTGTTTTCATATTTTTTCATCGTTTTCTTCTTCTCATTTATAGTTGTTGATTTCTACTGCTTTATCTGCAAGTTTACTAATTATTTTCTCTGTCATTTTCATTTTGCCATTGATTCAGTTTTGTGATTATTTTCATTTTAATTGTTGTGTATTTTAGCTCTATAATTTCCATTTGGTGTTTCGTTATGGCTCTATTTGCTAATACTTTCTGTTTTTTCTTATTTGTTCCAAGAGTATTCACAATTACTCATTCAAGGAATTTTATAGTACCTACTTTTCGGTCTTTTTCTGATAATTTCAACATATATGTAATCTTGTCATTGGACTCAGTTGATATTTCCATGTGACTTGTCAGCTTCAACATTTTTTATAACCTGAGTAATTTTCTATTGTTTCCTGTATATTTTGAATATTGCATTATGAGAAGGTAGGCATTGCTTAGATATTATGGAGAATGTTGATATTTTTGTTGTAGAGAGCTGCTGACCTTGTTAAGCTTAAGCTAAAAATTCCACCCAACATTATTTCAGCTGATGATCTAATATCACTACAGTTTTCAAAGCCTTTCATTGTTACTCACCTGTCCCATTTTTGAGTCACCTGGTGGTGAGTCTGGGACCTAGGTGGACATATGCTCTTTAGTTCCATTCTCAAAATCTTTGATATGCTAATTTGTATCAGATTCACAGGTCTGCAGTTTGGAGGTGAGTGCTGGAGTTTCTGATTAACTTTATGAAATCACTTTCCCTCTGCTATCTCCCAAGTTCTTTGTTTCCCAAGGGTTCCTTTATTTGGTGTGCCAGGAGACACTGCTCATTTCTGTGACCACACTGTACCGATAGACATGTGGCAGAGACAGAGACCTACAGCAAGAGTAGGAGATAGAGAAACAAAATAAAGAAAAGCAGTAGGGTTTTTCCCTGGTCTTATAGAAACCTAGGCTTACTGAATGGAGAGGAAGTTTTCCACTCCTTAGAATGTTGCCTTCTACAGGCCCCTGTTGTCATTGTGGGATTGTTTGGTAGCTATGTGCAGAAGAATGGGAAGAAATGAGAAACCAAATAAGACTCTTTTCTTACTCTCTCTCAGTTATAGGAGTTCCCTTTACTTCTCAGAATATTTCTGTTTTTCTCTGTCTGCCCAATATTGCTTATTTCTTTCTGGATTCTTAGTTGGGTTAAATTCCAAAAGGAAGATACCAAAGGAAGAAACATATAGTAAACTTATTACAGATTTGTTGGTGTGTTGAATTCTGATGTTCTTCTCTAAGCTGCCTGTTGATAGTTTATTTTTAGTATTCTCAAATAGTTGGGCTATGAATTCTATATGAGCTTTAGAGTTGTATTATTTGGGAGTAAAAGGAAAGCATTTGCTTACTCCACCTTCCCTGGAACTGCAACCCTTGATGACATTGTGAAAATTTGGTATAAAAAATTTTCCAAGATTCAAATTCCAGATGTAATATTAAATGCTTATTTATCTATTACTGATAAAAATTATTTCTCGTAATATCTAGTGATGATCCTTCCATTCCTCATTTTTGAGTCACTCATATTCTGGCTGTGAGCAAGCTCATATTTGTTTTAGTTTCTTACCATACAGGAGCTTTCATCATTACCACCTCATTTTTTCACCCAAGAAAAGATATTTCTAAGGTTGCACTGGAACAAGGCCTGTGTAAAAACTCTGTAATCATAAACCTCTCCCCACTACATGTGCTAGTTGAAGCCATTTTAGCTAAGCCTATACAGATGTAGTAAGCCAAGAGCAGGAAAAAATAACCGATTTATGTCCTATGTGTGTATGCTTATTAGTGATAAAATACTGAGCACAGTTTATATCAAAACTTAATTGCATGTCACTAAGCATTTTCATGAGACTTTAAGCCTATCAATCTGAAAAATAAGGAGTGTTTATTTGAAGTGGTAAGAATCACACAAATTGATGTTTGAATGGAGAGAAGCAAGAAGTTCAATTTGCCTTCTTAGAAAACTGAATGGAAAAATTACTTAGAGTTATAATTATGGAATACCTTGAATGTTAGGATCTGGATTGGAAAGCCTTTGAGGTTGTCATAAGTGTCAGCTTAATTTTTTAATATATGTGAGTAATTAAAACTAGTCATGATGGGCTGGGCGCAGTGGCTCACGCCTGTAATCCCAGCACTTTAGGAGGCCGAGGCAGGCGGATGACGAGGTCAGGAAATCAAGGCCATCCTGGCTAACACGGTGAAACCCCATCTCTACTAAAAATACAAAAACAAAATTAGCCAGGCGTAGTGGCGGGTACCTGTAGTCCCAGCTACTCGGGAGGCTGAGGCGGGAGAAGGGCATGAACCCAGGAAGCAGAGCTTGCAATGACCTGAGATTGTGCCATTGCACTCCGGCCTGGGTGACACAGCGAGACCCCGTCTCAAAAAAAAAAAAAAAAAAAAAAAAAACTGGTTACAATGAAAAACAAAAGAACATAGCAAATCTCATGACTAAAGAATGTAATGAAATACTAAGCAACTTTATGATATGTTGGTAGAGCATAAAATTATTCATCCAAATTTCATTATGCATGTTCAAAAGAATTTAAAAAGAATGATTTTACAACGATAACCACTTCAGAAATCAATGTTTTAATTTTATTTATCAAATACTGGTTTTTCATGTGTTTCCAGTGGATACTAAGAAGTGAGTTACCCAAAGGAAAATAGTAGCTAACACTTAGCTTGTTTATCGTAAGTCGGGCACACTTCATGTATACGAATAAATCGATACTCACAGCAAACTTAAAGATAGACACAATTATCTCACGTCATAAATGATGAAAACTGAGGTACAGGGATACGAAAGGGCTTGTCTAGTAACTAAGCACCCTAAAAGGAACAGATTTTGTAAAAGGTTTTAGCATAATATGCATTTATGTACTCCCAAATTAAAGACCAGTTTGAAAAATCCACTGGAGAATAAAATATAAGCAATTCTTCAAGCAATTGTAGTAAACACTTAGAAGATCATAAATACATTTACAGAAACAAAGGCCCTTTATATCTGTGATAAGCACATACACACACACGCACAAAAAAAAAAACACATGCACACTAATCTTTAAGCAAGAAAAAAATATTGATTGAAATGAGGGAATTGATGAAAATTCCATGAGAAAATGTATAATCATCTGAATAGAAATTCAAAGACAAACTGAAAATTAAAATACAAGCCAATCCATATATCTACTCTGATTATCAGGAAAAAAAAGAAAATAAGAAACTATATTTAACTGTTACATAATCTGTTATGCAATCTGGTGTGCTACTATTCAAAAATGTCTAGAAGCACTAGCTGAATTACCTTATTGATAATAGCGATTCTGTTAATTGTCGTCAAATGTCCACCTAGGTAACATTCCCTTCTGAAAATATGATCTCTTAATTTTCAGGTAAATAAACCAATTTAGACTGTGTGGTCATGAAATATAATCTTCCATTTTAAAGATTCTAAGTAAAAGGGATTCTAGCCAATGTCAATATTACCTTCAAGTGCTCTTTGACTTCTTTGATTTCTGCTATTATAATTAGATTTTCTAGGTGTTTCATTACATTGTGTTATTTATAGACATCTCTATTAAACATACAGTTCCTCACAGGGACAAAGAAACACTCAACTTCTGCACTGTCAGTCTTAAATGTGTTCTGCATTAACTTATTTATCCTCTGCTGCTGACAAATAGCTACAAATTTAGCTTTTGTAATATTCTTCAGTTTTTTAAATAAAAAATGATTTCTATGTTCTATTTGCATTTTAATATAAGGCTAGCTAAAGTTTTCCAGTCTGGGCTCTCAGAAAAAAGTGGAAAAAGTTAGGGTTGTTTGTTTTTTTCTTGTAAATTTGTTTAAGTTCCTTGTAGATGCTGGATATTAGCCCTTTGTCAGACGGATAGATTGCAAAAATTTTCTCCTATTCTGTAAGTTGCCTGTTCACTCTGATGATAGTTTCTTTTGCCTGATTGCCCTGGCCAGAACTTCCAATACTATGTGGAATAGGAGTGGTGATAGAGGACATCCTTGTCTTGTGCCGGTTTTCAAAGGGAATGCTTCCAGCTTTTGCCCATTCAATATGATATTGACTATGGATTTGTTATAAATAGCTCTTATTATTTTGAGATACGTTCCATCAGTACCTTGTTTATTGAGAGTTTTTAGCAAGAAAGAGTGTTGACTTTTATCAAAGGCCTTTTCTGCATTTATTGGGATAATCGTGGGGCTTTTCTCATTGCTTCTGTTTATGTGATGGATTATGTTTATTGATTTGCATATGTTGAACTAGCCTTGCATCCCAGGGACGAAACCGACTTGATTGTGATGGATAAGCTTTTTGATATGCTGCTGGATTTGGTTTGCCAGTATTTTACTGGGGATTTTCACATCAGTGTTCATCAGGGTTATTGGCCTGAAATTTTTTGTGTGTTGTGCCTCTGCCAGGTTTTGGTATCAGGATGATGCTGGCCTCAAAAAATGAGTTCGGGAGCAATTCCTCTTTTTCTATTGTTTGGAATAGTTTCAGAAGGAATGGTACCAGCTCTTCTATGTACCTCTGGTAGAATTTGGCTGTGAATCCATCTGGTCTTGGGCTGTTTTTGATTGGTAGGCTATTAACAACTGTCTCAATTTCAAAACTTATTATTGGTCTATTCAGGGATTTGACTTTTCCCTGATTAATCTTGTGAGGGTGTATGTGTCCAGGAATTTATCCATTTCTTCTAGATTTTCTAGTTTATTTGCATAGAGGTGTCTATAGTATTCTCTGATGGTTGTTTGTATATCTGTGGGATTAGTGGTGATATCCTCTTTATCATTTTTTATTGTGTCTATTTGATTCTTCTCTATTTCCTTCTTTATCATTCTATCTAGAGGTCTATCTGTTTTGTTATTTTTTTCAAAAAAGCCAGCTTCTGGATTCATTTATTTTTTGAAGGGTTTTTCCTGTCTCTGTCTTCTTCAGTTCTGCTCTGATCTTAGTTATTTTTTGTCTTCTGCTAGCTTTTGAATTTCTTTGCTCTTGCTTCTCTAGTTCTTTAAATAGTGATGTTAGGGCGTCAGTTTTAGATCTTTCCAGCTTTCTGTTGTGGGCATTTAGTGCTATAAATTTTCCTCTTAACACTACTTTAGCTGTGTCCCAGAGATTCTAGTGCATTGTCTCTTTGTTCTCATTGGTTTCAAAGAACTTTACTTCTGCCTTAATTTCACTATTTACGCAATAGTCATTCAGGAGCAGGTTGTTCAGTTTTCATGTAGTTGTGCAGTTTTGAGTGAGTTTCTTAATCCTGAGTTCTAATTTGATTGCATTGTGGTCCGGGAGACTGTTTGTTATGATTTCTATTCTTTTGAATTTGCTGAAGGGTGTTTTACTTCCAATAATGGGGTTGATTTTAGAATAAGTGTGATGTGGTACTGAGAAGAATATATTCTGTATATTCTGTTGATTTGGGTTGGAGAGTTCTGTAGATGCCTATTAGGTCTACTTGGTCCAGAGCTGAGTTCAAGTCCTGAAAATCCTTGTTAATTTTCTGTCTCACTGATCTTTCTAATACTGACCGGTGGGTGTTAAAGTTTCCTACTATTATTGTGTGGGAGTCTAAGTCTCTTTGTGCATCTCTAAGAACTTGCTTTATAAATCTGGGTGCTCCTGTAATGGGTGCATGGTGACAAAATCCCTCAGCACTTGCTTGTCTATAAACGATTTTATTTCTCTTTCACTTATGAAGCTTAGTTTGGCTGGATATGAAATTCTGGGTTGAAAATTCTTTTCTTTAAGTATGTTGAGTATTGGCCCCCACTCTCTTCTGAATTGTTTCTGCAGAGAGATCCACTGTTAGTCTGCTGGGCTTCTCTTTGTAGGTAACCTGACCTTTTTCTCTGCAGCTCTTAACATTTTTTCCTTCATTTCAGTTTGGAGAATCTGACAATTATGTGTCTTGGAGTTGCTTTTCTCGAGGAGTACCTTAGTGGTTCTCTCTGTATTTCCTGAATTGGAATGTTGGCCTGCCTTGCTAGGTTGGGGCAGTTCTCCTGAGTAATATCCTGAAGTGTGTTTTCCAACTTGGTTCCATTCTCCCCACCACTTTCAGATATGCCAATCAATTGTAGGTTTGGTCTTTTCACGTAGTACCATATTTCTTGATGGCTTTGTTCAATACTTTTCATTCTTCTTTCTCTAATTTTGTCTTCATGCCTTATTTCAGTAAGTTGATCTTCAATCTCTGATATCCTTTCTTCCATTTGATCTACTTAGCTATTGGTATTTGTGCATGTTTCACGAAGTTCTCGTACTGTGTTTTTCAGCTCCATCAGGTCATTTATATTCTTCTCTAAACTGTTTATTCTGGTTAGCAGTTCCTGTAACCTTTTATCAAGGGCTTTAGCTTCCTTGCATTGAGTTAAAACATGCTCCTTTAGCTCGGAGGAATTTGTTATTACCCATCTTCTGAAGCCTACTTCTGTCAATTCATCAAGTTCATTCTCCATGCAGTTTTGTGCCCTTGCTGGAGAGGAGGTGCAATCATTTGGAGGAGAAGAGACATTACGGTTTTTGGAATTTTCAGCATTTTCTTTTTGCTGTTTTTTTTCTCATCTTCATGGATTTATCTACCTTTGATCCTTGAGGCTGATGACCTTTGGATGGGGTTTTTGTGTAGGGGTCCGTTTTGTTGCTGTTGTTGTTATTGCTTTCTCTTTGTTTTTCTTCGAACAGTCAGGCCCACTTCTGCAGGTCTGTTGTAGTTTGCTGGAAATCCACTTCAGACTGGGTATCGCCAGCGGAGGCTGCAGAAGAACAAATATTGCTACCTACTACTTCCTCTGAAAGGTTCGTTCCAGAGGGGCACCAACCTGATGTCAGCTGGAGCTCTCCTGCATTAGGTGTCATCGACCCCTGCTGGGAAGTGTCTCCCAGTCAGGAGGCACTTGAGGAGGCAGTCTGTCTCTTGGCAGAGCTTGGGCACTGTGCTGAGAGGATTCTCCTTATCAGGATCCGCTTCTCTCTCCAGAGCCGGCAAACAGGAACGTTTAAGTCCGCTGAAGCTGCGCCCACAGCCTCCCCTTCCCCCAGGTGCTCTGTCACAGGGAGATGGGAGTTTCATCTATTAGCCCCTGACTGGGGCTGCTGCCTTTTTTCAGAGATGCCCTGTCCAGTGAGGAGGAATCTAGAGAGGCAGTCTGGCCACAGCCGCTTTGCCGCACTGTGGTAAGTTCTACCCAGTCCAGACTTCCCGGCCTCTTTAACACTGTCATGGGAAAACCGCCTACTCAAGCCTCAGTAATGGTGGACGCCCTTCTCCCCACCAAGCTCGATTGTCCCAGGTAGACTTCAAACGGCTGTGCTGGCAGTGAGAATTTCAAGCCAGTGATCCTTAGCTTGCTGGGCTCTATGGGAGTGGGACCCGCTGAGTGAGACCACTTGGCTCTCTGGCTTCAGCCCCCTTTTGAGGGGAGTGAACTGTTCTGTCTTGCTGGAGTTCCAGGCACCACTGGGTATGAAAACAAACAAACAAAAAAACTCCTGCAGCTAGCTTGGTGTCTGCCCAGACAGCCACCCAGTTTTGTGCTTGAAACCCAGAGTCTGGTGGTGTCAGCACATAATGGAATCTCCTGTTGTGAGGATGGCGAAAACCGTGGGAAAAGTATAGTATCTGGCCTGGATAGCACAGTCCCTCATGGCTTCCCTTGGCTTAGGGAGGAGATCCCCAGCTCCTTGCACTTCCTGGGTGATTCTACACCCTACCCTGCTTCTGCTTGCCCTCCGCGGGCTGTAATCACTGCCTAACCAGTCCCAGTGAGATGAACTGCGTATCTCAGTTGGAAATATAGAAATCCCCCAACTTCTGCATTGGTCTCGCTGGGAGCTGCAGACCAGAGCTCTTCCTATTTGGCCATCTTGCCAGATCTCCATATTTTTGTATATATACACATATATATTCTGAAAGGTCACGGGCTATACATAAAATGAAGTATACTTATATATATGTGCAAACATACATACATACAAATTATACCTGTGTACATGTATAAAGTATGTATATATGCATAAGCATATTTATATGTGCTGCAATTTAATTTTTTTCCTAGACAAAATGGGATCTGGATTGATTATTTGATTCAAATAATTTATTGGTCTAGTCTTTTGTCAATACTGAATTTAGGTAAGTGGATTTATAATTTATTTAATAATTAATAAGTCTATTCTTACATTCACTATTCGTTTTCTGTTATTGTCATCGTTTTGAATCTTCTCTGTCATCTGTCCTATTGTATAAAGACTTAAAATTAGAGATATTCCAGTTAGAACGCCAAATAAATTGGTAATCATATTTTCATTATATATATGCATCTCAGTACAATTAGCATTTTGTGATATTAAGTATTTCTGCCCGAAAACATGGTATGCCTTTCAATTTTTTCCTTTTTATTTACATCCTTTATTAAGAAGTTTTACTTTTGAAATATGGCTCTTGCACTGTTATTCTTTATTTATTTCTGAGTAATTCAGTTTTATTTTAAAAACTTTGTAGATAAACATTTCTACATTCCTAATTTTGTTATTGCTAATATTGAAAAATCATTGGCTTTAAATTTTTTTTTATACATAGCAAGGTTGACAAATTTCACTGTTAAGTAAATTCAAATCTCAAGTAAAACTAGAGCTTGGTTTTTTGAGATAAATTATTTGAAGAAGAAAAGTGTTTCTATACTAATATCTGCAACTTTTTTTTATTTTATGTTTTTACCTGATTTGCTAGAGCTTCAAAAACAATGTTCAGTAATAATAGTGACAGTAGGTAACCTTATCTTGTTCTAAATTTTAATAGATATAGCTTTAAAAATATTTTCCCATTGAAATAAAATTTGCTTTGTTTTAATGTATATGGATTTTAGGGGTTATGGATGCTGAATTTGATGTAATTTTTTTAGACATTCATTATTTTAAATATAAAAAAATTTATTGATAAATTTTGGGGGAGAACTTTACCTTTCTTTTTCATGGTGTGACGTCATTGTTAAGAGACAATGTTATTTAAAGGTGAAATATAACTAAAATAAATACTTTGGATGGATGACTTTCAAAACAAGCTGTCGCCTTTCCCTATTTTCAGATAATTCAGTGATTCTAATTTTCTAGTTCTTGTTTACTTAGATTTGATTACTTACACCTTGATAATCTTTTCTAGCATTGTAATTCCCTTTTTCTTTTTAAAATAACATTGCACTTGATGTTCTTTTATAATTTTTTTAAGTTCTTCTCATAGGTAGTTGTTATTTATTCATTTTCTATTTTGAAAAAAAATTCTTTTCTGTAAAAAAAAGGTTAATTGTCTTATCTTTTTAAATTTTTGTTTCATTGATTTTAGCTTTAAAAATTTTTAATTCCCATTTTCTACTTTTTTTGCTTATGTTTTTGTTATTTCAATAGTTTTTTAAAACATAAGAGGTTTACGGCCGGGCATGGTGGCTCACGCCTCCAATCCCAGCACTTTGGGAGGCCGAGGCGGGTGGATCACGAGCTCAGGAGATCGAGACCATCCTGGCTAACATGGTGAAACCCCATCTCTACTAAAAATACAAAAAAATTAGCCGGGCGTGGTGGCGGGCGCCTGTAGTCCCAGCTACTCGGGAGGCTGAGGCAGGAGAATGGCGTGAACCTGGGAGGCGGAGCTTGCAGTGAGACTAGATCGCGCCACTGCACTCCAGCCTGGGCAACAGTGTGAGACTCCGTCTCTAAAAAAAAAAAAGAGGTTTACTTTAAGCTTTTAGTTATTTAATAATGTACGCATTTAAAACTTTTATGCAGGGTTTATTTAGAGGAATAAACTTGAACCTTACAAAACACCAATAACTACGAAGATCCTTTAAAAAGTAATCCTTATTTTGAAAGACAATTTTTTTAAGAGTTGCGGTCTCACTATGTTGCCCAGGCTGGTCTTGAACTCCTGGGCTCAAGCAATTCTTTCACCTCAGCTTCCCAAAGTGCTGGGATTACAGGCGTAAGCCACCATGCCCAGCCTTGAAAGACAATTTTATCTGTCAAGAAGAGAGTCCTATAATTTAGCATATATCAGGATTATAAAATATTTGTTAATCACTGTGCATGAATATTTGCCCAGGTACCAAGAATAAAATTAAGGGTACAATCATTTTACCACAGATAAAAGTAGGTTTGTGTTTTAATGAGGGCTAAAATACCAAAACTCAAATTTTAGAAAATATCTATTACCCAGTGCTTGGGAAAATCTTTTCCCGTAAGACTGTAAACACCAATTTATAATTTCGTAAAGCTGGATATTTGACTACATAAATATCTTATTTTTATAGTTATTTAATTTTTCCAAATATATCATAAACAAACTTGAAAAATAACAGAAAAAATTGTGAAATACTAGTGATAGATTGAAAATATTTATATCACATAGAAGTACATTAAAATGATTTAACGAGAAAAAATAACAATAGAAATTAGACAAAGTTTATTACTTCAGCAAGAAGAATATGTGTATGGCTACTAAAACTCTTAAACGTGTTCAAACTTGAGTCTGGCTGATGATGAAGATGGTGGATATATAGAGGCCAAGACCTATTATCTCAATTTGAGCTCTGCAGGGTCATCTAAACTTCAAAGTTCACGGGATGAGCAACTAGTACTTCATTGCAACAACACTGCAATTGATCTTTATTTGACCCATTCCTTTTTTTTCCCCGCACTCCTCTAAAGATGTTGTTCCTCTGAGTACTTCCCAATAAATCAATTTATAAGAGGCCATATCTCTGTATCTAGAGTACCCCAACCTCTGATAACATCTAATAAGAGATGTGTGTTATAACGGGTTTAACTAATTATTAAATGTTTTTAGGTAACAGTTCATGGAAACAAACAAAAAAGATTGAGGAGGGTAGAGAAACACTGTTAGGTAATATAAGAAAGGACTCAATGCTTAGAAGACCACGTGTAAAGTGGTAACGACGTAAAAAGGAAGAATGAAAAGTAGTGGTAACTGGTTGTCTAGAATCTCTGTGTCAGAGGTGAATGAATTTTGAGGACACAGCAAAATGGCTGGCAAATGTAGACTTAAATAAGAGCATTAGACATAAAAGGACAAAGAACTGAGAAACAAATCCATAGAATTTTCCTATCTTCTATCGATATTAGAAGATATTGGAAGAAGAGTCAAATAATGACCCAAATACGAAAACATTCAATGGATAATAAATTGTCACGTAGAGTTCAGAAGATAACACCTATAAAAAGAGGTGATTGACACAGCCATGTTACGTTAACTTTAAAAGGAGCACAGTTTTGTATTTGAGTGGCCAAGTAATAGTCCAAAATTAACACGGGGAGGGAAGAGTGTGCCAACCTCCAGTCGCAAACCATGTGTTATAGAATATGGTGAATGAGAGATTAAATAGCTTTCACTAGATGTGACATCAATGGGACTGCAGTCTAAAGGAAGACCTAGTTTCCAGTTGTAGTGGAAATGTAAATAGGACATTTAAGGAAGAAGCTGAGGTGGCTGGAAATACTCATTTAAGATGAATATTTCTGAAGGTATCATGAAAAAAATGTTGTGATTTAGAGTTAGCTGTCCAAAGACCATTTCTGCTATGTTCAAATGATCTTGTCCCTTTCAAATCCCTACATTAGAAGCTTAATTCCCAGTGCAACAGAGTTGGGCGGTGGGCCTAATTGGAGATGTTTAGATTATGAGCGCTCTACCCTCATGAATGCATTCGTGCTGCTATAAAAAAGGATTGCGGGAGGGGCTTCTCTCTCTTCTGTTACTCTGCCACATGAGGAACAGCATTTCTCCCCTCTGCAGGGTGGAGCAATCATGGTATAATCTTGGAAAAGGAAACTGGGACCTTAGCAGACATCAAACCTGCCAGTACCATGACCTGCAGTTCTCAGCCTCCAGAACTGTGAGAAATAAATTTCTGTTATCAATTAGCAAATATGTGTAATTCTGCTATAGTAACATAAGGTGACTAAGGACAAATTGGACAGTTTTCATTCACTGGGCCTCAATGGGAGTGCAATCTTAAGGGAAGAGCTAGTTTCCAGCAGCAGTAAGGATGTCAGTGAGACATTTAGTGAAGAAGCAGAAGTGGTAGGAAAACCTATTTAGTATAAGTCTTTGGACAAATCTAAATTACAGTTTGATCATTGTTTCCTCAAAAATACTTATACTGTCATGTACTACCCCCACCTTGCCTTTGCCAATAAGACAAAGAAAGCTCTTGGCATTTAGGTAGAGAGCACCCTTCCTACTCTAATCTATCCATTGGTGCTTAGTATGCAATAAGGAAGCAAAAGGGTAGCATTTAAAACCTCACCTCAGTATACTTGAATTGTCTAAGATGCCTGGAAGAACGGCGAGACGGTGTTTCTGCTAGCAAGTCTTGACAATGGCAGCATGAGCAATGAGTTTCTACCTCATCGGGTTGCCCCCAAGAGGAAGTGCTGTATTTCACTTTTGTGACACTAACTGGGTTTTCCTGTGATTCTAAGTACTTATCTCTAAGTCTGCCTCACCAACCCAACATGCTTAAAATTCAAATCTATATTTTACAAAATTAGGCCTATGAGCTTGCACTAATTCAAGCATTGTACTACTGACCATCTTAAAGTAATTTCACTGCTAACTACGGGAGGAGATACACACATTTAGATTCTTCTAGAATTTTTTCAGTTACGAGAAATGGTAGTAAGAAATTTGTAAGTTTGGTCAGGGAAAGGAATCTCAAAGCATTACACAAATAACAATGTAGGAAAAGATAGAAGGGTGGATGATCTTTTATATTGGATGATGAAGAATGATAATGAGGATATGAGGCATGGTGAGTATACCCAGACAAGATTAGAGAAATAACGAACCCCTGCAATCTCCTTGTATGTAAGAGTTCCTTCATCTATGGATGCTGAGGACATTGTACGTACATGTCTGATTCGTGGCCCAGCTCTGAGAGGTGACTGACTCTGACTCTGAAATAAGGCTGAATTAGGATAGTGGAAAGAGAAAGGAGATGTCAAAGACATGAAGCCCTGAGGAAGTACATCAAGCACAGCGACCACAAGCACTCATGGTGCAAGTTCCTAGCATCATTATTTAGAACATGCCCTTACACCTTTGAAATATCTCAGTTGTTATAATTAACTATCAGTCTCCCTCATTAACTGCCAACATATTTGGTAAGAAAGTTTCTATTTCCCATAAATGTAAAAAAATTAAATATTTTAGACACTGTTCTCATAAGTAATTATAACTGTATTAAATACCATGCAGACCCTGACCTTTATTGTTCTTTTCTAATAGAGCAACAGATTTTTACTCTGAAACATTAACCTCCAAAGTTTTATGTACATAAATTGGTCTGCTGAAAGGTTTTGAGATTTGGACTTTGTTTTCCCAAATTGTTCAATTGGAAAAAAAATTGAAAAATTTGGAAAATTCAATTGACTTGTTCAAACAGTGAGGGTATATGTGAAAGTGTGATACTATCTTAAATCTGTGAACTTTATGTTCAGAAAGGGTTAAAAGTTAATGATCACTACACACGTTACTCGTTTTATGACTTTACCAAGTTTCCACTCTGAATCTTAGCTGTCACTTTTGCTTCTTTATTAAACTCTGCCTCAAATTACGCACTTTGAGTATGCCATCTATTTCTTTCTGGCAAACTGACTTTTTGCCTGTATGACCATAATAATTTTTTAAAACCTGCAAAATTTAAAACTTGTCACTCTTATTCCTAGAAAAATACTAAATATTGTTTTTCTGCCTGTTACACCTGTGAGTTAAATATAGGAAAAAATGTTGTAGAAATCATGAATTTGCATATTCTCACACATTAACATTGCACGTAATGATTCCTGAATCCAATGATGGAAAGTTATTTGGAGCATATATTCTTGGTGGCTTTCATTCGAGATTCAAAGTATGTTTGCTCCTTCCTGATTATGCTATGCACACTGTATAGATTATTTACCCTAAGGGTGAACTGAGAGCATTAAAAAAACCCATTTTGAAATTTTACTGAATTATTAAATGATAGTTGAATTATTGTGATAGCTGAACATGACTAAATTATTAACTAAAAACTAGAAGATGAAGAGCTACTTTATTGGCTCAGCTATCGACTGTGAGATCAAGTGATGTTTTAAATGTAAAGACTATAATTTAAAAAGGAAAGGGCTATTTCATGATATCTTTCAAACTCTAATGTTACTGCAGCCTTTTTTTCCCCTCTGTCTGTATCTATTCCTTTGGTTATTTCACACTTTAATGCTTTAAATACTATATCCACGCTCTTACGTACTTTTGTGTAATCCAGATCAATTTAGACAACTACTTGATCCTTATTTCCAACTGATTGACAAGTAAGCACCCAAGATTTAGAATATCACACTTAAACTCTTTTGTTACCTTCAAACATGTTTTTTCTTTTTTTTTAATTATACTTTATGTTTCAGGGTACATGTGCACATTGTGCAGGTTAGTTACATATGTATACATGTGCCATGCTGGTGCGCTGCACCCACTAACTCCTCATCTAGCATTAGGTATATCTCCTGATGCTATCCGCCCCCTCCCCCGACCCCACCACAGTCCCCAGAGTGTGATATTCCCCTTCCTGTGTCCATGTGATCTCATCGTTCAATTCCCACCTATGAATGAGAATATGTGGTGTTTGGTTTTTTGTTCTTGCGATAGTTTACTGAGAATGATGATTTCCAATTTCATCCATGACCCTACAAAGGACATGAACTCATCATTTTTTATGGCTGCATAGTATTCCATGGTGTATATGTGCCACATTTTCTTAATCCAGTCTATCATTGTTGGACATTTGGGTTGGTTCCAAGTCTTTGCTATTGTGACTAATGCCGCAATAAACATACGTGTGCATGTGTCTTTATAGCAGCATGATTTATAGTCCTTTGGGTATATACCCAGTAATGGCTGGGTCAAATGGTATTTCTAGTTCTAAATCCCTGAGGAATCGCCACACTGACTTCCACAATGGTTGAACTAGTTTACAGCCCCACCAACAGTGTAAAAGTGTTCCTATTTCTCCACATCCTCTCCAGCACCTGTTGTTTCCTGACTTTTTAATCATTGCCATTCTAACTGGTGTGAGATGGTATCTCATTGTGGTTTTGATTTGCATTTCTCTGATGGCCAGTGATGATGAGCATTTTTTCATGTGTTTTTTGGCTGCATAAATGTCTTCTTTTGAAAAGTGTCTGTTCATGTCCTTCACCAACTTTTTGATGGGGTTGTTTGTTTTTTTCTTGTAAATTTGTTTGAGTTCATTGTAGATTCTGGATATTAGCCCTTTGTCAGATGAGTAGGTTGTGAAAATTTTCTCCCATTTTGTAGGTTGCCTGTTCACTCTGATGGTAGTTTCTTTTGCTGTGCAGAAGCTCTTTAGTTTAATGAGATCCCATTTGTCAATTTTGGCTTTTGTTGCCATTGCTTTTGATGTTTTGGACATGAAGTCCTTGCCCATGCCTATGTCCTGAATGGTAATGCATAGGTTTTCTTCTACGGTTTTTATGGTTTTAGGTCTAATGTTTAAGTCTTTAATCCACCTTGAATTGATTTTTGTATAAGGTGTAAGGAAGGGATCCAGTTTCAGCTTTCTACATATGGCTAGCCAGTTTTCCCAGCACCATTTATTAAATAGGGAATCCTTTCCCCATTGCTTGTTTTTCTCAGGTTTGTCAAAGATCAGATAGTTGTAGATAAGCGGCATTATTTCTGAGGGCTCTGTTCTGTTCCATTGATCTATATCTCTGTTTTGGTACCAGTACCATGCTGTTTTGGTTACTGTAGCCTTGTAGTATAGTTTGAAGTCAGGTAGTGTGATGCCTCCAGCTTTGTTCTTTTGGCTTAGGATTGCCTTGGCGATGTGGGCTCTTTTTTGGTTCTATATGAACTTTAAAGTAGTTTTTTCCAATTCTGTGAAGAAAGTCATTGGTAGCTTGATGGGGATGGCATTGAATCTGTAAATTACCTTGGGCAGTATGGCCATTTTCACTATATTGATTCTTCCTACCCATGAGCATGGAATGTTCTTCCATTTGTTTGTATCCTCTTTTATTTCATTGAGCAGTGGTTTGTAGTTCTCCTTGAAGAGGTCCTTCACATCCCTTGTAAGTTGGATTCCTAGGTATTTTATTCTCTTTGAAGCAATTGTGAATGGGAGTTCACTCATGATTTGGCTCTCTGTTTGTCTGTTGTTGCTGTATAAGAATGCTTGTGATTTTTGTACATTGATTTTGTATCCTGAGACTTTGCTGAAGTTGCTTATCAGCTTAAGGAGATTTTGGGCTGAGACAATGGGGTTTTCTAGATATACAATCATGTCGTCTGCAAACAGGGACAATTTGACTTCCTCTTTTCCTAATTGAATACCCTTTATTTCCTCCTCCTGCCTAATTGCCCTGGCCAGAACTTCCAACACTCTGTTGAATAGGAGTGGTGAGAGAGGGCATCCCTGTCTTGTGCCAGTTTTCAAAGGGAATGCTTCCAGTTTTTGCCCATTCAGTATGATATTGGCTGTGGGTTTGTCATAGATAGCTCTTATTATTTTGAAATACGTCCCATCAATACCTAATTTATTGAGAGTTTTTAGCATGAAGGGTTGTTGAATCTTGTCAAAGGCTTTTTCTGCATCTATTGAGATAATCATGTGGTTTTTGTCTTTGGCTCTGTTTATATGCTGGATTACATTTATTGATTTGTTTATATTGAACCAGCCTTGCATCCCAGGGATGAAGCCCACTTGACCATGGTGGATAAGCTTTTTGATGTGCTGCTGGATTCGGTTTGCCAGTATTTTATTGAGGATTTTTGCATCAATGTTCATGAAGGATATTGGTCTAAAATTCTCTTTTTTTGTTGTGTCTCTGCCCGGCTTTGGTATCAGAATGATGCTGGCCTCATAAAATGAGTTAGGGAGGATTCCCTCTTTTTCTATTGATTGGAATAGTTTCAGAAGGAATGGTACCAGTTCCTCCTTGTGCCTCTGGTAGAATTCGGCTGTGAATCCATCTGGTCCTGGACTCTTTTTGGTTGGTAAACTATTGATTATTGCCACAATTTCAGCTCCTGTTATTGGTCTATTCAGAGATTCAACTTCTTCCTGGTTTAGTCTTGGGAGAGTGTATGTGTCGAGGGATTTATCCATTTCTTCTAGATTTTCTAGTTTATTTGCATAGAGGTGTTTGCAGTATTCTCTGATGGTAGTTTGTATTTCTGTGGGATCAGTGGTGATATCCCCTTTATCATTTTTTATTGTGTCTATTTGATTCTTCTCTCTTTTTTTCTTTATTAGTCTTGCTAGCGGTCTATCAATTTTGTTGATCCTTTCAAAAAACCAGCTCCTGGATTCATTGATTTTTTGAAGGGTTTTTTGTGTCCCTATTTCCTTCAGTTCTGCTCTGATTTTAGTTATTTCTTGCCTTCTGCTAGCTTTTGAATGTGTTTGCTCTTGCTTTTCTAGTTCTTTTAATTGTGATGTTAGGGTGTCAATTTTGGATCTTTCCTGCTTTCTCTTGTGGGCATTTAGTGCTATAAATTTCCCTCTACACACTGCTTTGAATGTGACCCAGAGATTCTGGTATGTTGTGTCTTTGTTCTCGTTGGTTTCAAAGAACATCTTTATTTCTGCCTTCATTTCATTATGTACCCAGTAGTCATTCAGGAGCAGGTTGTTGAGTTTCCATGTAGTTCAGCGGCTTTGAGTGGGATTCTTAATCCTGAGTTCTAGTTTGATTGCACTGTGGTCTGAGAGATAGTTTGTTATAATTTCTGTTCTTTTACATTTGCTGAGGAGAGCTTTACTTCCAACTATGTGGTCAATTTTGGAATAGGTGTGGTGTGGTGCTGAAAAAAATGTATATTCTGTTGATTTGGGGTGGAGACTTCTGTAGATGTCTATTAGGTCCGCTTGGTGCAGAGCTGAGTTCAATTCCTGGGTATCCTTGTTGACTTTCTGTCTCGTTGATCTGTCTAATGCTGACAGTGGGGTGTTAAAGTCTCCCATTATTATTGTGTGGGTGTCTAAGTCTCTTTGTAGGTCACTCAGGACTTGCTTTATGAATCTGGGTGCTCCTGTATTGGGTGCATATATATTTAGGATAGTTAGCTCTTCTTGTTGAATTGATCCCTTTACCATTATGTAATGGCCTTCTTTGTCTCTTTTGATCTTTGTTGGTTTAAAGTCTGTTTTATCAGAGACTAGGATTGCAACCCCTGCCTTTTTTTGTTTTCCATTTTCTTGGTAGATCTTCCTCCATCCTTTTATTTTGAGCCTATGTGTGTCTCTGCACGTGAGATGGGTTTCCTGAATACAGCACACTGATGGATCTTGACTCTTTATCCAATTTGCCAGTCTGTGTCTTTTAATTGGAGGATTTAGTCCATTTACATTTAAAGTTAATATTGTTATGTGTGAATTTGATCCTTTCATTATGATGTTAGCTGGTGATTTTGCTCATTAGTTGATGCAGTTTCTTCCTAGTCTCGATGGTCTTTACACTTTGGCATGATTTTGCAGTGGCTGGTACTGGTTGTTCCTTTCCATGTTTAGCGCTTCCTTCAGGAGCTCTTTTAGGGGAGGCCTGGTGGTGACAAAATCTCTCAGCATTTGCTTGTCTGTAAAGTATTTTATTTCTCCTTCACTTATGAAGCTTAGTTTGGCTGGATATGAAATTCTGGGTTGAAAATTCTTTTCTTTAAGAATGTTGAATATTGGCCCCCACTCTCTTCTGGCTTGTAGGGTTTCTGCTGAGAGATCCGCTGTTAGTCTGATGGGCTTCCCTTTGAGGGTAACCCGACCTTTCTCTCTGGCTTCCCTTAACATTTTTTCCTTCATTTCAACTTTGGTGAATCTGACAATTATGTGTCTTGGAGTTGCTCTTCTGGAGGAGTATCTTTGTGGCATTCTCTGTATTTCCTGAATCTGAACGTTGGCCTGCCTTGCTAGATTGGGGAAGTTCTCCTAGATAATATCCTGCAGAGTGTTTTCCAACTTGGTTCCATTCTCCCCATCACTTTCAGGTACACCAATCAGACGTAGATTTGGTCTTTTCACATAGTCCCATATTTCTTGGAGGCTTTGCTCATTTCTTTTTATTCTTTTTTCTCTAAACTTCCCTTCTTGCTTCATTTCATTCATTTCATCTTCCATTGCTGATACCCTTTCTTCCAGTTGATCACATCGGCTCCTGAGGCTTCTGCATTCTTCACGTAGTTCTCGAGCCTTGGTTTTCAGCTCCATCAGCTCCTTTAAGCACTTCTCTGTATTGGTTATTCTAGTTATACATTCTTCTAAATTTTTTTCAGTTTTCAACTTCTTTGCCTTTGGTTTGAATGTCCTCCCGTAGCTCAGAGTAATTTGATCGTCTGAAGCCTTCTTCTCTCAGCTCGTCAAAGTCATTCTCCATCCAGCTTTGTTCCGTTGCCGGTGAGGAACTGCGTTCCTTTGGAGGAGGAGAGACGCTCTGCGTTTTAGAGTTTCCAGTTTTTCTGTTCTGTTTTTTCCCCATCTTTATGGTTTTATCTACTTTTGGTCTTTGATGATGGTGATGTACAGATGGGTTTTCGGTGTGGATGTCCTTTCTGTTTGTTAGTTTTCCTTCTAACAGACAGGACCCTCAGCTGCAGGTCTGTTGGAATACCCTGCCGTGTGAGGTGTCAGTGTGCCCCTGCTGGGGGGTGCCTCCCAGTTAGGCTGCTCGGGGGTCAGGGGTCAGGGACCCACTTGAGGAGGCAGTCTGCCGGTTCTCAGATTTCCAGCTGCGTGCTGGGAGAACCACTGCTCTCTTCAAAGCTGTCAGACAGGTACATTTAAGTCTGCAGAGGTTACTACTGTCTTTTTGTTTGTCTGTGCCCTGCCCCCAGAGGTGGAGCCTACAGTGGCAGGCAGGCCTCCTTGAGCTGTGGTGGGCTCTACCCAGTTCGAGCTTCCTGGCTGCTTTGTTTACCTCAGCAAGCCTGGGCAATGGTGGGCGCCCCTCCCCCAGCCTCACTGCCCCCTTGCAGTTTGATCTCAGACTGCTGTGCTAACAATCAGCGAGACTCCGTGGGCGTAGGACCCTCCGAGCCAGGTGTGGGATATAGTCTAGTGGTGCGCCGTTTTTTAAGCCGGCCTGAAAAGCGCAATATTCGGGTGGGAGTGAACCGATTTCCAGGTGCGTCTGTCACCCCTTTCTTTGACTCGGAAAGGGAACTCCCTGACCCCTTGCGCTTCCCAGGTGAGGCAATGCCTCGCCCTGCTTCGGCTCGCGCACCCACTGCCTGGCACTCCCTAGTGAGATGAACCCGGTACCTCAGATGGAAATGCAGAAATCACCCGTCTTCTGCGTCGCTCACGCTGGGAGCTGTAGACCGGAGCTGTTCCTATTCGGCCATCTTGGCTCCTCCCTCAATTTGTTTATATTCTAAGCCTCATGGGTAATACATTTTTGAGACTCTGGATGATATTTTGTTTTAAATAGCTTTGAGTTTTGATCCTACAGGCAGTCCATTTACGGAAAGTTAGCATTTATCTTACCAGACTTTATTTTAAAAATGTTACGGTGATGCCTATCTCAGTTTTTCTCTTTGTCGTACAGCATACACGTTATCCCTAATGCATAAGCCTGGGCTTTTCTGGCATCTCACTGAATATTTTTCTTGAAGTTCAATCTATCTTGGATAGGGTGGAACTCCATGGTTTCCCTTGGAATTCTCTGTTCAACTTTCAGATTGCCACAAAATGCTCATGATATCTCTCAAAGAATGATTTCCTGGATTTGTTCAGTTTGGAATTTAGCCAAGGACTGGGTAAACTCCTATGCAGTTGTATGGGGATTTAGCCATCCTAGCAGCCTCAATCTTCATTTTCTCTCTTTTCCATCCAGAGACACTGCTTTTCCCTGAGCTCCATTTCCCTTCTTTGCTGTTTTAAAAGTGGTCTAAGAGATTTACTCATACAAAATGAGATCTCACCCTGGGCAATATACTTACTCTATAAAACCCCACTTTCATCATTGATTTAATTGTATATTTTGACATAAAATTTGTACAATTTCCTATTAGCTTTAAAATAGTTTTAACTGTGAGCACAAGTATCTCCCTTTCTTCAAAAATGCTCGCAAATGGTTTTGACCCACATCTTTGGGTCACTATGTTCATAATTTCATCAAATGCCAAATGAAAAATAACTCAATTATAAATTACTTTATGCTCTGAAATATAGAGGACCTTTTAAGGAATTAATCTTTCTCCCAAAATTAATGTCTTTCTTAGTAAATGATATGTATTTTTATAATTTAAAATAGATATTATGTTAAGAAATAGATATTTAATCATTGTTGATAATATACCCTTATTTTTATTTAAATCTTAAAATTCAAATGTACAATAAAAATAAGTGTTCAACACAATAATGTAGGCTTTCATTGCTCCAGTTCATGTTCACTTAGCACTTTGCTCATTGATTGTTATTTCAAAAAAATAAGTAAATGTTCAGGTTGCTTGATTTAAAAAGATGTAAATAAAAGGAGATAAATATTATAAATTATTGACATTAGAAATAAACTTAGGTGTCATCTAACCTACCCTCTTTATTGCAACATCCATTATGTTACAGAATAGAAACCAAAAATCCAAAAAGTTAAGCAATTTGCCTAATACCTTATAGGTAAATAACAACCAAATTGAGATTCAGACAAGTCCTCCTTAACCCACACCACAATCATTTTCTTTACACTACAAATAATATATAATATCTATCTTGACAGAAATAAGATATATGGATTAATAATGGCTGTCTTCAGAAAAGGGAATTGAATTTTTTAAATTTATCGAATCAATAAAGTTGTTTTTCAATATGACTATAGAATAAAATGCTTAAATTTAAATGGAAATTTTCTATATCATCTTAGTCCACTTGGGCTACTAGAAGAATAATACCGTAAAGTAGACAGGTTATAAACAAACCTATACTTCACAGTTTTGGAGGCTGGAAAGTTCCAGTTTAAGGTGCTGACAGATTTGGTGTCTGGTAAGGGCCTGCTTTCTCATAGATTGCACCATCTTCCTATGTCCTCAAATGGTGAATTAGGATTGCATGTTTCCTCAGACCTCTTTATAAAGGCACTAATCCCATTCATAATGGCTCTACTTTTATCATCAAATCACCTCCCAAAAGGCCCACTTCCTAATGCCATCACCTTGAGGGTTAGTATTTCAACATGTGAATTTTGAGAAAAGTAAAACATTCAGGCTGTTGCACATATTATCTGACTAAAGTAGAATTTAGCAATATTTTGATTTCTAGAAGCTGAGCATGCTATCGGTTGGTAAGGACTATGTAGGCAATTGAAACCACTGTACTTATTTTGGTGTCCTGCTGCCATATATTTGAAAGGTTGATAAACTCTGGGTTCAAGTCTATATGTTGTTCACTAGTTGAATTTATCCTAGTTTTTGAACATGTATCTAACATGCTATGTAAGTGTCCTGAAACAAGAATATGCCTTTTAGCATAATGTTACTTCTAACTTTTCTATTTTTAGATATTGAAATATCATTCTTTCCATATATTATAGAATTTCAAAGGGCAGTTATTTCCTTTCAAAATGTGTTATAGAAATGTCCGGTTTCCTCTTTGACAGCTAGAGAGTTTGGAAGTCATCACTCTCAACCCACAACAAGAAAAAAGCTGAAAAAATGAAAAAAATTCAACATCAGCAATTCTCAGATACATTAAATCATCAAAGTTTGGGCAAACCAATTCTGAAAAACTGCAGATAGGCAAAAAAGACAATTACAAATTACCAAGAGCAGAAGCTGCTAGAGACAGTAACTACAGGCACACCTCATTTTATTGCACTTCACATTATTGTGTGTTGCAGATACTGTGCTTTTTACAAATTAAAAGTTTGTGTGGCCGGGCGCAGTGGCTCACGCCTGTTATCCCAGCACTTTGGGAGGCCAAGGCGGGCGGATCACAAGGTCAGGAGATGGAGACTATCCTGGCTAACACCGTGAAACCCCGTCTCTACTAAAAATACAAAAAATTAGCCAGGCGAGGTGGCGCATGCCTGTAGTTCCAGCTATTTGGGAGGCTGAGGCAGGAGAATGGTGTGAACCTGGGAGGCGGAGCTTGCGGTAAGCCGAGATCGCACCACTACACTCCAGCCTGGGCAGCAGAGTGAGACTCTGTCTCAAAAAAAAAAAAAAGTTTGTAGGTATTCTGCCTGAGTCAAGCAAGTCTATTGGTGCAATTTTTCCAACATGTGCTCACTGTATCTTTTTGTCATATTTTGGTAATTCTCACATTATTTCAAACTATTATTATTATCTGTTGTGGTGATCTGTAATCAGTGATTTTTGATGTTAATATTTCAACTGTAATCACCAAGTAAGACAAATACTTTAATTGATAAATATTTTTGTGTTCTGATTGTTCCACCAATTGGTCATTCCCTTGTCTCTCTGCTTCTCATTGGGCTTCCCTATTCCGTGAGACACAACAATATTAAAATAAGTCAACTGACTTTTATCCAAAAGACAGGCAACAAGAAATACTAGTGAGGATGTGGAGGAAAGGGAACCCTCATATATTGTTGGTGGAAATGTAAATTAGTACAACCACTATGGAGAACAGTTTGGAGGTTTCTCAAAAAAACTAAAATTAGAGCTACCATGTTACCCAGGAATCACACTGCTGAGTATATACCCAAAAGAACAGAAATCAGTCTATCAGAGAGATAACTACACTCCCATGTTTACTGCAGCACTATTCACAATAGTGAAGATTTGGAAGCAACCTAAGTGTCCATGAACAAATGAATCTCAATGAACAGGAGAATTTAGTACTTATACACAATTAAGTACTATTTAGCCATAAAAAAGTATGAGATCCTGTTATTTGCAACAATGTAGATGGAGTTGGAGATCATTATGTTTAGTGAAATAAACCAGGCACAGAAAGACAAACTTTGCAAGTTCTTACTTATTTGTGGAAGCTAAAAGAAAACAATGGAACTCATGAAAATAGAGAGTAGAAGGAAGGCTACCACAGGCTGAGAAGGGTAGTTGAGGGGAGCAGTGGAAGAAAAGTGGGGATAGTTAATGGGTACAAAAATACTTAGAAAGAAAGAATAAGAACTAGTATTTGATAGCACAGCAGGGTGACTATAGTCAATAACAATTTAATTATACATTTTAAAATAACTAAACGAGTGTAATAGGATTATTTGTAACATAAAGAATAAAAGCTTGACATGATGGATACCCCATTTACCCTAATATGATTATTACACATTGCATGCTTGTATCAAAATATCTCATGTACCCTATAAATATATACACTACTATGCACCCACAAAAATTAAAAATTAACATTTAAAAATGGCCAATTGATAACTCTTCAATGATTTTTTGGTGTTCAAGTAAAAAAAAGAGAGTCACAGATCTCACTTTAACTCAAAAGCTAGAAATTATTAAGCTTAGTGAGGAAGACATGTTGAAAGCCAAGATAGGCCAAAAGTTAGGCCTCTTGTGCAAAATGGTTAGCTAAGCTGCAAATGCAAAGGAAAAGTTCTTGAAGGAAATTAAAAGTGAGATTCCAGTGAACACACACAAATGACAAGAAAGCAAACAGTCCTATTGTGGAAATGGAGAAAAAACTGAGTGGCCTGGATAGAAGATCAAACCAACCACCACATTCCTTTAAACCAAAGCCTAATCCGGAGAAATGCCCTAACTCTCTTTAATTCTAGAAGCCCAAGAATGGTGAGCCATCAGCAGAAGGAAAGTTGGTAGCTAGCTGAGGTTGGTTCATGAGGTTTAAAGAAAGAAGCTGATGTAGGATTTCTTCTCCTTAGCTCAGCTAGGTCTGGGTTCTTGTCTCATGACCAGGAAAAATTAGGTGCATGGACACCAGAGGGTGAGTGGAATATAATTTATTAAGCAAAAGGAAGCTCTCAAGCAAAGAGAGGGTCTTGAAAGTAGGTTTCTGGTTGCCCCCCTTCATAGTTGAATGCTAGGGTTTAAGGCACAAATTCCTAGTGGCTCCACCCCATCCTTCCAGTGTGCATGTGGGCCCTTAGACTGAGCTGCTCCACGCTGATTTATTTCCTTTACTCTGTATGTGTGAAGAAACAAAATGTTTCAATATGGGCATTTTTAGGCAAGGCTCCTGTGCAAGTTCCCTTACCTGTACAAAATATCTGCTATAAGCACTTGTCTGGTGGGTCAGAGGTTCTCAGGGACCTTTCCCTTACTGTAGGCCTAAAGCAAGCTAACTAACTCCTTTAAAGCCATCTCTATAACATAAAAGTACAAAGTGAAGCAGCAGATGCTGATGTAGAAGATACAGCAGGTTATCCAGAATATCTAGGTAAGGTTATTGATAAAGATGGCTATACTAAATAAAAGATATTAAATGTAAAGGAAGTAGCCTAATATTGGAAAAAGATGCAATCTAGGACTTTTAGAGCTGAGGATGAGAAATCAATGATAGCTTCAAAGCTTTAAAAATCAAGCTGAATCTCTTGTTAGTGACTAATGTAGCTGTGACTTAAGTTGAAACCAATGACCCTTTGCCATTCCAAAAATCCTAGGCCCCTTAAGAATTATGTTATGTTATTTTTTTGTTTGTGCTCTATAAATGAATGGAACAAGAAAGCATGGATATGAGCATATGTATATGTTTAGCATGGTTAACTGAATGTTTTAAATTCATCATTGAGACATACTGCTCAGAAAAATATTCCTTTCAAAATATTACTGCTCATTGACAAAGCATATAATCACTCAAGAGCTCTGATGGAACTGTACCAGAAGATCTATGTTATTTTTATGCCTGCTAACACAACATCTATTTGGTAGCCCATGGCTCAAGAAATAATCTTGACCAGGTGCAGTGGTTCACACTCAGCACTTTGGGAGGCCGAGGTGGGTGGATCACCTGAGGTCAGGAGTTCAAGACCAGCCTGGCCATTATGGTGAAACCCCATCTCTACTAAAAATACAAAAATTAGCTGGGCGTAGTGTCAGGTGCCTGTAATACCAGCTGCTCAGGAGGTTGAGGCAGGAAAGTCACTTAAACCTGGGAGGCAGAGGTTGCAGTGAGCCAAGATCATGCCATTGCACTCCAGCCTGGGCATCAGAGTAAGACTCTGTCTCAAAAATAAATAATTTTGACTTTCAAGTCTTATTATTTAAGAAATATGTTTGTAAGGCTATAGCTGCCATAAATAGTGATTCCTCTAATGGATCTAGACAAAGTAAACATAAAGTCTTCTGGAAAGGATGCATCAGCCTAGATGGCATTAAGAAGATCTGTGATTCATGAAATGAGGTAGAAATATCAATGTTAACAGGAGGTTGGAAGAAGCTGAATCCAACCTCCTGGAATGAATGTGGTGGTTGCAATTCTTCAGTGGATTAAGGAACTACAGATGCAATAAGAATAGCAAGAGAACTACAATAAAAATTGGAGCCTGAAGCTGTTTGCTAAATTGCTGAGATCACATAAGAACGTGTTAATGGATGAGCAATTGCTACTTAAAGATGAGCAAAGAAAAGTGGGTTGTTGAGATAGAAGCTACTGCTGATGAAGATGCTGTGAAAACTGTTGAAATGACAAGACATAGTTAAGAATGTTACATAAGCTTGATTGATAAAGTAGCAGCAAGATTGAAGAAAATCAACTCCCATTTGGAAAGCAGTCCTACTGTGAGTAAAAGACTACCAAACACCATTGCATGCTACAGAGAAATAAAAAAAGAGACAATCAATACAGCAAACTTCATTGTTGTCTCATTTTAAGAAATTGCCACAGCTACCCAAAGGTTCAGCAACCACCACTCTGTTCAGTCAGCAGCCATCAACATCAAAATAAAACTATCTGCTACCAAATATATATATTTATAAATATATTTATATACATATTTATATATATTTATATACATATATATTTATATATCTATTTATATACATTTATATATATCTATATACATTTATATATGTATATATATTTATATATATGATTTGCTGGAGGCTCTGATGATTCTTAGCATTTTTAGCAATTTTTTTTTAACTAATGAATATACATTATGTTTTAGACATTATGTTATCGCAAACTTAATAGACAGTAGTATAAACATTTATATACATTGGGAAACCAAAAAGTTTGTGTGGCTACTTTTTTGAAATATTCGATTTATTGTGGTGGTCTGGAACTCAACTCACAATATCTGTGTGGTATGCTTCTGCTAGCAAAACTAGTCGAAATACTTAAATGTCATTGAAAAATTGGTGGAGGTGAGTGTGAAGTGTTGGAGAGTTAAAAATTCCATAGTGCTGCAACTTAGGTAAGTACTCATATTCTCATGAGTTTTATCTCCAGAGGCTCTACCAAGTTTTCAAAGTGAAGAACACACAGAAAACAATAAAGTTGGTTTTCAGGCTAAGGGAGGGGAAAAAAAAACTCTTTTGAAATACACCAGGAGAAAAGCAACTATTTTGAAATATGCCCAAATATTGTGTTTGTCATAACAGAGTTCTGCCCTCCAAGAAAACGACTTTTCTAGAGCCTTAGTATACATACAGGAAGGACAATTAGACAATGCTACTCCTCTAGCCTTCTGTTTTCTCATAAGGGAAGAAAATAAGAAGGCTAAGAATTCTTTTTTTGGAAGCTTACTGCCCAGGGACTCTAACATACCAAAAAAGGGAGATTAAATCATAAGATTGTAGAACATGTCTCCTTCCCAATTTACTACCACATAAATTGGGCATCAATAAAGTAACACTGGGTTACAACTGAGACAGCTGCAAGACATAGACTGTATTTAAGGAGTTTCTAGGGAAACTTAGAGAAAACAGAGAAGACAAAACAAGGATGCTAGAGGAATTTTAAGCCTATGACATATATAGCAATAGTAAACATTAAAAACAGCCTAATTTCTAGATAAATACACATAAAATCTCACCCCAAATGCCTAATTCAGTTCATATTATCTGATACATGTCTGACTTTAATTTTAAAAAATGCAAAACTTGCTCAAAGTCAAGAAAAAGCACAGTATGAAGAAACAAATTAAACTCAGATATGGTAGAAATTTTGGAATTATCAGAGAAACTAAACTATAATTGATATATTAAAAGCACTAGTAGAAAAAGAAGTAGTCAACATTCAGGACCAGATGGGTAATTAGAGCAAAGAGATGGAAACAAAAAGTAAGAATCAAATAGAAGCACTAGAAATAAAAAACGTGGTAACAAAATGAAAAATGCTTTTCATGGGCTTATAAATTTACTGAATACAGTAAAGCAAAGAATCAGTGCCATAGAAAATATGTCAATAGAAACTTCAAAAACTGAAATGCAAAGGAAAAAAGAAAAACTAAGATCATTTAAGAACTGTGTGCCAATTGCAAAATGTGTAATATATGTATAATGGGAATAACAGAAGGAGAAAGAGCAAAGAGAGAGAAGAAATATTGTCTGAGAATTTTCACAATTAATGTAGGAAACCAAACCATACATTCAGGAAGCTCAGGTGATACAATACAGAATAAATTTTTAAAAACTTCATATGCATATCATATCCAAACTGCAAAAAAAGGACAAAAACACAATTTTGAAGGAAGCAAGAGGGAAATAAAAAACCTACCTACAGAAGAACAAGGAAAATAATTACATAAGACTTCTCTTCCGAAATCATACAAACAAGAAGATAGAGTGAAATATTTAAAGTGTTGGGGAAAAAAATCCCTCCTACCTAGAAATCTCCAGTCAATAAAATTATCCTTCATAGATGAAAATAAAATAGAGATTTTCCAAACCAAAACTAGGGAAAATTGTTGCCAAGAGACCTTCCTTGAAGAAACACTAAAAGAAGTTCTTCTGAGAGAATAAAAATGATATTAGACAGAAATTGAATCTACACAAAGAAATAATAAAAGAAAATATCTTTCTATTTTTAATTGATCTAATAGATAGCAGTTTGAAGTAATATGAACACTGTATTCAGTAATGAAAATTTACAGATAAGTGAAATTAAATACAGCAATGTCATAAGGGATGGGAGGATTAATAATATTCTGTTGTGAGGTAATTTTATTAGTTATAAATATGTATTGCAAATCTTATGCACAAACTAAATTTTAAAAAGTATTTATAAAATTGATATGCTAAAAGAGAAGAGGAAATGGAATCATATAAAATGCCCAATTAAAACCACAAAGGGCAAAATAACAGGAAAGATTTAAGAAAAAACAAAGAACTAGGTCAACAAGTAGAAAACAATATCAAACATAGTAGATATTAATCTAACTGTATCAATAGTCACTTTAAGTAAGAATGGTATAAATATACCAATTAAAAGACATAGACTGAGAGAATAAATAAAAAACAAGACCCAACCATATGTTGTCTGTAAGAAACTCACTTTAATATAAAAACAAGGATAGATTAAGTGTGAAAGAATGGAGAAAGGTAGATAACGTTAACAGTAACCCAAAGAAAGCCAGAATAGCTACGCTAATTTCAGAAAAAGTAGACATAAAAATAAGAAACTTATCAGAAACAAAGCAGGACATTATGTAATGATAAAGAGATTTATTCTCCAAGAAGACATAACAATTATTAAAGTGTATGTACCTAGCAAGAGAGCATCAAAATATGTGAACCCAAAGCTGATTGATAGAACTGCAAAGAGAAATAGACAAATTATTATAGTTGGAAAATAAAACACACCTCTGTCAATAATGGACAGGATCAGCAGGAAAAACTCAGTAAGGATACAGAATCGTGCGCTGATAATGATGTTTCGGTCAATGATGATCTGCATATACTATGGTTGCCCTAAATGTTATAATAAAATATTTTTATTGTACCTTTTCAATGTTTAGATGTGTTTAGGTACATATGTACAATTGTGTTACAATTGCCTAGAGTATTCAGCATACAAACAAGCTGTACAAGTTTGTAGCCTAGGCACAAAAGGCTATATTATATACCCTAGGTATGTACTTGGCTTTATACCATTTAGGTTTGTACACTCTATGATGTTTGCAGTACAATGAAATCACCTAATGATGCATTTCTCAGAACGTATCCTCATTGTTAAGTTACACATGACTATAGTTGAACTGAGCAGCAGGACCAATCAACTGCATATCATTGACATTTACAAAATCATTCAACAGTAGTAGAACACACATTCTTCTCAATACCACAAGGAATATTCATCAAGATAGGCCGCATTCTGGGCCATAAAGGCACTTTTACAAAATTAAAAGAATAAAAGTCATACAAACTATGGTCCTAGACTACAGTGCAAATAAACTAGAAATCAATAACAGAGTGATAGCTGGAAAAACCTCAAATACATAGAGATTAAATAACATACTTTGAAATAACACATGGGTCAAAGAAGTCCCCAGATAAATTTTAAAATATTTTGAGCTAAAAGAAAATTAAAATATAACTTATCAAAATTTGTGGAATGCAGCAAAAGCAGTGCTTAAAGGAAAATGTAATCATTAAATACATGTACTAAGGAAAAAAAAAGGAGATCTAAAATCAATTATCTAAGCTTCCATTTTACCATACAAGAGATAGAGCAGTATTACACTCAAGAAAGGAGAAAGGAATTAGAAATAATATGACAAAAATCTATGAAAGGGAAATCAGAAAATCAATAGAAACATGTAATAAAATCATATAATTTGAAATCAGAAAGTGTGATGTCTCCAGCTTTGTTCTTCCTTCTCCAATAGCCAAAGCTATTTGGAGTCTTGTTGTTTCATATAAATTTCAGGATTTTTTTTTCCTTTTTCTGTGGAAAACATCATTAGAATTTTGTTAGTTATTATGTTGAATCTTTAGATCACTTTGGGATATATATATATAATATTGATAATATATTACATATATGTATATATAATATACAATATCCCATGCTCATGAATTGGAAGAATTAATATATACTTTGTACTGACTGGATCTTGTAGGAAAAGCTTTCAGTTTTTCATTATTGATTATGATGTTGTCTGTGAGCTTTTTATAAATGGCCTTTACTCTCCTGAGGTAATTTTCTTCTATATCTATTTTGTTGAGAGTTTTTATCACTAGTGAATGTTAAATTTGTTCAGGATTTTTTTGCATCTATTAAGAAGAAAATATGTTTTTCAATTTTTCATTTTGTTAATGTGGTATATCACCTTTACTGATTTACATGTGTTGAACCAACTTTATATCTCACTTATAAATCCCACTTGACCACGGTGTATATTCTTTTTTTATGTGTGTTGAATTCAGTATTCTAGTATTTTATTGAGTAATTTTGCATCATTGTTTACCAGAGACATTATTCTGTAGTTGCTTTTCTGGTGATGTATTTTTCCAGCTTTAGAAACAGAGTGGTGCTGGTCACATCAAATGGGTTTGGAAACGCTCTCCCTTCTTTTCTGTTTTGGAAGAATTGAGTAATGATTGGTATTAATTCCTTTTTAATGTTTGGTAAAACTCACCAGATAAAGCTAACTGATCTTAGGCTTTAATTTTTGGGAACTTTTTGATTACTAATACAATACCCTTATTTGTTATTTATAGGTTATATAGTTCTAAGAATTTATTCATTTCTTCTGGGTTATCCAATTTGTTAGTGTATAGTTGTTCATAAAAGTTTCTTATGATTTTTTTTATATCTGAGGCATTGTCATAATGTCTTCTTATTTATTTCTTATTTTGTTATTTGAGTCCTCTATTTTCTTAGTCTAGTTTAGGATTTGTCAATTCTGGTTTTTTTTTTTTCAAAAAAAATTCAACTCAGTTTTGTTGATTTTTTTCATTGTTTCTCTATACTCTATTTGATTTATTTCTGTCCTAATATTTATTATTTTCTTCTGTCTGGTACCTCTGGGCTTAGTTTGTTCTTTTTCTAACTTCTTGAAGTGTAAATTCAGTTTGAGATTTTTTAATTTAAACGAAGGTATTTATTGCTATAAAATTTCCTCTTAATGTTGCTACTAATACGTCATTTAAATATTGATATGTTGTATCTTAGTTTTTATTTTTCTCTAAATATTTTTAACATTTCCTCTTGATTTCCTCTTTGACCCAGTGTTTATTTAGGAAAGTATTATTCAGTTTCCATGTACTGGTGAGTTGTTCCATTTTCTAGCTGTTATTGATTTGTCATTTCATTCATTAAGATTTGAAAAGATACTTGAAATAATTGTAATCTTTTAAAATTATTTGTTAAGATTTGTTTCATGATCCAACATGTGATCTACCCTAGAGAATGTTATGTGCACATTTGAGAAGAAATCTATTCTTCTACTCATGGTTGAGAATTTCTAAATATTTCTGTTAGGGTCATTTTATCTACCGCGTTGCTAAAACCCAGTTTCCACACTGATTTTCTATATAGATGTTCTATACACTTTCTGTGTCTATTTTAGAGTGTTTATGTCTTTCTATTTGTTATATCTTCCTCATGAACTGACATTTTTGTTATTATATAATGACTTCATTTCTAAATGTAGATTTTTTTTTAACTCAAAGTCTATTTTGTTTGATATAAGTTTACCCAACTCTGCTTTCTTTTGGGTACCATTTAAATAAAATATCTTTCTCCGTATCTTTACTTTCAGTTTATATGTGCTTAAATTTTAAGTACTTCGTTTCTAGGCAGCAAATTACTAGTTCTTATTGGTTTTTGTTTGTTTTTTGCTTTATTTTGTTTTGTTTATTTCTCTGTGTGTATTTACTCCATCAGCCACTCTAAGTTTTTTGATTGGTGAATAATCCATTTACAAAGCTAGGTTTTTGAAGAGATCAAGAAAATTAACCTCTAGTCTAGCTAAGCAAGAAAACAAGAGACAAAAACATATTCTTAATATAGTAAAATAAAGTGAGGCTATCAGTACTGATTCTATGAGCATTAAAAGTGTGATAAGAGACTATTATGAAAAAATGTATTCTTAAAAATTGGATAACTTACATAAAATGGACCGATGTCTTAAAAGCCGTACTCCACTGAAAATCATACTAGGAGAAATGATCATATACATCGGCTTGTTTCTAAAATAAATTGGCCAATATGAAAATGCAAAACTATAAAAAAATTGAAATGATCAGTTGTTGGCAGGTGTTTGAGGAAGTGGGAAGTAGAGGAAAGGATAAATAGGTGAAGCACAGGGAATTTTACAGAGGTGAAACTATTCTCTATGATACTGTAGTGAAGGGTGCAGGACATTATGCATTTGCAAAACCCACAGAACTGAATAACACAAAAAGTCAACCCTAATGTAAGCAATAGACTTGTTATTGGCAATGTACCAATGTTAGCTCACACATGTGAAAAATGTACCACACTAATTTGAGATGTTAGTAATGGGGGAAACTTTAAGCAGGGAAGATGTATATCAGAACTATTTGTATCATCTGCTCAACTTTTCTGTAACTCTAAAAATACTCTGAAAATTGTTCTATTAATATTTTTTAAATGTATTATAATATGCCTCCTGTCTATAAAAAGTTTGTAATTTGTTTAAGAAAATACCTCAAGGACTATGCTAACATAAGCCTGTGGAGACAGAAGAAATGTATGCACAATAATAGAGATTCACTTATAGAAATTCAGTACTTTAACCTGCTTGATCAAGTAATTTTTTCTGCAAAAATGCAATACAATTAAAACATTTAAGATGCAAATTTGATTTATGAAAATCTTCCCAATTAGAGGCAAGAGAAAGAAACCCTGTCAAATAGCCATTACTGTGAGAAGCTGGCTACTCCCATTTTCTCCCTAACTCCCTTCAAATATTTGATGAAGTGGGAGTTATTTAATCTTCTATTTAGTAAAATAGATGATTAAAAATTTTCTGTTGAAAAGTAAAGGGAAATAAAATCCATATTAACATTTTGGCACTAATGAAAGCTCTAAATTTTAATTCACTATTAAAAGCTTAAAAATTAAAAATACTTTTCTCTCATTTTTATTGAATTAAATATTGTTTCAATGATAAAGCAAAGGGATTTTAACATGTACATTCATGAGATGTCATTGATATTTTCTCAATGTCATAATAGTCACATAATATGATTATTATGACATTTTATTTTGATTAGATAAAAACATCAATCAACTTTTTAATGAGTTGTTTCTCAATTGCTTAAATAATCTGGTTATCCTTTACAGCAGGGGTCCCCAACCCTTGAGCCACACACCAGTATCAGTCTGTGGCCTGTTAGCAACCAGGTCGCACAGCAGGAGGTGAGTGGTGGGTGAGTGAGCATTACCACCTGAGCTCTGCCTCCTGTCAGATCAACTTGGCCTCAGAATCTCATAGGAGCAAGTACCCTATTGTGAACTCTGCATGTGAGGGATGTAGGTGGTGCTCTCTGAGAATCTAACTAATGCCTAATAATCTGAGATGGAACAGTTTCATCCTGAAACCATCATCCCCAGCAGCCTCCACCACCACTGCCCCACATATGGAAAAACTGTCTTCCACGAAATTGATCCCTGGTGCCAAAAAGGTTGGGGACCACCGCCGCTTAACAGACTATATAGTAAATATTAAATATGACAACACATTCATGATAAAGTGGTTATTAGGCACAGTCCTCAATATCACATGTATTTGCAAGATGTGAGAATGAATTAAAGAAACAGTTTTATATTCTGAATATGACTGTGTATTTAGTTGCTTCCTAGTGAGAATTCCAACAGAAGATATAATTCAACCTAGAAAAGATTGAGTCAATGAATGCCAAAGAAACAAATTAAACTTCTGCCAGACATTGATGGGTTGTGAATTTGTTTTAATTTCAAAGAAATGCTGGTGTCATTGTGAACAGCTCAATAAAGATGTCAACTTAATATTTAACAATAGCTAAACAAGATGTTTATTTGAACTTTGAAAGGCAGAAAGTATATGACACATAAGAACATACAATTATATAAAGAGAATAGCCAATGGTAATGTTTTAGTGATTGTGTTTATTATTACATATTTTCTTCATCAGAATTTCATCAATTTTACATTCATTAGATGTACACTGAAAACTTACTTATAAAACTAGAAAAACTAGTCAGAAATAGTTCATACAAGAGATAGTTTTTGAGCCTTAATACTGTAGCAGCAGATGACAGTCAATTGTATTAAAAAACATTTAAGGAAAAAAGAGCAGCACCAGCAAAATCTTAGGTATTTAAAAGACTGTCATATTTGGAAGATAACAAGTTGCTTCATAGAGTTTCATAGAGTTTCTCTTTGTGTTACCCCAAAATAGACACAGTCAAATCACAGACTTCTCAAATTCCATGAAAGTGTTTTAAATTACATAAATACACAAATAAAAATAATGTATTTTAAGAGCTCATTGGACTGTAGGTATTGTGCTAAGCACATGGCATACCCCTAAGATAACTATATGAAGTAGATATTGTCTCTTTATTTAATGAGAAAACTAAGAAATAAAAATCGTAATTTTCACAAAACCAAAAAGAGTTGATAATTATTAGCATGGCAGGAATTAAATCCAGTGTTTAACTCTAAAGGATTATATATAATGTGCCTAGAAGTTGAAAAGATGCCAACAAGGCCACTTGTTTCATGCACGTAGCAAGATCTCATTGTGCATTATCTATGAACAAAGCTCTGCTTTACTAGCATTAAGGAAAATATCTATGACTCAGTAGTAGATTCTTTCCCCAGGAAGCATATTTGCTCTTCACTTTGTATATTTGTTTGTATTTTAATTTTTCGTTCCCTTATATTTCTGGAGTAACGTCATATTCTCTAACTTCTTGAGACTTGTCATTAATATACATTTTTTTCTAATTTTTACATTTTACGTTATATATTCCCTTTTAAGCCCTATTTTAGCCATATCCCACAAGGTTTTTTTTTAATCATTCAGTTCAAAATAACTATCATTATTACTTGTATTTTTTAATCAATGGCTTATATGGCAAAGTATCTCATAATTGCCAATGACATATGGGCTTTTTTAAGTTTTTTTTTAAAACTTATTTCTAGTTGCATTTTACTGTGGTCAGAAATGATACAATGCATAATATGTGGTTTTGAAATTCATTGATATTTGACTTATGTATGAAGATAAGTTCTTTTAAAATAGTTTATACTAATAAACTCTATAGTTTGGCTGCTAATATTCTAAATATGAAAATTATCTCAGGTTTGCTAATTTTTTTTTTCAAATCTTCCATACGCTTACTGATTTTTTGTTTGCTGGATCAATCAATTACTGATAAAGTTATGTTGAACTTTCTCACTATAATTCTAGATGTTTTTATCAGTCAATTAAAAGTAAATTATTAGGAAATATCCCTGCTCAATTCTAGTAAAGCCTTTTAATATAAACTTTATTTTCTTTCACTTTGACACAATGTATTGGTGTTTGCATAATACGTATTATTTCTTTTGTTACTTTCAGCCTTCTGAATCCTTATGTTTTACACGTATGAAGTCTGTTTTAAAGAACATGGTAGGCTATCTAACAGAAACTCACTTTATCTATAATAACACACATAGACTTACAGTGTAGGGATGAAGAAAGAAATTCCACACAATGTAAACAAAAAAGAGCAAGAATAGCTCTACTGATATCAGATAAAACAGATTTCAACTCAAAAACTTAAGAAAAACAAATTAAGTTATTATGATAAAGAGGTCAGTTCAGCAAAAGAATACACCAATTACAAATATATATTCACTCAACACTGGAACACCCAAATATATGTAGCACATTTTAATGAGTCTAAAGAGAGAGATAAACTACAATACTGTCATAGTAAGCAACTTCAATGTCCCACTTTCAGCAATGGACAGATCATTTAGGTAGCAAATCCATCAAGAAACATCAGAGTTAAACTACATTCTGGATCAAACAGACCTAACTGACATTTACAGAACATTTCACCCAACTGCTGCAAAATGCACATTATTTTCATCAGCACATAGAACATTCTCCTGGATAGACTATATGTTAGGTCATAAAACAAGCCTCAAAAAACCCAAAATTTGATTTCTATCAAGATTCAACCATGAATAAATAGAAAACCTGAACAGAACAATATTGAGTTAAAAGATCATAGCAGTTATTAAATGGTCTCCGATTAAAAAAAAAAAAGTTGAGAACCTGATGGCTTTATTGCTGAATTCTGCCAAACATTTAAAGAACTAGTACCATTTCTACTCAAACTATTTCAAAAAATTGAAGAGGAGAAAATGCCTCCAACTCACTCTATGAGACCAGTATTATTCTGACAGCCAAATCATACAAAAGAACAACAACAACAACAAAAGAAAGATACATGCCAAAAGAAGAGATCACTCACCATGACCAAGTGATACTCATTCCAGGAATGCAGGGATGCAAGGATGGTTCAAAATACACACATTAATAACCATGATACATTACATTAATGGAATCGAGGACAAAACCATAGAATTATTTTCAGTAATAATTTAAAAGTCATTGATAAAATTAAACATCCCTTCATGATAAAAACTATCAACAAAATGGTTTTATAAGGAATATACTTTTTAAAAAATAAAGGTCATATATATCACAAACCCACAGCCAATGTAATATGGAACATGGAAATATTGAAAGCCTCCCCTCTAGGATTGGGAATAAGATAAGGATTTTACCACTTTTACCATTTTTATTCAACATAAACCTGAAAGTGCTAGCCAGAGAAATTAAGCAAAAGACAGAAATAAAGACCATCTAAATTGTAAAATAAGAAGTCAAACTGCCCTTGCTTATAGAAAATATGATCTTATACAGAAAACTTAAAGTTTTCTGTATAAACCAAAAAATAGTAGAACTGATAAATAAATTTAGTCAACATAAAAAAACTAATAGCATTTCTATATGCCAACAGCAAACAATCTTAAATGTAAATCAAGGCAGCAATCCCATTTACAATAGCTACAAAAAATAAAATACCTATAAATATATCCGAGGAGGTGAAAGATCGCTACAATGAAAATTATAAAAATACTGATAAAAACAACTGAAGAGGAATGAAAAAGGAAAGATAACCCATGTTTATGAATTGGAATAATTAATACTGTAAAATGTCATAATGTCCAAAGCAATTTACATGTGCACTGCAATTCCTGTCAAAATACTAATAGCATTCTTCACAGAAATATAAAAAAAATCCTCAAATTTGTATGTTATCAAAGAAGATCTTGAATACCAAAGCAATCCTGAGCAAAAAGAACAGAATTGGAGGCATTACACTATCTGACTTCAAAATACAGAACAAAGCCATAGTAGCCATACTATAATAGCATGGTTCTGGAATAAAAACAGATACACAGATCAATGGAACAGAATAGGGAACACAAAAATAACTCCACATATTGAGAGCCAACTCATTTTTAACAAAGGTACCAAGAGCACACATTGGGGAAAGTACAGTTTTTTTTATAAACGGTGCTGGGAAAACTAGATATTAATATGTAGAACAATAAAACTAGACTCCTGTCTCTTATCATATACAAAAATCAGCTCAAAGTTGATTAAAGACATTTAAAACCTGAAACTATGAAACCACTAAAAGAATCCATTAGAGAAGTGTTTCAGGTCATTGGCCTGGGCAAAATTTTTTTTGGCCAGGTAACTGGTCAAGTAAAAGCGCAAGTAACTGAAGCAAGAATAGACAAAGAGAATTATATTAAACTAAAAAGCTTCTGGACCATAGAGGAAATAATCAACAAAGTGAAGAGACACTCTACACAATGGGAGGAATTGTTTGCAAACTATCCATTTGGTAAGAGATTAGAAACCAGAATATAAAAGGAACTCAAGCAACTCAACAGCAAAAAACAAATAACGTGATTTTTTTTAAATGACAAATCATCAGAATAGGCATTATCTAACAAAGACATACAAATGACCAACAGGTATATTAAAAATGCTAATTATTAATCATCAGGATAATGCAAATCAAAACCATGATGAGATTGCACCTCACCCCAATCAGAATGATAAGTATCAAAAAGACAAAAAGTAACAAATGCTGGCAAGGATGCAGAGAAAGGGAAATTCTTATAAACATTATGGAAAACAATATGGAGGTTCCTGAAAAAACTAAAAATGGAGCTACCATATGATCCAGTAATCTCATTACTGGGTATATAACCAGAAGAAAGGAAATCTGTATGTCGAAGGGACTTGTCTTTAGGTGTGACATATCTAGAAATATTTATACCCAGAGACTATAAATACATATAATATGCTGGAAAAAATTAAGTACATAATACCAGACAATGCAATATGAAAAGGAAGGCAGTAAGTAAAACCTAAGTTGAGGAGACTGGGCTGTACCTGATGTATGATAAATTGATAGAATACTTCCCTCTACAGGAAAAAAAATCTGTGAAATACTATGAGTGATGTAAACACTATTTAATGATTTTGGACTTGTAGACTCAATTTTTTAAAAGTGCATGTTTTCTTATATTTATGAAACGCTTGTAAGTATTATCAACCTTGACGACATTAAAGTAAAACCAGAGGTGACAGGAGTTGAGAAGATAAAGTGGGAAGTCAAAAGACGATGTGTTTGATTAAGGACCATATTTAGGGCAGTATTTTGAAACATCTTTACATTACAAAATAAAAAAATGTATCTATTCCATTAACACTGGATTAATGGATGAGGCTGCTATTCACTGCTGGAGGCACTCTCTCTGTGGACCCTGGCTACCCAAGGCCTGACCGGGCAGAAAGCCTACACACCATTCATGGCACACTGGCTGTTAAGTTCTACTTAATTTATGGATGTAATAGAGGCTTTCAAAATGGTTATATACAAGAGTATGGAAGAGTTGAGTGATGTTAACCTTCATCTATCAGATTATTTTAACCCTCCCCTATCAGAACAGGAAACCAGAACTTGTCATCAAATAGTTTAAGCATATTATTTAAACTCAAAATATGGACATAAAAATTGAAAACAATATCAAAAGGACTCAAAAATAAAAATAGCGAGATGTTTTTGCTTTTGAGAAGTAGTAATGAAGATGAAGAGGCCTATAATTTTCATTAAAAGCTCTTCTATGTTCCTTATGATTTTTTAATCCTATATACACATAACTTTCTGACTAAACAATTACCTGTTAGATAAAAGAACATTTTTAGGTATGTACAATATTAGGTAAAAAATAATAATTCTAAAAAGGGTATAAATAAAATGTGGAAAAACACAGTAATTACTATGTTGCCAAAACAAACTCTTTAAAGTAAAAATGTAAAATCTCAGGAACATATATTAATTCAGGCTTTTCTGGGAACTGGGACAAAATGCTGTAGAAAGTACATAGAATGTGTAACTGATATTCCTTGGACCAGAACAAAACCCCTGACTTTCAGATGTTGCGAGAGAAGTAAATAACAATTTTCCCTATTCAGCTTCAAAGCCTTCCATGGAAACACTGAAAAGAAAAAAAAGAAAAGAAACAAACAAACAAAACTCCTGGTTCCTCATCTTTCATCCTCCATCTCCCCAGCAAAAAAAAAAAAAAAAAAAAAAAAAGTATCTCAAAAGGCAGATAATCACAGTTCTTACCATCTTACTAACACGTTAGTGATGATGTAAGAAAACCTTTTTCTATCTCTTTCTTGTAGGAGGGATTTATCTTCAAAAGAAGATAGAAAACAATAGTTGTAAATAAACAGCAAAATATTTAATTTCCTAAAAATAGGAGTGTTTAGGAAAAATAGAGTGCATATTTTCTACTCTATTGTTTAGACAATAAAGTACAAATCATGGTATTTTACTTGCATTCAGATTAATTCTTCCACTGTCTTTGAACAGACTAATGCTTCAATTATTGGTACATTTTCAGTTAGATATAATTTTTCTTCATTAGAAGCATGAACCATCACCCAAATTTTTAAAAATATCATTTTCTCAAATAAAAATCATAGACTTAAATGCTAGGAAAAATGATAGATGAGAAGTCACCATGAATTCATTAGCATTAGATATTTAAGAAAAAGAATGAATGTTAGGTAGACTCCAGGGGAAGATAGAAGTTTCCTAACCAAATGGAAAGAGATTATTGAAAATTTCCTTGTTGTCTAATACAGTCTTTATTCACCCAATTATTTTTAAAAACTTTTTGTAGTTCTTCCACATATTCCACATGTAGAGACTTCCACACATTTTAAAAATAACACCAGGGAAATAGAATGTAGTAAACTAAGACATAACTAAACTTTTCTGTTTTAGTCAGGGACAAAAATAGAGGACATGATATTATTCTTATTTAAATTACAGCCCAAGAGGTGTTTATTTAGTCTTTCCTTTTCTTTTCTCTCTCTTTTTTTTTTATTATACTTTATGTTTTAGGGTACATGTGCACAACGTGCAGGTTCGTTACATATGTATACATGTGCCATGTTGGTGTGCTGCACCATTTAACTCGTCATTTAGCATTAGGTATATCTCCTAATGCTATCCCTCCCCTGTCCCCCCACCCCCCAGCAGGCCCTGGTGTGTGATGTTCCCCTTCCTATGTCCATGTGTTCTCATTGTTCAATTCCCACCTATGAGTGAGAACATGCGGTGTTTGGTTTTTTGTCCTTGTGATAGTTTGCTGAGAATGATGGTTTCCAGTTTCATCCATGTCCCTACAAAGGACATGAACTCATCATTTTTTATGGCTGCGTAGTATTCCATGGTGCATGTGTGCCACATTTTCTTAATCCAGTCTATCGTTGTTGGACATTTAGGTTGGTTCCAAGTCTTTGCTATTGTGAATAGTGCCGCTATAAACATACGTGTGCATGTGTCTTTATAGCAGCATGATTTATAATCCTTTGGGTATATACCCAGTAATGGGATGGCTGGGTCAAATGGTATTTCTAGTTCAAGACCCCTAAGGAATCGCCACACTAACTTCCACAATGGTTGAACTGGTTTACAGTCCCACCAACCGTGTAATAGTGTTCCTATTTCTCCACATCCTCTCCAGCACCTGTTGTTTCCTGACTTTTTAATGAGCACCATTCTAACTGGTGTGAGATGGTATCTCACTGTGGTTTTGATTTGCATTTCTCTGATGGCCAGTGATGGTGAGCATTTTTTCATGTGTTTTTTGGCTGCATAAATGTCTTCTTTTGAGAAGTGTCTGTTCATATCCTTCGCCCACTTGTTGATGGGGTTGTTTGTTTTTTTCTTTGAGTTCATTGCAGATTCTAGATATTAGCCCTTTGTCAGATGAGTAGGTTGCAAAAATTTTCTCCCATTCTGTAGGTTGCCTGTTCACTCTGATGGTAGTTTCTTTTGCTGTGCAGAAGCTCTTTAGTTTAATTAGATCCCATTTGTCAATTTTGTCTTTTGTTGCCATTGCTTTTGGTGTTTTAGACATGAAGTCCTTGCCCATGCCTATGTCCTGAATGGTATTGCCTAGGTTTTCTTCTAGGATTTTTATGGTTTTAGGTCTAACATTTAAATCTTTAATCCATCTTGAATTAATTTTTGTATAAGGTGTAAGGAAGGGATCCAGTTTCAGCTTTCTACATGTGGCTAGCCAGTTTTCCCAGCACCATTTATTAAACAGGGAATCCTTTAGTTTCTAAGTAACTACCAATTGTCTTCCAAAGTGGCTGTACCATTTGCATTGCCACTAGCAATAAGTGACATTTTCTGTTGCTCTGCATTCTCAAAAGCATTTGACACTGTCAGTGTTTTAGATTTTAGCCATTGTAAAAGATGTGTAGTAGTACCTCATTTTTAAAATTTGCGAGGCTTTAATGACATATAATGCAGAACATCTTTCCATATGCTTATTTGTCATCTATATATCTTCTTTAGAGATATTTTTCACAATTTTAAATGAGTTTTTTATTTTATGTTAAGAATTTGTGTATATTTTGGATACCAGTCCTTTAATAAATATGTGCTTTGAATAGATTTATCCAATCTATGGTTTGTCTTTTCATTCTCTTACCAGTGTCTTTCACAGAGAAAAAAATATATATATTTTAATGGAGTCTAACTTGTAGTTGTTTTCTGGCATCATGTTTTGTTGTTGTATCTAAATATCAGTTGCTAACTGCAATAACACCAGGTATTCTTCTATATTATCTTCTAGGAGGCTTATAATATTGTATTTTACATTAGCTCTATGATCCATTTTGAGTTAATTTTTGTGAAAGGTTAAGGCCTATGTCTAAATTTGTTTCATTTGGATGCAATTGTTTCTGTTGAAAGGGCAGCGCTGAATTCCCTTTCCTCCCTTTTTAAAGATCAGTTCACTATATTTTTTGCTCTCTATTATATATCATTGATCTAGTTTTCTCTTCTTCTGCCAAAACCACACTTTCTTGGTTATTGTAAACCAAATCTTATAAAATTATTACATTAATTTTAGGAGCCAGATTGTGTCAGTCCTCTAATTTGTTCCCCTTCAATATTGTGTTAGCTATTTTGCATCATTAGCCTTCTCATATTAACTTTGAAGTCTGTTGATATTCACAAAATCACTTGCTTCATATACATGCATATGAAATATCTTTCCATTGACTTAGATCTTTAATTTCTTTCATCAGACTTGTAGTTTTCCTCATATAGCTTTTATAGATATTTTATTATATTTAAACCTAAGTATAGTATGAGGTTTTATGTTTATCTAATAGACTGTTAACGTTTACTGTAACTGTAGGTCTCATAGATTAAAGTTTTCTCTAGTAAGTTGATTTATTTTCCCATATTGTCTTTGGATGTCCCTAAAGATTCTTTCTTAAATAAGATTTGAGATAAACATCTTTTTCAGTTGTAATCCCTTATTATACAGGGGCTCCATTAAGGTTGTGGTAAAATGTGGAGAGTGAAAAATTTCTGTAGCTTATGTTGAGTTACCAGTTTTTTGATGAGCCAGTGCTCCTTGCATGTTAACTTCATAAGTGTTCTTATTTTTCACTCTATAGGTAAGACTAAGAAAGACAGGAGTTGAAAATTTCTCTTTGCCCAAATAGAAGATTAGAGGAGACTAATCTTCTAATCTTCATTGGGCACTTCCCTTACCCCATGCTAGAACATGCTAGCATTGAATACTTCCCTTTCTGAGGACTAGGGAGGCTGTGGTAAAACTATAGTTGTTTATATTTTGCTAAAATAGTTTCCCTTGAGAAAAGATCTTGATGAGGAGAACAGATTGCTCTGAGTGTATATTGAAAAGGCTACTTCACTGTGAGAGTCTAGTAGGATTCTTGGAGGTAAAGTTCCCAAAGTTGTTGATTTTCATAGTAGTGGGGCGGGGGGGGGGGGTCCCTCTGGAGATTTTTAACTTTTGCTAAACTGATCTACACAGAGTCTCTAGCAATTCATAAATTATAGTTTAAGTTTTCCCATCCCTGTACAGGCTCCAGAGGTAGCTTCTGCTTCTAGGCTTTTGTTTCCATAAATTGTGATTATCTGTAATAATCTCAAATTTTGGAGATAGTGGTTTGTCCCATGACCTCAATTCTCTGACATATCTAAGAAGAGTTACTAGTTTTATTCTGGAAAGAGTTATCTCTGTCTTTGGTATTCCAGAAAGAAAAGATAAAGAATAAAAGATCACAAATGAGAAAAAAGATATTAATTGATTTTTAACAAAAGCTGATATGACATGCATTCTCAACTATATGAATTATAAAACATATAAAGCAGAATACATTTAAAAAAATCCATGCCTGAATCATTTTAGTGAAACTGCAAATATGAAAAGCAACAAGAAAATGTTAAAAGTAGCCAGGAAGAAGAGAAAGAACACCCAGGAGAGACATAATTAGATCCAGTTAGGTCTCTCAACAAAAACAATGAATGCCAGAAACAAGAGAATAAAAGGTGAATAATAATGGAGGTGGTTGTCAAAGGTGCCAATATTTCCTTCTGTAATGTTTGAGTTTTCTAAAATAAATATGGTTATATGATATAAAATTGAGATTAAGTTAAAAACAGAAAAATCTCTCTCTCTCTCTCTCTCTCATATTTAAAACACAAGAAATTATACTAACAGTACTTAGACAAAGCTCCCTGGCAAGTGAAATATGTTTTGAAGATGAAATTCTTTTGATGTTTGTGTCTTTCTAAAGAATTTGGTGGAGAAATAGAATTTTTATCTTTATCTTAATTTTGCTTGTTAGCACAGTTAAGATTATCAAGATAATTAGTATATTCCCCTTGATTTTTCTAGTTGTCATGTTGATCCTTAGCAATATGTAACAACTTTTTGTTCACAAATAACAATTCTTTAACTTTCTTTTCTTGAAAGTGGAAGATTTTGTACTAATAATGATACTTATGTCACTGCAAATTTGGCTTACATCTTAAAATATTAGTCATAGTATTGACTGAAAGAATAGTTATATATTTTAATTTTCTAATTAAATTCTTCTAATTAAATTTTGCAGCATATTTTTTACCTTTGTCTAAATTTTATATATATGATCTGTATCCAACTTTTATTTTTCTTAACATTATTTTTCATCCTTTAAGTATGTAGTTAAATGATATTATATAATTACAATAATTTATTCTAGACCTTAGACAGTTTTATATTGTATTTCAAAGTAAATAATATTTTGAGCTCAGAATGCAAATAAACAGTAGCAATTCAAAATTATAGTGTCAGAGCCAATACATAATTTTACTCTTTAGTGTAGCTAAAATAAGTGCTTTCCATCCACATTATATTCTTCAGATATAAGTTAGATTCATTTATTTACTTTAGATCTAAGCAATTATATTAGGCAGAGTTCTCCAGAGACACAGAAGCAATAGGTTATGCACATGTATAGGACAAGGCTTATTATAAGATATTGGCTCAGGTGATTATGAAGACTAGCAAATTTGAATATGTAGTATGGGCCAGCAGGCTTGAGATGCAGGAGAGTCAATGGTGCGCATGAACTGCAAAGGCCATCTGCTGGAGAATTCCCTCTTGCTGGAGAGGTCAGTCTTTTTGCTTTAGGGAGACCTTCATTTGACTGGAAGAAGCCTACCCACACTATATAGGACAATTTGCTTACTCTAAGTCCATCCATCAATTTAAATGTTAGTCTCACCCCAAACCCTCTCCAAGTTGACACACAAAATTAACCATCATAGTAGTGTACTGCAGTCAAGATTTTGCGTCAGCATTTGAACATTTTATAATTCACAAAATTGTAAAATATTCTATTTAATGATATTTTTATTTATTTCATACATTATTTTCAACAATTACACCACCACATACAATTATCCTTAAACAATATCTTAATCTCATCTATGGCATTAAGCTTTTATTTTATATATTTTTTATCTTTCTTTTTACTTGTATTTTCCAAGAATTATGTGTTCTAATATTTCTGGTCAAAATTTATTCATCAGTTTCCCCCCTTAGCCTATCTTTTGAGAAGTTTTATTATTATTGATAATTTAAAATTTTTATTTCTAAAATCTCTAATAAATTATTTCTTCATGGTCAGAAAACTTTTATCGCTGAAAATATTTTAGATTATTCCTTTGGTTATGTGATTAGCTCTTTTTAATAAAGTACAAATCTTTCTGGGTATGTCTTCTCTTTCATTGTTGGGTACTCTTAAGAATGCCATAACTCTTGATTGGGAAACTGAGCTTACTCACAAAGTTTTCAGTAGTTTCGGCTTCCATAGCCTACAAGGCTTGAGCTCAACCCTGCATTCAGTTAAAATGATGATGGACAGGATTTTCCACATAGGGGATATTTTTCATCACTTTCGATCTCAAATAAAACATTTATTAATGTTAAGTTTCTGGTAAAACTGTGTATATTACACTATTTCATATTCTTCTGTTTCCTCTGGTTGTTCCTTCTGCCCAAATTGCTTCTTTAATAAAGTAATACCTATTAAATACCTAATATATTTGAACGATATTATATTAGGTATATGAATAAGAAATAATAAAAAGTCTTAATTGTATTAAATTTAGTATTCGTCACTCTTCCAGATTTGAGTGGGTGTCATCTCCTCTAGAAATCTTCATTTGAATTATTATGTCGAAAGTATTTGCTTATAAGTCTCTTGCCTCCATTTCACTATAGTTCTAATTCAAGTACCATGGTTTAATAGTCAGGTCTCTACACTTGTCGGAATTAAGTAAATACTTATAAAGTTCAATTGAAGGTAACTGTAACAGGTGAAGTTACAGTAACTTCTTTGGCTAACTAATATTTAAGTTGTGCTAAACTAAAATTTCAATTACTTTTTTTTACTCCAACTCAGAGAATACGACTTTACCAAATTTTATATAAAGTTTTAATTAAATCTTTACATGTGACTTAATTCACTCATGACTAGACTGATGAGTGTGTTGAATGGAATAATATGTAATGACTTTTGTAGGACTGACATAAATTAAAAGCTAAAATGGAAACGCAGAGTTAATGTACAAAAATAAGAAGGTAGTTTCACCAACCTCCTAGTTACTTGTCAGAAAGATAAAGAACCTCCACTGTTGCCCAGTTTATATGAAAATTTTATAGTACATTTCGTAGACACCCATTTGAGAGAAGATTTTAATTTAGTAATATTTTCCATGAAAAATATTTTTACCAAACAAACAACTAAATCATTGTTGATCTGGCAATAACAAATCATACATCACAGAAGAGATATCCTGGAAGTGATATGGATATTATAGTTTTCTGGAATGTGTACAGAAATTATGATCACTGGCCAGTCGTGGTGGTTCACGCCTGTAATCCCAGCACTTTGGGAGGCCGAGGCGGGCAGATCATGAAGTCAGGAGTTCAAGACAAGCCTGACCAACATGGTGAAACCCTGTCTCTAATAAAAGTACAAAAATTAGTCAGGTGTGGTGGCACGGGTCTGTAATCCCAGCTACTCAGGAGGCTGAGACAGGAGAATTGCGTGGGCCTGGGAGGCGGAGGTTGCAGTGAGCCAAGATTGTGCTACTGCACTCCAGCCTGGGCAACAGTGAGACTCTGTCTCAAAAAAAGAAAAAAAAAAGGATTCATTGATCACTTCCTCCATTGAATATAATCAACTTTATTTAGTTTTCAGGGTATTTTCATAGAGAAAATTTTCGATGGCCACGTTTTCAGCATTGAAAAAATAAAAAGTGATTTTTTTCAGGTATTTTCAATGCCAGAATTTTTCTAAATGAAATCAAAACACATAAACCTAGAAAAATAAATATGCACATATAAAAAACACACTAGAACTTGAACCTACTGCCTCTGATTTTTATAGTTATATCTTTCAATTACATCCCAATGAAATCTGCAAATATTTTATTAAAATTTTAACTCTCATTTGTATCAAAGTTGACACACAAAAAAGATAGCTACTGCTTTCGAAGTTATTGATAAAGTTAAAAAATTACGAAATTGGCCTGTAATACCAAGTGAAATTACTTCTTTCCTTATAATACTAATAACAATTAAAATGAGCTGAGTTACATATTAGCTTATGTAAAAAATTTTCTGCTTTAGTATTATGTAAGTCAAATTAATTTGAATACTCTTGTAGTATATTTTGGAGATTGTAGATTAAATTTAAAATAAGTTTCTAAAGAAATTTTCTAACAAAATTACAGTTAATTTCTATCTACCTAATTTAATATATGCTTTCACAAGACAAACATCATGTAATAACTTCCTAAGTCCCTAGCCTGACATATGTCTGATTTTGTTCCTATGGTTTTTACTTACCTCTGCAACTGATTAGAATTATACTTTTTAATGTTTTACAGCTACTATGCAATTAGAGTAACCAAATTAGCTTTTTACTTACAATGCTTTTTCTCCCTTTGCACTTCAACTCTCTTCACTTTTTCAAGTTTATTGTAAGGTGACATAGTACATTCAATTCCTGGAATAATTTATACTGGACATACAAATCAACTTGATTTAAAATAGTTCACATAAAACATACTAAGATTACCTATCTCCAGGGTATGTTTTAATGAAGGTTCCACTATCAGAAAAAAAAAATAATAGAATAGAGAACATTAAAATCCTACAGAGTGGCAGGGCAGGGAGGGGTCACCCAAAATGCATGGATCAGGATATAAAATAATTTTGATTCCACTAATAACGAAATGCTCTATTCTTCATTAATGAACTGTTTCAGATAACCCTAAGTTACTTGTTGGGTACCGCTTTTCTTTTTTTTTTTTTTTTTATTATACTTTAAGTTTCGGGTACATGTGCACAACTTGCAGGTTAGTTACATACATATACATGTGCCATGTTGGTGTGCTGCACCCATCAACTCGTCATTTAACACTAGTATATCTCCTAATGCTGTCCCTCCCCCCTCTCCCCAACCCACAACAGGCCCTGGTGAGTGATGTTCCCCTTCCTGTGTCCATGTGTTCTCATTGTTCAATTCCCACCTATGAGTGAGAACATGCGGTGTTTAGTTTTTTGTCCTTGCGATAGTTTGCTGAGAATGATGGTTTCCAGCTTCATCCATGTCCCTACAAAGGACATGAACTCATCATTTTTTATGGCTGCATAGTATTCCATGGTGTATATATGCCACATTTTCTTAATCCAGTCTATCATTGTTGGACATTTGGCTTGGTTCCAAGTCTTTGCTATTGTGAATAGTGCTGCAGTAAACATACGTGTGCATGTGTCTTTATAGCAGCATGATTTATAATCCTTTTGATATATATCCAGTAATGGGATTGCTGGGTCAAATGGTATTTCTAGTTCAAGATCCCTGAGGAATCGCCACACTGACCTCCACAATGGTTGAACTAGTTTACATTCCCACCAACAGTGTAAAAGTGTTCCTATTTCTCCACATCCTCTCCAGCACCTATTGTTTCCTGACTTTTTAATGATCACCATTCTAACTGGTGTGAGATGGTATCTCATTGTGGTTTTGATTTGCATTTCTCTGATGGCCAGTGATGATGAGCATTTTTTCATGTGTCTTTTGGCTACATAAATGTTTTCTTTTGAGAAGTGTCTGTTCATATCCTTCGCCCACTTTTTGATGGGGCTGTTTGTTTTTTTCTTGTAGATTCGTTTGAGTTCATTGTAGATTCTGGATATTAGCCCTTTGTCAGATGAGTAGGTTGCGAAAATTTTCTCCCATTTTGTAGTTTGCCTGTTCACTCTGATGGCAGTTTCTTTTGCTGTGCAGAAGCTCTTTAGTTTAATTAGATCCCATTTGTCAATTTTGGCTTTTGTTGCCATTGCTTTTGGTGTTTTAGACATGAAGTCCTTGTCCATGCCTATGTCCTTAATGGTATTACCTAGGTTTTCTTCTAGGGTTTTTATGGTTTTACGTCTAACATTTAAGTCTTCAATCCGTCTTGAATTAATTTTTGTATAAGGTGTAAGGAAGGGATCCAGTTTCAGCTTTCTACATATGGCTAGCCAGTTTTCCCAGCACCATTTATTAAATAGGGAATCCTTTCCCCATTGCTTGTTTTATTCAGGTTTGTCAAAGATCAGATACTTATAGATATGCAGCATTATTTCTGAGGGCTCTGTTCTGTTCCACTGATCTATATCTCTGTTTTGGTACCAGTACCATGCTGTTTTGGTTACTGCAGGCTTGAAGTATAGTTTGAAGTCAGGTAGCATGATGCCTCCAGCTTTGTTCTTTTGGCTTAGGACTGACTTGGCAATGCGGGCTCTTTTTTGGTTCCATATGAACTTTAAAGTAGTTTTTTCCAATTCTGTGAAGAAAATCATTGGTAGCTTGATGGGGATGGCATGTAATCTATAAATTACTTTGGGTAGTATGGCCATTTTCACGATATTGATTCTTCCTACCTACGAGCATGGAATGTTCTTCCATTTGTTTGTATCCTCTTTTATTTCATTGAGCAGTGGTTTGTAGTTCTCCTTGAAGAGGTCCTTCACATCCCTTGTAAGTTGGATTCCTAGGTATTTTACTCTCTTTGAAGCATTTGTGAATGGGAGTTCACTCATGATTTGGCTCTCTGTTTGTCTGTTATTCGTGTATAAGAATGCTTGTGATATTTGCACATTGATTTTATATCCTGAGACTTTGCTGAAGTTGCCTATCAGCTTAAGGAGGTTTGGGCTGAGATGATGGGGTTTTCTAGATACACAATCATGTCATCTGCAAACAGGGACAATTTGACTTCCTCTTTTCCTAATTGAATACCCTTTATTTCCTTCTCCTACCTGATTGCCCTGGCCAGCACTTCCAACACTATGTTGAATAGGAGTGGTGAGAGAGGGCATTCCTGTCTTGTGCCAGTTTTCAAAGGGAATGCTTGCAGTTTTTGCCCATTCAGTATGATATTGGCTGTGGGTTTGTCATAGATAGCTCTGATTATTTTGAGATAATTTTTGATAATTTTGATAATTTTGAGATAATATTTTAGCATGAAGTGTTGCTGAATTTTTTCAAAGGTCTTTTCTGGATCTATTGAGACAATCATATGTTTTTTGTCTTTGGTTCTGTTTATATGCTGGATTACGTCTATTGATTTGCGTATGTTGAACCAGCCCTGTATCCCAGGGTGAAGCCCACTTGATCATGGTGGATAAGCTTCTTGATGTGCTGCTGGATTCGGTTTGCCAGCATTTTATTGAGGATTATTGCATCGATGTTCATCAGGGATATTGTTCTAAAATTCTCTTTTTTTGTTGTGTCTCTGCCAGGCTTTGGTATCACGATGATGCTGGCCTCGTAAAATGAGTTAGGGAGGATTCCCTCTTTTTTTATTGGTTGGAATAGTTTCAGAAGGAATGGTACCAGCTTCTCCTTGTACCTCTGGTAGAATTGGGCTGTGAATCCATCTGGTCCTGGACTTTTTTTGGTTGGTAAGCTATTAATTATTGCCTCAATTTCAGAGCCTGTTATTGGTCTATTCAGAGATTCAACTTCTTCCTGTTTTAGTCTTGGGAGGGTGTATGTGTTGAGGAATTTATCCATTTCTTCTAGATTTTCTAGTTTATTTGCATAGAGGTGTTTATAGTATTCTCTGATGGTAGTTTGTATTTCTGTGAGATCGGTGGTGATATCCCCTTTATCATTTTTGTTGTGTCTATTTGATTCTTCTCTCTTTTCTTCTTTATTAGTCTTGCTAGTGGTCTATCAATTTTGTTGATCTTTTGAAAAAACCAGCTCCTGGATTCATGGATTTTTTGAAGGGTTTTTTGTGTCTCTATTTCCTTCAGTTCTGCTCTGATCTTAGTTATTTCTTGCCTTCTGCTAGCTTTTGAATGTGTTTGCTCTTGCTTCTGTAGTTCTTTTAATTATGATGTTACGGTGTCAATTTTAGACCTTTCTCGCTTTCTCTTGGGGGAATTTAGTGCTATACATTTTCCTCTACACACTGCTTTGAATGTGTCCCAGAGATTCTGGTATGTTGTGTCTTTGTTCTCATCGGTTTCAAAGAACATCTTTATTTCTGCCTTCATTTCGTTATGTACGCAGTAGTCATTCAGGAGTAGGTTGTTCAGTTTCCATGTAGTTGAGCGGTTTTGACTGAGTTTCTTAATCCTGAGTTCTAATTTGATTGCACTGTGGTCTGAGAGACAGTTTGTTATAATTTCTTTTCTTTTACATTTGCTGAGGAGTGCTTTACTTCCAACTAAGTGGTCAATTTTGGAATAAGTGTGGTGCGGTGCTGAGAAGAATGTATATTCTGTTGATTTAGGGTGGAGAGTTCTGTAGATGTCTATTAGGTATGCTTGGTGCAGAGCTGAGTTCAATTCCTGGATATCCTTGTTAACTTTCTGTCTCGTTGATCTGTCTAATGCTGACAGTGGGGTGTTAAAGTCTCCCATTATTATTGTGTGGGTGTCTAAGTCTCTTTGTAGGTCACTAAGGACTTGTTTTATGAATCTGGGTGCCCCTTTATTGGGTGCATATATATTTAGGATGTTTAGCTCTTCTTGTTGAATTGATCCCTTTATCATTATGTAACGGTCTTCTTTTTCTCTTTTGATCTTTGTTGGTTTAAAGTCTGTTTTATTAGAGACTAGGATTGCAACCCCTGCCTTTGTTTTGTTTTCCATTTGCTTGGTAGATACTCCTCCATCCCTTTATTTTGAGCCTATGTGTGTCTCTGCACATGAGATGTGCTTCCTGAATATAGCACACTGATGGGTCTTGACTCTGTATCCAGTTTATCAGTCTGTGCCTTTTAATTGGAGCATTTAGCCCATTTACATTTAAGGTTAATATTTTTATGTGTGAATTTGGTCCTGTCATTATGATGTTAGCTGGTTATTTTGCTCGTTAGTTGATGCAGTTTCTTCCTAGCCTTGATGGTCTTTACAATTTGGCATGTTTTTACAGTGGCTGGTACCGGTTGTTCATGTCCATGTTTAGTGCTTCCTTCAGGAGCTCTTTAGGTACCTGCTTTTCTAATCAATGTGATGCACTGTGTAACAGAGCTCTTGTACATCAATATTTAAATTGGAAAAATAATGTATTTAGATTTTGATCAAAATAATAATTTGTATTACTATAACTGGCTTTAAGGTGTTATTTAACTCTTTCATATCTTGGCAGAAAAGGAGCATGTTTTATAACTAATTAAAATAAATGACGTGTCAGTCCATTCTCACACTGCTAATAAAGACACATTCAAGACTGGTTAATTTATAAAGGAAAGAGGTTTAATTAACTCACAGTTCCACATGGCTAGAGGAGCCTCACAATCATCGTGGAAGATGAAAGAGGAGCAAAGTCACGTCTTACAGGAAAAGACAGTGTGGGAAGAAACACCCCTTTATAAAACCATCATATCTTGTGAGACTTATTCACTATCATGAGAATAGCATGGGAAAGACTCACCCCCATGATTCAATTACCTTCTACCGGGTCCCTCCTATGACACATGGCAATTATGGGAGCTATAATTCAAGATGAGATTTAGGTGGGAACACAGCCAAACCATATTAAATGAAGATGTCAATTTTAATTAAACAAAATTAAAAAAACAATAGAAAACAATATTAAAAAGAAAACAGTTCACTCCACATAGCATTCACCTTTTGATAGGCTATTTAAATTCTCCATATCCTAAGTGAAAATGCATATAGTTTTACTTATGAGCTATTGCAATATATTGCTAAAATTACTGTAATATTTTAATAAATCTACTGAATTTATTTGAATATATCTCTCTATATCAGAGACAGATATTGAATTACATTGGCCTTACAAAAAGGTGCAGTAGGGGTTTGTAATTCTTCATTTTTATTTTCCTAGGACAAGAATGGGTGGGGTTTTTTTTGCCATTTATTTATATTTATAGGTCTGCTGTATTTAAATTTTATATTAGTCTGTCTTATAGATGGTCTCTCAGGACATTACATTTCCTCCAAGTAATTTATGTAATAGTTGAATTTATTTTTTAAAAGTAGTTCCAAATTATTTTTCTAATATTTTTAGCATCTAATTTTTATTGTCTAATTAATATTCTCTAATTATGAGTTTTCTCCAAATATAAGATTCACCTTTCACCTGGTATACAAAGGACCAGATCAGCTCAGTCAGTGGAGAATTATACAGAGAATAATTATCCCACTGAGACTGCAATGAAATCCCAGGCCAATTTTGGTAAAAAGAATTTTAGAACACATCCTCACAAAACTCGTCAATGTCTGCTTTTCAACTTTCTGAAATTCCCCAAGAGATCTTTTGTTACACTTCTGCTACTAGCAGTGTTAGTCAGAGCAAATAGGGTACAATATGTTTTTCATTATTTTAACCTATGGAGAGAATGTTGTTTAAGTCCTCAAGGACAAGCATGTAAAAAGTAGACATGATATTATTTTGGTTAAAGCTATGTTTTAAGAGAAGACTCTTGGGGAGATAAAAAAAAAGCTTGTCTATGTTAATAGTGGAGTCAAATTATGAGAGGACAACTTCATGACAAATAATCCTTAAAAGATACTAGGGAAACCAGGGAACAAAAAATGTTTGAATAACTGTTAGTCTCCACCTACAAAAGATGTACACAGCTATAAAATTTACTTGAAAATATCCAGTATGCTATAAAAACAATAATTTATTTATATAGATTTATTATACTTTGAGTCAAAATTCCAGTAGGATTTTTTTAATGTAAGTTAACAAAAAGATTTAATCAGAGAACAAAGAAGAGAAACCAGGAGTATATCCATAAATCCATAAAAATCTTATTTATGAAAGAGCTTTCATTATATTTCCATTTGGCAAATTAAAAAATACCAGTATCTATCTGGTGCTGGCAAAATTATTGTCAAGATGAAAAAAAATAAAATATTTTTCCCATTTTATGCCAAAAACTAAAAGCAATGCACATAGAAAAAAAAATAAGTCCATGTGGCTTAAAACACAAAAGATAAAACATTTAGAAGACAATATAAAAATCCTTCTAACATTATTAAACCATAAATACAGTGATTTTTAAATTAAGCTTTTTCTTAATTAGAATACACTAAAAGGAAAGTAAAAAACACAGATTGAAAGTTATTAATTACATATATACCTTAAAATGAATTGATTCCAGGATATAAAAATAATTTGTTCAATAATAAGCAAATAGACCAATTGGAAAAAAATCTAAAATGCAAAAACAGATTGTTTATAAGAAAAAAAAAACACAAGTAATGATAGCCATCATTTATTATGAAAATTGAAATTAAAATTTCAATGAAGCTTGGGCGCGGTGGCTCCCGCTTGTAATCCTAGCACTTTGGGAGGCCAAGGTGGGCGGATCACCTGAGGTCAGGAGTTTGAGACCAGCCTGGCCAACATGGCGAAACCCCATCTCTACTAAAAAAAAAACAAAATTAGCTAGGCGTGGTGGCAGGCACCTATAATCCCGGCTGCTAAGGAGGCTGAGGTAGCAGAATCGCTTGAACCCAGTGGGTGGAGGTTGCAGTGAGCCAAAATTCTACCACTTCACTCCAGCCTAGGCAAAAGAGTGAAACTCCGTCTCAAAAAAAAAAAAAAAAAAAAAAAAAATTCAATGAAATACCATTTTTGCAGCAATTTAATTGACAATTTTTAAATATTTGGCAATACTATCTATCGGTAAAATATGAAGCAATAGAAGATTCATATGGTACTAGTGGAAGTGCATATCATATTGATAAACAATTTGCCTTTTTGAAAACATGCATATGTTACAACCCAGAATACTTCCATACTCCAGAAAAATGCTTACATTTGTATCAGAAATGTATACAAGCAGCATTGTTTATGATAGAAAAAAATAGTAACCTAAGTGTTCATCAACAGGAGAATGAATAAATACATTATGAAATAGTCATATTATGAACTACTATGGCTGTAAAGTTGAATGAATTATAGTTATCCATAGTGTTAGGGTCCAATCAGGAAAGAGAATTTACACAGAATTTGGACAGTGAAGGTAAATATAAAACATTATTAACTGTAACAGGGTTTAAGAAAGAAAACATTGGGTAGGAAGAAGCAAATAAAACTCTAAACGTTATAGGAATAGCAGCTATAAAGAGCAGCTTATATCACTCAGGCTGAGATTGAGGGTGCAAGGAGACCGCTACACACATATGTGTGTGCATGTGCACACAAACGCACACACACGACATCCTAAAGTGAAATTCCGAACCTAGTGGACAGGGCACAACCATGTCCTGCTAAATGGAAGAGGAGAGGGGTGGTGCCACTGTTGTAGAGCTGTCAGATATCTACCCTAAAGGGTGCCTGGCAAACTTATTCATGAGGATGAGCTTCATCATAGGTTCTCTGCTATAAAATCACCTGAGTAGTGAGCCTGGGGAAGCCTCTGACTTCTGGTTGCTGCTGGCTGTGTATACTGTAGGAGTTTTGCACTGGAGAGGCTGTCTGCCCTGCAGGAACCTGCTTAGCCAGCTGGTAAGAAGGACCTGTTAGTCTTGTGATGACTCCCCAGTGCTCTTTACTGACAGAGCTTAACATGACAAAGGGACAGTTGGCATAGAAAAAATATTCAAAGGACTCATCCATTTTTGTTACCTTCTATAACAACAACAACAAAAAAGGTAAGGTAAAGGAGAATCCTAGTTAAGTAAGACTTCCTGGTTATTGTTAATATTATTACTCTAGTTGAGAGCTGGATACATAAAAGATTGTATTTTTTTACTCTATATACCCTTCTTGTTTATACTAATATTTTGTGCTTCTATCCAGCATTAAATAAAATCAGATTAATGGAACAAATCCAAGATATATTTATAGAAAAACACACTCTAAACAGTGAAGTATATGCATTCCATATCTCACTCAAATACTTCAGTGCATAGTAAAATATACATATTGAGCAACTCATTTTATAAACTTAGTATAAACATGATAAGAAAATCTGAACAACTTGTACATAAAAAGCCAATAAAGTTACCCAAACCCTTGTATAAATATAGTTGGCTACATCCTATACTAAATATTTACAAAATATTCTGGCAGTATGTTCCATTAATGTAATCCCACCACTTTTGGGAGAGGAATGCTTGAGGGCCAGGAGTTCAAGACCAGCCTGGGCAACATAGCAACACCTTGTCTTTACTAAAAAATAAAAAAAAAAACCTAAATATGATGCCCTGCACTTGTAGTCCTAGTTACTCGAGAGGCTGAGGCAGAAGAATCATTTGATCCCAGGAGTTTGAGGATGTAGTGAGCCTGTATTCACTCTAGCCTGGGTGACAGTTTGAAACTATGTCACTATGATAATAATAATAATATAAACAAGTAAAATTTATTTAAAGATGCTAGATAATGTGTCAAATTGGGAAATTCAGCAACAAATTAAAGTAGAAAATATATAAGTATTTAGATATGCTTTACACTTTTTTGTTACTAAAATGCTACATAAAATTATGTAAAATATTCTAAATATTTTCTGGATAAATATACCCCAAACCAAATAAAACATTATAGCTAATAAAAATAGTAAAAATATTTTAATTACATTCAAATAAAAAAATTAAAGTATGCTTAAAAACAATTAATTCTCAACACTGTTCTTAATGTTACAGCTAATTGCAATGTAGGATAAATGTGACTATAAATAGTGAGGAAAAAAGATTAATAATCGTGATTAGTGGCATATTGATATTTTATAATTTAAAATGTTAACAATATCATAATAAAAATCTAGTAAGGGTAACTAGGTAAAATATAGTATGCAAAATTAAATAATTTTTTAAACCAAGAATAATTTTAAATCATAATAAAAAATGATCTCATTGGAATTAGAAAGAATTATGGAGTAACAAGGAGTTAATTAAATGTAACACATAAAGCAGTGTGTACAGGGAAACTGATAGCACTAAATGCCCGCAAGAGAAAGCAGGAAGGATTTAAAATTGACACCCTAACATAACAATTAATAAACTAGAGAAGCAAAAGCAAACACACTCAAAAGCTAGCAGAAGGCAAGAAATAACTAAGATCAGAGCAGAACTGAAGGAGATAGAGACACAAAAATACCCTTCAAAGAATCAATGAATCCAGGAACTGGTTTTTTGAAAAGATCAACAAAATGGATAGACCCGTAGCAAGACTAATAAAGAAGAAAAGAGAGAAGAATCAAATAGATGCAATAAAAATGATAAAGGGGATATCGCCACCGATCCCACAGAAATACAAACTACCATCAAAGAATACTATAAACACCTCTACGCAAACAAACTAGAAAATCCAGAAGAAATGGATGAATTCCTGGACACATACACCCTCCCAAGACTAAACCAGGAAGAAGTTGAATCTCTGAATAGACCAATAACAGGCTCTGAAATTGAGGCAATAATTAATAGCCTACCAACCAAAAAAAGTCCAGGATCAGAAGGATTCACAGCCCAGTTCTACCAGAGGTACAAGGAGGAGCTGGTACCATTCCTTCTGAAACTATTCCAATCAACAGAAAAAGAGGGAATCCTCCCTAACTCATTTTATGAGGCCAGCATCATCCTGATACGAAAGCCTGGCAGAGACACAACAAAAAAAAGAGAATTTTAGACCAATATCCCTAATGAACATCGATGTGAAAATCCTCAATGAAATACTGGCAAAACGAATCCAGCAGCACATCAAAAAGCATATCCACCACAATCAAGTCGGCTTTATCCCTGAGATGCAAGGCTGGTTCAACATACTCAAATCAATAAACAAAATCCATCACATAAACAGAACCAACAACAGAAACCACATGATAATCTCAATAGATGCAGAAAAGGCCTTCAACAAAATTCAACAGTGCTTCATGCTAAAAACTCTCAATAAACTAGGTATTGATGGAATGTATCTCAAAATAATAAGAAGCTATTTATGACAAACCCACAGCCAATATCATACTGAATGGGCAAAAACTGGAAGCATTCCCTTTGAAAACTGGCACAAGACAGGAATGCCCTCTCTCACCACTCCTATTCAACACAGTGTTGGAAGTTCTGGCCAGGGCAATCAGGCAAGAGAAAGAAATAAAGGGTATTCAACTAGGAAAACAGGAAGTAAAATTGTCCCTGTTTGCAGATGACATGATTGTATATCTAGAAAACCCCATCATCTCAGTCCAAAATCTCCTTAAGCTGATAGGCAACTTCAGCAAAGTCTCAGGATGCAAAATCAATGTGCAAAAATCACAAGCATTCTTATACACGAATAACAGACAAACAGAGAGCCAAATCATGAGTGAACTCCCATTCACAAATTGCTTCAAAGAGAATAAAAGACCTACAAATCCAAGCAATGTGAAGGACCTCTTCAAGGAGAGCTACAAATCACTGCTCAACAAAATCAAAGAGGACACAAACAAATGGAAGAACATTTCATGCTCATGGATGGAAAGAATCAATATCGTGAAAATGGCCATACTGCCCAAAGTAATTTATAGATTCAATGCCATCTCCATCAAACTACCAATGATTTTCTTCACAGAACTGGAAAAAACTACTTTAAAGTTCATATGGAACCAAAAAAGGGCCTGCATTGCCAAGACAATCCTAAGCAAATAGAACAAAGCAGGAGGCATCACACTACCTGACTTCAAAGTATACTACAAGGCTACAGTAACCAAAACAGCATGGAACTGATACAAAAACAGATATATAGACCAATGGAACAGAACGGAGGCCTCAGAAATAACATCACACATCTACAGCCATCTGATATTTGACAAACCTGACAAAAACAAGAAATGGGGATAGGATTCCCTATTTTATAAATGGTGCTGGGAAAACTGGCTAGCCATATGTAGAAAGTTGAAACTGGATCCCTTCCTTACACCTTATACAAAAATTAATTCAAGAGGCATTAAATACATAAGTGTTAGACCTAAAACCATAAAATCCCTAGAAGAAAACCTAGTCAATACCATTCAGTACATAGGCATGGGCAAGGATTTCATGACTAAAACACCAAAAGCAATGGCAACAAAAGCCAAAGTAGACAAACGGGATTTAATTAGACTAAGGAGCTTCTGCACAGCAAAATAAACTATCATCAGAGTGAACAGGCAACCTGCAGGATGGGAGAAAATTTTTGCACTCTACCAATCTGACAAAGGGCTAATATTCAGAATCTACAAAGAACTTAAACAAATTTACAAGGAAAAAAACCATCAAAAAGTGGGCAAAGGATATGAACAGACACTTCTCAAAAGAAGACATTTATGCAGCCAATAGACATATGAAAAAATGCTCATTATTACTGGTCATCAGAGAAATGCAAATCAAAACCACAATGAGATACCATCTCACGCCAGTTAGAATGGCGATCATTAAAAAGTCAGGAAACAACAGATGCTGGAGAGGATATGGAGAAATAGGAACATTTTTACACTGTTGGTAGGAGTGTAAATTAGTTCAACCATTGTGGAAGACAGTGTAGAGATTCCTCAAGGATCTAGAAACAGAAATACCATTTGACCCAGCAATCCCATTACTGGGTATATACCCAAAGGATTATAAATCATGCTACTATAAAGACACATGCACACGTATGTTTATTGCGGCACTATTCACAATAGCAAAGACTTGGAACCAACCCAAATGTCCATCAATGATAGACTGGATTAAGAAAATGTGGTACATATATACCATGGAATACTATGCAGCCATTAAAAGGATGAGTTCATGTCCTTTGCAGGGACATGGATGAATCTGGAAACCATCATCTCAGCAAACAATCACAAGGACAGAAAACCAAACATTGCATGTTCTCACTCATAGGTGGGAATTGAACAGTGAGATCACGCGGACACAGGGAGGGGAACATCACACACTGGGGCCTGTCAGGGAGTGGAGGGCCGGGGGGAGGGATAGCATTAGGAGAAATACCTAATGTAAATGGCAAGTTGATGGGTGCAGCAAACCAACAGGACACATGTATACCTATGTATCAAACCTGCATGTTGTGCACATGTACCTTAGAACTTAAAGTATAATTTAAAAGAAAGTAACATAAAATAAATATAACGGGAGACATTAGCAAGATGGCAGAATAGGAGGTACCCAAATTTGGTTTCTTCCAAGAGAAACAATAATTGAGCAAGTATCCATGAATTTGGATGCCTGTGTGGGAATTCTAAAAACCAGGAGAAAGGTTGGTACACAACTATGGAGGAAAAAAAGGATAAAAACACATTTAAAAGAATCAAATGAACACTCCCACTTTATCCATATCACCCCTACTCTAAGTTGTCAAAGTGCAGTGCCAAGAAGGATCCTCTTGACCTGTAATTTCTGCCATAAGGTACAGAGAGACCAAGGTGGATGTCCAATTTCCTTGACATCTCAGAGCATAGCCTGAAAGGCCCATTTCTGTCTCAACTCATCCAAAGCACTGAAGGAACTGATATGTCTAGATCACCTGGGAACAGTAAGGAACAGTAATAGGAGAGTTCTTTCAGCCACTGGCACATATGAATTTCAGTGGAAAGCACTTAATCACGCCCAGCATTCTGTTAGTCTTCCTAACTACAGAGCCTGGCAAAAGCCTTGCTTCACTGTGGAGTTCCCTGAGCTTTTCTGCCTAATTAAGGAACCCTGTCAGAAGCTTCACTCCATCATGGAGTCACTCTTAGCAGATTAGCTGGAACACAGAGCACCATCTACCCACCCATCTCAATTACAGTGACCCTGCTGGTTCCGCAAACGCAGAGGAGTAGCAGCAGATGCCATCTAAACCCAGAGCTCTGTGTCTCTGCCAGCTGGCTTTGCCTCAGTGTGGAGGCCTGGCCAAATCACAGATGATACAACTGGCCCTCCCAGATTTCTGTGCCTGGCTGGCTGGTGCAGCCTTTCCCTGCCAAAGCCAATCTATAAAAACTAGAGGAGGTGACTGAGTTCTCAAATGTGTGAACACCAGTAGAAGAATACAAGGCTCACAAAGAATCAGGAGAAAATGACATCATCAAAGGAAAATATCAAAGCTCCAGAAACCATGCATAAAGAAATGGAGATCTACAAGTTGCCTGACAAAGAATTCAAAATAATCATCTTTAAGAAGGGAAAATGACACGATAAAAGGAGAATATCAAAGCTCCAGTAACCAACCCTAAAGAAATGGGGATCTACAAGTTGCTGACAAGAATTCAAAATAATCATCTTTAAGAAGCTCAGTGTGCTACAAGAGAAAACAGACAACTAAACTATATCAGGAAAACAATACATAGACAAAATGAGAAATTCAACAATGAAATTAAAACCATACAAAAATATTTACAAAAATCCTAAAGCTAAAGAATACAATGACTGCATTGAAAAACTCAATAGGGAGGTAGAAAAGAAACTACTGGGGCAGTCCTAGAGCCTGGATCTACAGGGACCAGCTTGGAGCCCATGTTAATAGGGGCAACCCTAAAGCCTGTGTTCACAGAGCTGGACCTGGATCCTGGAGCCATGGTGGCAAGTGTGCTGCTGCAGCAGGCTTAGAGCCAGAATCTAACATGGTGGGCTTGGAGACTTGGTTCATGGGGTTCAGCCTGTCACTGGGGCAGGCCCAGAACCTAGGTTTGCAAGGGCCAGTTTGGTAACAGGGTCTACTGGGGCAACCCTGAAAGGTAGGTCTGTAGATTCTGGCTTGGAGTCTGCATCTACCTAGGACAGTCTAGCCTTGGGGTTCACTAGGGTGGGACTGGTGCTGCTGTCTGGGAAAAATTCCGGGGCTCACCAAAATCTCCTTCCCATACACGGAGGATATCCCTCTCAGCACTGCATGGGCTTGAGGGAGGGGTGAGTGAGTAATGTAATACTATTATTCTTATACTCTCTGATATATATATTTCTCTTTTCTGTGCTCTGCCCATGTGTTGTAATTTCTAATCTGAAACAGTGTTCCATGAAAAGATGTATGCAAAGCAACCCCCAAATGCCAAAGGGGCCAAGAAACCAGAATAACAATAATAATAATAATAATAATAATACAAAAAAGAAGCCAGACAAATTGAGGGAAGTTACAGATAGAAGCATGGTTTTAGGTGGCTGCAAGACAGGTAGATTTCCACAATATTACTCACCAGACCCCAGGCTTACATGCCATAGGGAAAGGGTAGACATGCCCTAGCAAGACAATGAAAGGCAACCCTCCAGAACAGTCAAGAATACTATGTGCATCATAGCCCATAATTTGTGTGATAACATCACGATTTCTTTGTTCTTACACTAGGTACAGTGAATAAAGTAGAAACCAGGAAAAACTCATGAAATTGGGGCTAATCAGAAGTCAACATGTCAGATTAGCATCCAAGATGGAGAGATGGAGTCACTTTTTTCTCCACACTCCATCCATCTAATCCCGCTCTTACAATCTCACATGTCCACCTCTTCCACAGTGGTCCCTGAGACTCTAGAGAGGGAGGGATGCTGCAGTCATTTCCATGGTTTGAGTGACATATTGTATCAATTTGTTTCCTACTTGTCAGCAAAGGCTGCAGCAACAATACAAACAAAAGACAATGGTATCTATATCAAGTATAAGACACAAAATTAATAATGTCTTTTTCTGTCATGTTCCTCAGAATCCAAATCAAGAGGAGTAAAGCAGAGCAGCAATAGGAACAGGAAACTATGGACAGAAATACAAGTGTTTCAGCCGATACTTGCCAAGGCAGTCTTTTCCCTCAAGCAAAATGACTGTGGTAGCTTCATTTGTTGGTTAGGACATTGGCAGTCCAAGGATTATGGGCTAAGGATGTATACTAAGCATGCTGCCTGACAAACAAGGTGCTAGTAATATCTGTCAAGTCACAATGACAGCAAAAGACTATGTTAAACGGCCGACGAAATTGCCCTTTAAAAAGAGCCATGTTCCAGTGTATTAGCATGTGGAGCTTCTTGGCCCAGACTCCAACACAATCAACAGAGACCACTTTAGTTGGCCACAGAATTCCTCACTCTCTGGCAAAAAAAAATACGCTGTGTAACCTTGGGAAAGCTGCTAGTCCAACCCCAATACAAGAGCCCCCTTTCCTGGCTCAAGGTCTTGGGGAATCCCCAAATAACATTTTTCAGTGGTCTTTTATCAGTTCCAGTAAACATGCATCTGGTTGAACCTTTTTTTACAACTATGTCAATAGATCTTCCATTGTGGTGTTCTCAAGTCATTGGGTATGGTTCCAGCCCTGTATTTGTTTCAGCCCAATTAAGGTTTCTAATGGCCTGGGGCAAAACTTTCACCTTTCCATGTGCAGGTATTGGATTGTAGAAGTGTTTGCAGTTGTGCTTTCAAAATACCATTTTTCCTTCCAAGTAACCCTACTCCATGGGGATTACACGGCAAGTGAAATCTCCGATTTATGTCCTTTTCATGAGCCCAGTCTTGGACATCATGCCTAGTGAAATGTGTGCCTCGATTGCTATCAATGCATCAAAGATATCCACACATGACGTGAAGTTGTTCCAAGTCCTTAATGGTGGCTGTTGGTTTGCCCTTTTACAAGGCAAAGCCTGTAATAAACCTGTGGTCGTGTCTTCCCAAGCTTACTGGCTGGTGTCTGATGTAGTCTATCCATCAGTCTCTCACACGGACAGCTGTCTTAAGTATGTGTCCTGGTGCATGTAGAATGAGGCAGGGGTGCAGGCAGAAGCAAACTAAGCAGTTTGTTACTGCTGCTGCTAAATCTGGATAGCGCAGGGGCAATGCTACTCCCTTTGCTATCTGCCAGCCCACTTGCGCACTAGGATGCTCACTGTGTTTGGGTGTCTAATCAGCTAGCTCAGATGGTTGAGAGGGAGCCAGTGTTCTCATTCTTGCTAGGGTATCAGATTCCATGTTACCATCGGATTAATCTGACCTGTGTTGTGAAACATGATACATAATTGGCTTGCAATTGGTCCTTGTAGCTTTTCCCAGATGTCTTTCCAAATGGCAGCTCCCCACTGGGGGTTTTGTTAGTACATTCCAGTCATCCGGGGCCCACTCTGCAAGCCAAGTTGCAAGAATACTGCCCAACTATCTATTCAAGAACTATAGGCCATGGCTCATGGATACAAACTAACCATGCATCCTGGAGTTCTGTCCATTGCTATTTTGCTGTCTTCCAATCTCAAACCATATGGTACCTGTCTGCAGTTGTATCGCTACTGCCATTTATACACAAGGGCTACCTCAGCAAAACCCATCCGAGTGCCCAGTATTTTCAGGAATGAGAGCTGTGCCTTCATGTATCCTCAGAGGCATGCCCTTTGGGGGCTGCACAATAGTGGCCACACTGGTCTCATAGTGTACTGGTACTAAGAGAGCATGCAGTTCCTCTCCCAAGGGACTGATGGAGAGGCTGCTACATTGTTGCAGGTTTGCATGCCAGTTTTGTAAAGTGGAGGCATGGGCAATAATTGAGGCAAGCCTGGCAAACAACCCTTCTCTCCAGTCCTTGATAGGAAGACCTGTTTTCACAGTTACTGTAAAGCAGCAGTTATGAATTCAACGTGCTGCAAGCCCTTCTATACCCCTAGGACCTGTTGTTCAGTTGGGGAATAACAGGTTTCAATGCTCTTCCATAGTTGTAACTAGAATCCTGCTTTCCCATGCTGGACTTTCTTATGCTGGCCCAGCTGGTCCCATCAGTGCTTAAGCAGGGTGAAACTTAAGGCTTGTACCTGAGCCTCTAATAGTTTAGTCTTCTCAAATGCTTCCTCTTGTTCTTTATCCCAGCATCACCTAAATCCCTTCTTTATTAGTTTATTCAGGGGACTCAAACATTGCACTAACTGTGGAAAAAAGCCACTTACTATCCCAAAAAGACCTAAGAAACTTTGTAACTGTTAAAATGGTTCTAGACATGGAAAATTGCACCCCTGATATAAGACATATTTTACTTAGCCTAGTAACCTTTAGGATCTTTGCAGCTGGTCCTGGGCCTTGTATTTTTTGTGGGCTGGTGGCCTATCCTCTGGATTGAAGAAGCATATGCACAAGGCATCAAGGCATTGCTATAGCAATAACAAGTCTTCAGAGGTTAGCATAATATCATTAATGTAATGAAACTGTTTAACAGCAAGTAGGAGTGGACATAAAATTAAATCTCTACCAATTATTCCAGGACAAAGAATGGGGCTGTGTAGATTCCCTGGTACAACTCTTGAAATGCCCCCTGTTGGCCATTCTGAGTAAAAGCAAATTGGTCCTATTAATCAGGGTGCAAAGCAATGCCAATGAAGTAATTAACTAAATCTAGCACAGCATGGTAAGTGTCTATATTTTGTATTTATTTGCTGTATCATTTGGGTGATACTGGCCATAGCAAGCACGTATCTCAGGAACCATATTATTTAGTTCCTGGTGGTTTACTGTCATGTGCCAGATGCCACCTGGTTTTCTTACTGGCTATAAGGGACTGCTGAAGAGACTCTGCGCTGGCTGGATAATATTAAGTTTGGTCAGTTCATGTATAGTGGCTGGGATTTCTTCTGTCCCACCAGAAAGATAGTGTTGTTTCACATGAGCGATATGTCATGGGGAAGGAAGGTGTACAAGTTCCCCTCTTAAAATAGTCTCTACCCTCCTGAACCCACAGGAAAAATTCCCCCACACGTGTTTGTAATATGAATTCTAACAGGACATCCATCCCCAAGATATTTTCTGAAATAGGTGAGCTAAAGACAGTATAGTAAGCAGGGGGACTCCACCCAATACCAGGAAGGAGAGGAGTTTGTTTCACTTGGATAGTCTCTCTGGGTTTCCATAAATTAAGGTGCATTCTGCATCCATACGCACTAAAGCTAAGGTTCTCTGCTTGTTGTTTGGATTCCAATATATAGTGAGCTCCACACGAGGCCTCTGGTAACCTCCTATTACTTTCACATGGAAGAAACCTTGGCCCTATTCCTAGTCTCTAGGGTGGGGAGGAGTCCACCCCTGGAACACAGAGATTGTGGTTATTTTACATGGAGTTTCTTCTGCTCCTGCTTGCTTTTCTGCTGCGGCACTGAGAACTGGTCTAAACTCTTGATCAAGAGTCAGGTTTCCCATTCAGTATGATATTGGCTGTGGGTTTGTGATAGATAGCTCTTATTATTTTGAGATACGTCCCATCAATACCTAATTTATTGAGAGCTTTTAGCATGAAATGTTGAATTTTGTCAAAGGCCTTTTCTGCATCTATTGAGATAATCCTGTGGTTTTTGTCTTTGGTTCTGTTTATATGCTGGATTACATTTATTGATTTGCGTGTATTGAACCAGCCTTGCATCCCAAGGATGAAGCCCACTTGATCATGGTGGATAAGCTTTTTGATGTGCTGCTGGATTTGGTTTGCCAGTATTTTATTGAGGATTTTTGCATCAATGTTCATCAAGGATAATGGTCTAAAATTCTCTTTTTTGGTTGTGTCTCTGCCCGGCTTTGGTATCAGAATGATGCTGGCCTCATAAAATGAGTTAGGGAGGATTCCCTCTTTTTCTATTGATTGGAATAGTTTCAGAAGGAATGGTACCAGTTCCTCCTTGTACCTCTGGTAGAATTTGGCGGTGAATCCATCTGGTCCTGGACTCTTTTTGGTTGGTAAGCTATTGATTATTGCCACAATTTCAGAGCCTGTTATGGGTCTATTCAGAGATTCAACTTCTTCCTGGTTTAGTCTTGGGAGGGTGTATGTGTTGAGGAATTTATCCATTTCTTCTAGATTTTCTAGTTTATATGCATAGAGGTGTTTGCAATATTCTCTGATGGTAGTTTGTATTTCTGTGGGATCAGTGGTGATATCCCCTTCATCATTTTTATTGCATCTATTTGATTCTTCTCTCTTTTCTTCTTTACTAGTCTTGCTAGTGGTCTATCATTTGTTGATCCTTTCAAAAAAAACCAGTTCCTGGATTCATTAATTTTTTGAAGGGTTTTTTTGTGTCTCTATTTCCTTCAGTTCTGCTCTGATTTTAGTTATTTCTTGCCTTCTGCTAGCTTTTGAATGTGTTTGCTCTTGCTTCTCTAGTTCCTTTAATTGTGATGTTAAGGTGTCAATTTTGGATCTTTCCTGCTTTCTCTTGTAAGCATTTAGTACTATAAATTTCCCGCTACACACTGCTTTGAATGTGTCCCAGAGATTCTGGTATGTTGTGTCTTTGTTCTCATTGGTTTTAAAGAACATCTTTATTTCTGCCTTCATTTCGTTTTGTACCCAGTAGTCATTCAGGAGCAGGTTGTTCAGTTTCCATGTAGTTGAACGGTTTTGAGTGAGTTTCTTAATCCTGAGTTCTAGTTTGATTGCACTGTGGTCTGAGAGACAGTTTGTTATATTTCTGTTCTTTTACATTTACTGAGGAGAGCTTTACTTCCAACTATGTGGTCAATTTTGGAATAGGTGTGGGGTGGTGCTGAAAAAAATGTATATTCTGTTGATTTGGGGTGGAGACTTCTGTAGATGTCTATTAGGTCCGCTTGGTGCAGAGCTGAGTTCAATTCCTGGGTATCCTTGTTGACTTTCTGTCTCATTGATCTGTCTAATGTTGACAGTGGGGTGTTAAATTCTCCCATTATTATTGTGTGGGAGTCTAAGTCTCTTTGTAGGTCACTCAGGACTTGCTTTATGAATCTGGGTGCTCCTGTATTGGGTGCATATATATTTAGGATACTTAGCTCTTCTTGTTGAATTGATCCCTTTACCATTATGTAATGGCCTTCTTTGTCTCTTTTGATCTTTGTTGGTTTAAAGTCTGTTTTATCAGAGACTAGGATTGCAACCCCTGCCTTTTTTTGTTTTCCATTTGCTTGGTAGATCTTCCTCCATCCCTTTATTTTGAGCCTATGTGTGTCTCTGCACATGAGATGGGTTTCCAGAATACAGCACACTGATGGGTCTTCACTCTTTATCCAATTTGCCAGTCTGTGTCTTTTAATTGGAGCATTTAGTCCATCTACATTTAAAGTTAACATTGTTATGTGTGAATTTGATCCTGTCATTATGATGTTAGCTAGTTATTTTGCTCGTTAGTTGATGCAGTTTCTTCCTAGCCTTGATGGTCTTTACAATTTGGCATGATTTTGCAGTGGCTGGTACTGGTTGTTCCTTTCCATGTTGAGTGTTTCCTTCAGGACCTTTTTAGGGCGGGCCTGGTGGTGGCAAAATCTCTCAGCATTTGCTTGTCTGTAAAGTATTTTATTTCTCCTTCACTTATGAAGCTTAGTTTGGCTGGATATGAAATTCTGGGTTGAAAATTCTTTTCTTTAAGAATGTTGAATATTGGCCCCCACTCGCTTCTGGCTTGTAGAGTTTCTGCCGAGAGATCAGCTGTTAGTGTGATGGGCTTCCCTTTGTGGGTAACCCGACCTTTCTCTCTGGCTGCCCTTAACATTTTTTCCTTCATTTCAACTTTGGTGAATCTGACAATTATGTGTCTTGGAGTTGCTCTTCTCAAGGAGTATCTTTGTGGCGTTCTCTGTATTTCCTGAATCTGAATGTTGGCCTGCCTTGCTAGATTGGGGAAGTTCTCCTGGATAATATCCTGCAGAGTGTTTTCCAACCTGGTTGCATTCTCCCCATCATTTTCAGGTACACCTATCAGACGTTGATTTGGTCTTTTCACATAGGCCCATATTTCTTGGAGGATTTGTTCGTTTCTTTTTATTCTTTTCTCTTTAAACTTCCCTTCTCACTTCATTTCATTCATTTCGTCTTCCATCACTGATACCCTTTCTTCCATGGGCAAAAACTGGAAGCATTGCTTTGAAGACTGGCATAAGAGAGGGATGCCCTCTCTCACCTCTCCTATTCAACATAGTGTTGGAAGTTCTGGCCAGGGCAATTAGGCAGGAGAGGGAAAAAAAAGGGTATTCAATTAGGAAAACAGGAAGTCAAATTGTCCCTGTTTGTAGATGACATGATCGTATATCTGGAAAGCCCCATTGTCTCAGCCCAAAATCTCCTTAAGCTGATAAGCAACTTCAGCAAAGTCTCAGGATACAAAATCAATATACAAAAATCACAAGCATTCTTATACACCAATAACAGACAAGCAGAGAGCCAAATCATGAGTCAACTCCCATTCACAATTGCTTCAAAGAGAATAAAATACCTAGGAATCCAACTTACAAGGAATGTGAAGGACCTCTTCAAGGAGAACTACCAACCACTGCTCAATGAAATAAAAGAGGATACAAACAAATGGAAGAATATTCCATGCTCGTGGGTAGGAAGAATCAATATCATGAAAATGGCCATACTGCCCAAGGTAAATTACAGATTCAATGCCATCCCCATCAAGCTACCAATGACTTTCTTCACAGAATTGGAAAAAACTACTTTAAAGTTCATATGGAACCAAAAAAGAGCCCACATCGCCAAGTCAATCCTAAGCCAAAAGAACAAAGCTGGAGGCATCATGCTACCTGACTTCAAACTATACTACAAGGCTACAGTAACCAAAACAGCATGGTACTGGTACCAAAACAGAGATATAGATCAATGGAACAGAACAGAGCCCTCAGAAATAATGCCGCTTATCTACAACTATCTGATCTCTGACAAACCTGAGAAAAACAAGCAATGGGGAAAGGATTCCCTATTTAATAAATGGTGCTGGGAAAACTGGCTAGCCATATGTAGAAAGCTGAAACTGGATCCCTTCCTTACACCTTATACAAAAATCAATTCAAGATGGATTAAAGACTTAAACGTTAGACCTAAAACCATAAAAACCCTAGAAGAAAACCTAGGCAATACCATTCAGGACATAGGCATGGGCAAGGACTTCATGTCTAAAACACCAAAAGCAATGGCAACAAAAGCCAAAATTGACAAATGGGATCTAATTGAACTAAAGAGCTTCTGCACAGCGAAAGAAACTACCATCTGAGTGAACAGGCAACCTACAAAATGGGAGAAAATTTTCGCAACCTACTCATCTGACAAAGGGCTAATATCCAGAATCTACAATGAACTCAAACAAATCTACAAGAAAAAAAAAAAAAAAAACCCCATCAAAAAGTGGGCAAAGGACATGAACAGACACTTCTCAAAAGACAACATTTATGCAGCCAAAAAACACATGAAAAAATGCTCACCATCACTGGCCATCAGAGAAATGCAAATCAAAACCACAATGAGATACCATCTCACACCAGTTAGAATGGCAATCATTAAAAAGTCAGGAAACAACAGGTGCTGGAGAGGATGTGGAGAAATCAGAACACTTTTACACTGTTGGTGGGACTGTAAACCAGTTCAACCATTGTGAAAGTCAGTGTGGTGATTCCTCAGGGATCTAGAACTAGAAATACCATTTGACCCAGCCATCCCATTACTGGGTGTATACCCAAAGGACTATAAATCATGCTGCTATGAAGACACATGCACACGTATGTTTATTGTGGCACTATTTACAATAGCAAACACTTGGAACCAACCCAAATGTGCAACAACGATAGACTGGATTAAGAAAATGTGGCACATGTACACCATGGAATACTATGCAGCCATAAAAAATGATGAGTTCATGTCCTTTGTAGGGACATGGATGAAATTGGAAATCATCATTCTCAGTAAACTATTGCAAGGACAAAAAACCAAACACCACATGTTCTCACTCTTATGTGGGAACTGAACAATGAGAACACATGGACACAGGAAGGGCAACATCACACTCTGGGGACTGTTGTGGGGTGGGGGGAGGGGGAAGAGATAGCATTTGGAGATATACCTAATGCTAAATGATGAGTTAATGGGTGCAGCACACCAGCATGGCACATGTATACATATGTAACTAACCTGCATTGTGCACATGTACCCTAAAACTTAAAGTATAATAATAATTAAAAAAAAAAAAAGTCAGTTTTCCAAAGGCCTGCTTACATGACATTTGGTTGCCGGGCTATTTTCTCTATGTCTCTTCTGGCCGGAATCAGATCATAGCACATTTGTTTCCCAGAAATCCTAACTGGGCCTTTTTGCTCCCTTTTTCAGTCCAGTAGGATGTCTTTTATTTTTTCTTTTCCTTTAGCGACCATTTGAACATCATCGCTTCCCTTTTTAGTTTCTCCAAAATCAGAAATGGCTTCACCATCTCATACGCATTTTGTCCCACAAGGGGGCCCACTACTCTTGGTGGTGGGGTTGTGGGGGTGGGGGTGAGGATGGGAACTTGGTCATTTTTCAACTCCATTCTTTGCTAGGGAGATGCCATCCTCACCTGTGTCCCAGGGCACACCATTCACGTGGCTAAGCTTTCTTTCGGCAGCTGTTTAAATGTTTTTGCTATGTACCATAATCCTGCCGAGGGCTGCACGTGTTGGGCTTTTGCTTTCTGCTGCATAAGCAATTTTGCTTTCAAAAGGGAAGAAAAATTTCCACCTCCTCTGAATGAACCTCTATGTCATCATCTGATTCAGTAGTTGGTTCGCAAGTATTCCAGGTATTTGCATCCCCGTCTGGTTTGAGGAGAACAGCCAGCACTTGCAGCCTGCACAGCTTCATCCCTCCCAGCTTTACAAAGTGGCAAGCAAAGGTTTGCAGCTATGCCTCCTGAGTTTCCAGCTAGTCAACCAAAGCAGGCGCTAAGATAGATGTGAAAGTTCTCATAACGCTTTTTAACTGCAATTCTTCCTCCGACTTTCCTACACTTACCTCAGCTGTTACCTGCACTTCTGTGGCCACTCACACAGACCATAACGGCAGCATACTTGCTGTTGTCACAGCTCTATGACCTTTCTCACCACTGAATCATGTGGCTTTTTACTAGCAAGCTTTCTAGACCCTCCGGCAGGCATTTCAGGGTGTAGCTGTACTCAAGTGGTAGTCCACAGGCATCTGCCAAATGGACACCACCACCCCCCCATAGATGAGGAGGGTCACCATGGAATTCCCCCTGCGAATGCTTCTTCTCCCCTGTCCATACTTTGATTTCTTGGCTTCTCCTGGCCAGCTCGCCATTTGATCCGTGAAAGGCCTATGTATGCAAAGTGCCTCCCAGATGCCGAAGGAGTTGAGAAAAAGAAAAAGGCAGACAAGTCCAGTTTGTCAGTAATGGTGGTTGTATTGAGGGAACTTAAAGAAACAAGTGTGGTCTTAGGCAGCTGCAAGACAGGTAGATCTCCTCGCTGTTACTCCTTGGACCCAAGGCTTATATACCATGGGGAAAGGGTACATATGTTGTAGCAAGACAATAAAAGGCAACCCTCCAAAACAGGCAGAAATGCTATGCGCATCAGAGCCTGTAATTTGTGCAATAGCATCAAGGTTGTCTTGTTTTCACACTAGGCACATTAAATAAAGTAGAAACCAAGAGGCATTCACTGAATTGGGGCTAATTAGAAGTCAACATGGCAGATTAGCAACCAAGATGGAGTCTCTTTTGTCTCCGCAAATCCAGATTCCTCATGTACGTATTTTCAGGTGTGAAAAGTTGTTTATATCAAAGTGTCTGTGAGAAAATGAGGACGGGAAATGCTATTCCATCATCATGCTGATGTCATCTCTTTCAGTGGATTTTTAAAGGTCTTTGTTATATTTAAGATCAGTAATCTGCAAATAAAGTTATATTCTTCCTTTTAAGTTTGTCTACTTTTTATTTAATTTTATTGACAAATGCTTGGAATAGAGTCTCTAGTATAATATTGAATGTAATTGTCAAGAGCACCCAATTCCTGACTTGTTCCTGATCTGGGGGAGAAAGCATTCACCCTATTTTTAAACCTTCAAGTGTGATGTTGAATATGGAATTTTCAAAGATGTATTTTATCAGGCTGTAAAGAAATATAAGAAAATATTTATCAGAATTATAAAGGAATACCAGCTTCCCGTCTATTCGTAGATTATTGAGTGTTTTATCATGGAAGTGTATTGGAATTTGTAGATATTTTTTCACCTTTACTGAGATGACTATGTGCTGCTTCTCCTTTGTTCTGCTAAAATAGTATGCTACATCTATTGTCATTTTTATTTTGTTTAAATGTTTATATTTTTATGGGATACAAGTGCAGTTGTATGACACAGATATATTGTGTAGTGGTGAAGTCTGGGCTTTTAGTGTACACATCACCCAAATAGTGTACATTCTACCCAGTAGGTAGTATTTCATCACTCACTCACATCTCACCATCCCATCTTTTGGAGTCTCCGATGTTTATCATTCCACTCTTTATGTCCATGTGCACTCATTTTTTAGCTCCCATTTACAAGTGAAAAACATAGTTTTTTACTTTTTGTTTCTGAGTCATTTTACTGAGGATAATCACTTCCAGTTTCATCCAGGTTGCTGGAAAGATTTGATTTCATTCTTTTCTATGGCTGAATAGTTTTCTATGTGAATGTGTGTGTGGGTGTATTATATTTTCTTTAATCTTTTATTGATGGACACTTAGGTTGATTCTATGACTATGCTATTGTGAATAGTGTCACAATAAGCATACAAGTGGAGGAGTTGTTTTGATAAGTTTTTTTTTTCTTTTTGGAAAAGAAAAAATATTAGTGAGATTGCTGGATTAAAGTGTAGTTCTACTTTTAGTTATTGGACAAACCTCCATACTATTTCCACAGATGTCGTACTAATGTACATTCTCATCAACAGCATCAACAGTGTATAAGCATTAACTTTTCTCTGCATCTTCACCAACATCTGTTATATGCTGACTTTTTAATATAGCCATTCTGACTATTATGAGATGGTATCCCATTATGGTTTTAATTTACATTTCTCTGATCATTATTAATGTTGAGCATTTTTCCAGATGTTTGTTGATCATTTGTATGTCTTCCTTTGAAAAATGTCTGTTCTTTTCATTTTTCCACTTTTTAATGGAGTTATTTGCTTCTTATTGAATTTTTTGTGTTCCTTATAGACTCTGGATGTTAGCCCTCTGTTGTATGCATTGTTTCCAAATATTTTCTCCCATTCTCTAGGTTGTCTGTTTAATTTGTTTATTTCTTTTGTGGTACAGAGCTTTTTAGTTTGAGTCTAATTTGTCTGTTTTAGTTTTGTTGCATTTCCTTTTCAAGACAGTCATAAAGTCGTTGCCTTGACCAATGTCCCAAAGAATTTTTTTGTTTTTTTTTTTTCCCTCAGGATTTTTGTAGTTTCAGATCTTAGATTTGGTTCTCAGCTTGGACATTATTTGTATATAGAAATGCTGCTGATTTTTGTCTTATAGTATTTCATTTTTTAAGTTGTCTTTCTTTTCCAACTTTTATTTTAGATTCGGGGGTACACATGCAGGTTTGTGACATGGGTAAATTGCCTGTCACAGTGGTGTGGTATACAAAAACTTTTGTCACACAGATAATCAGCACAGTATGTGATAGGTAGGTTTTAGGGTTTTCTGTTTGTCTGTTTTCTGTTTGCTTTTTTTCTTTAAGACAATTTCTGACTCTGTTGTCTAGGCTGGGGTGCAGTGGGACAATCACAGCTCACTGTAGCCTCCACCTCCTTGTGATCCCTCCTTATCTTCTTCCTACCCTCCACTCTCAAGTAGGGCCCAGGGGCCATTGTTCCCTTATTTGTGTCCATGTGTGCTCAATGTTTCGCTTCCACTTGTAACTGAGAACATGTGATGTTCATTTTCTCTTTCTCTGCTAATTTGCCTAGGATAATGGCCTCCAGTTCCACTCATATTGCTGCAAAGGACATAATTTTTATTTTTTTATGGCTGCATAGTATTTCATGGTGTTACTGATTTTTGTATGTTGATTTTGTATCCTAAAACTTTATTAAAGTTGTTCATCAAGCCTAGGAGTTTTTTGAAGTCTTTAGGGTTTTCTAGGTATAAGATCATGTCACCAGCAAAGAGAGATAATCTGACTACCTCTCTTCCAATTTGGATACTTTTTATTTGTTTATCTTGCCTGAGTGCTCTAGCTAACATTTCTAGTATCATGGTGGATAGAACTGGTGAAAGTGGGCATTCTTCTCTCATTCCAGTTCTTAGAAGGAATGTGTTCAACTTTTCCCTATTCAGTATGATGTTGGCTATGGGATTGTCATTTATTAATTTCATTATTTTGAGGTATATTCCATCTATACTTAGTTTGGTAAAGATTTTTATTATGAAGGCATGCTGGATTTTATCAACTGCTTTTTCTGAATCTACTGATATGATTTTTGTTTTAAATTCTGTTTATGCAGTGAATCACATTTATTAATTTGCATATGTTGAACAAACCTTGCATCCCTGGAATAAATCCCACCTGATCCACAGTGTATTATCTGATGTACTGTTGGATTCAATTTTCTAGTATTTTGCTGAGGAGTTTTGCATCTATGTTCTCCAGGGATAATAAATAGTCTGTAGTTTTTTTTTGTTGTTGTTGTTGTTGCTGCTGTGTCCTTGCCTGGCTTTGGTATCAGGGTGAAACTGCTTTGTAGAATGTGTTAGAGAGTATTCCCTCCTTCTTGATTTTTTGGAACAGTTTTCAGTAGAATTGGTAATAGTTCTTCCCTGTACATCTGGTAGAATTCAGCTGTTAATCCATCCTGTCCTGGGCTTTTTTTTTCTTGGAGATTTTTTATTACTGTTTCAATTTCACTACTGTTGTTCATCTGTTCAGTGTATCTATTTCTTTCTGGCTTAATCTTGAGTTAAAGTCTTACATCATAGTAGTGTCTGATGATTTTTTTGTTTCTATCTCATCATTTGAAATGACATCTTGATCATTGCTGGTTATGCTTATTTGAATATTCTTTTTTTTTGATAATCTCTCAATTTTGTTTATCATCTCAAAGAAACAACTTTTTATTTCATTGATCCTTTGTATTGTTTTTACCTTCAATTTTAGTTCTGCTCTGATCTTTGTCGTTTTTTGTTTTTTGTTTTTTTCTAGTTTTGGGTGTGATTTGTTCTTTTTCTGGCTCCTTGAGATTCAATGTTAGGTTTTTAATTTGAGACCTTTCTATCTTTTCTAACATAGGTATTTAACACTATAAACTTGTCTGTTAGCACTGCTTTTGCTGTAATCTAGAGGTTTTGGTATGCTGTGTCTCCAATTTCATTTTTCTCAAAGAATTTTTAAATTTCTGTCCTAATTTTATCATTGACCCAACAATCATTCAGAAGCAGATTATTTAATTTCCATGTAATTTGTACAGTTTTGAAGATTCTTTTTGGTGTTGATTTCTAGGTTTATTACACCATGGTATGAGAAGATATTTGGTATTTATTTAATATTTTTAAATTTATTGAGACCTGCCTTGTGACCTAGCATAAGGTCAACTCTTGAGAATGTTCTATGCACTGATAAGAAAAATGTATATTTTGTGGTTATAGAATGGAATATTCTATAAATATCTGTTAGTTCCATTTGGTCTAGAGTCTAATTTAAATCAAGAGTTTCTTTGTTGATTTTCTGCCTCAATGACCTGTCTAGTGTTGTCAGTGAGATTTTGAAATCCTCCACTATTATTGTATTATTATTGTACTGCTGTCTATCTCTTTTCTTAGGTCTAGTAGTATTTGTTTTATTAATCTGGGTTCCTGGCGTTGAGTGCATATATAATTAGAATTGTATTATCTACTTGTTGAATTGATCCTTTTAATATTATATAATAATCTTTATTTTCTTTTTTTAATGTTGTTGATTTAAAGTCTGTTTTAACTGATATAAGTATAGCTACTCCTGCTCTCTTTTGGTTTTAATTTTCATGGATTATCTTTTACCACTACTCTGCTTTGAGCCTGCAAATATCTTTACCACTTAGATGAGTTTCTGGTATGCAGCATATCGCTGATTCTTCTTTTGTTTGTTTGCTTATTCATTCCAATAGTCTAAATCTTTTAAGTGGTGCATGCAGTCAATTTGTGTTTAAGGTTACCATTGGTATATGAGGGTTTGTTCTTCTTATAATGTTTATTATCACCTAATTGCATTGCAGTCTTAATTATATAATTCTTTTACAAGACTTGTTTTATACTTTCATGTGTTTTTGTGATTATATGTATCACCCTTTTGTTTCCATGTTTAGAACTCTTTTGAGCATTTCTTACAGGACTGGTCTAGTGTTTTTTTCTTTTGTTAGCATTTGCTTGTCTATGAAAGACTTCGTATCTCCTTTATTTATTGAACTTAGTTGAGCAGTATGCAACATTTTCAGCTGGTATATTTTTCCTTAAAGAAGACTGAAAATAGGACCCTAATTTCTTTTGGGTTGTAAGGTTTTGGAAGAGAAGTCCACTGTAAATCTGATGAGACTTCCTTTATAGGTGATTAGATACTTCTCTCTTGTTGCTTTTAGAATTTTTTCTTCAAGTTGACTTTGAATATTCTGGTGACTATATGCCTAATGAGGTTCTTCTTGCAATGTGTCTCCCAGGAGTTCTCCAAGTTTTCTTTAACTGAATGTCTAGCTCTCTAGAAAGACCAGGAAAGATTTCATGAGTTATTTCCTCAAATAGGTTTTTCATACTTTTTATTTTTTTCTTTTCCTTCTGGAATTCCCGTAATGCCTAGGTTTGGACACTTTACATAATATTTCTCAAGGCTTTGTTCATGTTTTAAATCAACCTTGCATTCCTGGCATAAATCTTACTTGGTCCTGGTGTATAATCATTTTTATGTGCTTATATGTTCCCAGATTTGGTTTACTATTGTTTAATTAAATATTTCATACCTATATTTATAAGAATTATTAGTCTGTATTTTTTGTACTTGAAATATTTTTAGATAGTTTTGGTCTCAGAAAAATTCTGTCTCATTGAAAGAGACAAAGTATTTCATTTTCTTCTATTTTTGGAGGAGTTTGTGAACTCTTGGTGTGAATTTAATTAAACATTTTTTGAATTTTTAATTTTTATGGGTACATAGTACCCGTGAAAATCCATTACTTCAAGTTTTCATCATTTTTCTGTGTTACAGGCATTCCAATAATATGTTTATAGTTATTTTTAAATGTATAATAAATTGTTGACTGTAGTCACCCTGTTGTGCTATCAAATACTAGATCCTTTTCATTTTGACTGTATTTTTCTGCCCAATGTTATGTTTACATTTTTGGTAGAATTACATAAAGCCATTTTGGCTTGGACTTTTTTGTGTAAAGTTTTAAAAATACTAATTCTTTTTCTTTTCTTATTATAGTTCTATGAACAATTTCTGTTTTTTCTTCACTATGGTTAGGTAGGAATTTTTTTCTGTCTGTCTTTTTCTCTAGGCATTTATCTAAATGAAATCTAAACTATTTATTTTTTTGACCAATACTTGTTCATGAACTACATTAGAATCACTCTATTATTTCTATAAGGTTAGTAATAATGTCTTTGCTTCATTTATGATTTTAGTAATTTAAGTTCTCTGTTCTTTGTTTCTTGCTTAATTTACCTGAAAATTTATTAATTTTGCTAGACTTTTCATAGAGTTAAGTTTTGCTTCCATTGATTTTCCTAGTGACTTTTCTATTTTCCATTTTACTAAATTCTACTTCAATTTTTATTACTTCCTTCTGCTTTAGGTTAGTTTGTTCCTCTTCTTTTCAGTGTATTGAGAAAGAAAGTTAAATAATTGATATAAGATCTTTCTTCTTTTTAATACAGACATATGCAACTATGTATTTTTTTCTCTTAGCACTGTTCTTATTTTCATTCCACAAGTTTTGGAGTGTTATATCTTGTTTATTTATAATACAATATTTTCCATTTTTATGATTTATTTTTTAACCTATTGGCTATTTAGGAATCTATTGTTTATTTTCCACAAACTTATACATTTTTCAAATTTATTTCTGTTATTGATTTCTTTCATAGGCATGAGAAAACAAACTTTAATTTCAACCTTTTCATATTTATTTAGGTTTACTTTATGACCTAGTATTTGATCAATCTTGGAGAATTTTCTATGTTCACTTGAGGGTAATGGTTATGCTGTTTTTGTCATGTTAGTGTTTTATGGGTGTCTGTTAGGTCTAGTTGATTTATGGCATAGTTAAATATTCTATTCTGTCATTCATTTGCCTAGTTCTCTCCATTACTAAAGGTGAGAAATTAAGATTTCCAAACCTTATTGTATTATTATTTATTTATTTATTTTTGAGACAGAGTCTCACTCTGTCGCCCAGGCTTGAGTGCAGTGGTGCCTATCTCGGCTCACTACAACTTCTGCCTTCTGGGTTCAAGTGATTCTTGTGCCTCAGCCTCCCAAGTAGCTGGGATTACAAGGTGCCACACCACACCTGGCTAATTGGTACACTTTTAGTAGAGAGAGGGTTTTGCCATGTTGGCCAGGCTGGTCTTAAATTCCTGACCTCATGTGATGTGCCTGCCTCAGCCTTCCAAAGTGCTGGGATTACAGGCATGAGCCACCGTATCCAGCCACCAACCTTTGTTTTTAAACCTTCTATTTGTCTCTTCAGTTTTGCCAAATTTTCCATCTTTCATTTGCGTATTTTGTTGCTAGATGTATATACATTTATCATGGTTAATCTTCCTGAAAGATCAACTGTTTTATTGTTTTAAAATGCCCTTCTTCGTCTCTTTCAGCACTGTTTTTTTTTTTTTTTTTTTTGAGATGGAGTCTCGCTCTGTTGCCCAGGCTGGATTGCAGTGGCATGATCTCGGCTCACTGCAACCTCCGCCTCCCGGGTTCGGGCCATTCTCTGCCTCAGCCTCCCAAGTAGCTGGGACTACAGGCGCCCGCCATCACGCCCAGCTAATTTTTTGTATTTTTTAGTAGAGGCGGGGTTTCACCATGTTGGCCAGGCTGGTCTCGAACTCTTGACCTCAGGTGACCTGCCTGCCTTGGCCTCCCAAAGTTCTCGGATTACAGGCGTGAGCCACCATGCCCGGCCGAGACATACTTTTTTTTTAAGGAATCGTCAATTTCCAGGTGGATTATTATGCTTTTTGTGAACTTTATTTCTAATTTCTGTTAGACAAATATCCTAAGATACAGGTTTTCAGGGACAGCAACTCAGTGCCTGGCGTATACAACAGAATATCTCTTTTCTGGCTGGTTCAACCTATGTCTTTCAGTGTATTGTCCCAAAGAACACTTTTCTGCATGTCTTACAAAGTCCTTCCCTGTGAGTGCTTTGCTCAGTATTCTACTAAAAACCAAAAGGTCTTATGCCAAGTCCTATAATTTTTCTTATGTATTCAGTTATTTCCAGTACCCTACCCCTTAAACTCCAGCTGCCTCTGCATTCACAAAATATAATCTCTGCCTCCTAAGACTACAGTTGACTTTAGAACAACATGAGTTTGAGTTATGCACATCCACTTAGATGCAGATTTTCTTCTGCCTCTGCCACCTCTGAGACAGCAAGACTAACCCCTTTTCTTCCTTCTCAGCAGCCAACTTAATGTGAAGACAGTGAGGATGAAGACACTTATGATGATTCACTTCATAATGAATAGTCAATATATTTTCTCTTCCTCATAATTTTTCTCAATAGTTTCTTTTCTCCAGCTTCCTTTATTGTAACAATACAGTATAAAATAGATGTCACATATAAAACATCTGTTAGTCAACTGCTCGTGTTATGAGTAAGGCTTCCTGTCAACAGTAGGCTATTTACAGTTAAGTTTTCGGTGAGTCAAAAGTTATAGACAGATTTTCAACTGTTCAGGGAGTCAGTGCCTCTAACCCCTACACTGTTCAAGGGTCAATTATACTGTGTTCTTGAGTTGTAACTCAGTGTGCTGTGATCTAAAGAGTGCCACTAAGCAGAGATCCTGGCCAATTGTTGTGCTAACCTCATTTGTTTCCCTTGTCTCAAGAATCACAATCCTATGCTTCTTGTTATCTAAACTCTGACAATAGTTGCATATGTTTTGTCTAGTTGTGTAATTGTTAAAAGTCGGATAAAGATTACAATTCCCATTACTGTCTTATGACCAAGAACAGAAGTCAAACTATGTTTTATTATTATGAGATATATATATTTTTGAAAATAAATATATTATGGTTTATAAATCAGCCACCTCATCTCAGCTCATCGGAACACATTCTATTTTATAAAACGAAGTGTTTCCCAATTCTAGAGTCACAAATGAAGTCAATTAAGATCTTTAAACATACACACAAAAAATCAAACAAATGTTTTTCACAAAGATGACTTTCCTAAACTTCATATAGGCATTTTTTTACATTTAACTTCTCTCTATTATCTTCCCCTTCCCAAATTATAACATCTAAATTCATTTTTTAACCTTTTTTCTTTATGCATTTAGAAATGTACAAAATATAATAATAGGATACTGATTTAAGTATTCTTTATCACTTATATCTGGTTTTACTTTGTTTTTTTTTCTTTTGTGCATTATGTATAATGGGTTTTTCTGTTTTCTTTTGTGCATTATGTATAATGGGTTTTTCTGGGATGATGATTTTCAGGTATTAGGCCATTTTCTTGAGATTAATTCATTATTTCTGCAGTTACAAATCAAATTTGATGGCTTACCAATTGAAATTAATACTACAGGGAGCAAGCTGTAATATTCTTAAAGTCACTTTAATACCTATAATAAAAGACTTTTAAGTATTCTATTAACCTGGGGGTTGGTGTGGAAGAAACACATGTAACAACAGTATCAATTTAGCCTAAAATAATTAAGACAAAAGCGGTTGTCAGTTTTATATAGAGACAAAGGCAGTCCCATGGATTTATTTTGATGCAAATTATTTGATTAAAAACTAAACAATTCTATTACAAAACTAAACAATTCTATTACTAGAGAAAAATATAAAGAATCCTTAGATATAAAATAATCTGCATTTTAAAGTCACTTTGATAACAATTTTTCAGTTTACCCCTTGAGAAGCCACAAAGTGGAGGAAGCAATTAATATCAGAACTTCAAACTACCAGTGGAAAAATACCTTATTATTTTATTCTTCATCTTGTTTTTGCTTCACAAAGAGTGGTGTGTGAATAATGGGGAATGTTTGTTATATATGTTAAAATATTCATGGATGCCACCTAATGCTATTTTCTCCTTTGGATACTAGCTAGATTGTAGTCTCTTATAATTACTTGTACTGGATGCCAAAAGAACCAAGGTATGATTTCTTGTAGAGCCCAAATAAAATAAAATTATTTCCTGAAACTATCTTGCTCTATTTACTTGGCCTTGATTCTCTCTAACAATTGCTTCCAACATTAGATAATGTATTTTTAGTTTTTTCTTTCCTGCCAGCATTCAGTATCTATGCATTTGTACATTTTCATAAGTCCCTTCTTTTTTCAAATGGCATTATGTGTTTGCACATAAATTCTTCTCTTTTCCCTTGTCACGTCTGCTAATCTTTTTGCTGTTGTTGCTGCATTTGGCACTGCAAGTTCAATTTAACTTATGAAAATCAGGCTGTCTATTCTGCTTCATTCATCATCATCAACTAAAATCATTCTGGAATCAAAACTTGTTTTCTATTATCTTGTTATTTTTGGTGATGATATATGGAAGGGAAAGTAGACAGTATCAGGGTATAGAATTTAACTGTAGTTTATAACAAACATCTGCCTCTGTATAGCAACCTTGTGGGATTTGTGCAGACTCTAATCTACAAAAATCAAAATTCAGACAGAAGCTTTTTATGCCAAATATTCTTTACATGCAGAACTCAGTATGTGGATCATCAAAAGAAAATTCAAGTGTCAAATATACATAGATTACCTGTATTATATAATTACAAGAAAAAACATAAATACCCAGCATCTCCTATGTATAATACATAATTTAAGTTGAATATAGAAACTTTTGTCTTTATAACTTGAAGCAAAACATACAATTTAATAGATCAAAACACATTTTGGAGAATTGTTTTTAGGAAAAATTGAACAAAGAGTGGCTCCATTTTGTCAGTAACTTGGGAGAGGTGTAAACTCAGCTAATTGAACAAAGAGTGGCTCCATTTTGTCAGTAACTTGGGAGAGGTGTAAACTCAGCTACCTCTTCTAGTGCAAAAAAGTGGGAAAACATTCTTAACATATTAAGGTTCAATAATGAATGCATAGTATCATAGTTTTCTCTGAGCTCATGAAAGGAAAGGGATGTGTCTTACACATCCCTGTGTAAGACAGGGATGCTTGTCTTACACAGACTTAGAAGGTTGTAAAGGAAATCACTCAGAATCTTTATCCCTTTACTATGCAATTCTAAATGTAATAATTAAATTATAGATTAAAATGTAATCTTTTTTCTATTATACATTATGTCACTCATATAAATGCTAGACTTTAAAGCAAACACATAATGTCTAAGTATTATAATTCATTCATCATTTGAGCAGACTTAGGAAAAGTTATTTAATTTGGCCATTCATTTATTTAGATTCTTTGGTCTTTAAAGTTCTGTAAAATCATCTGATAAAGCTAAAAATAATACCTAAATTTTAAAGCGATATATTAAATTATCTCTATTGTGAGCAAAACATTTATGATGGATTACAAGAAATAAAGTAATAGCTCAAAAATGTTTCTTATAATTTTAATGATATTTTATTGTTATTTTGACCAACATGTTTTTCTGAACCTTAACATTTTAGTTTTACTCTATGTACTATGTGTGTAGATTGCCTCCAATTTACGATTTTCTAATTGTACTACTTGGTTGATGTCTTAGTTTAGCTAAATCCTTTTTTTTTTTTCCCAAAACACTTGATGTTGGAGGGCTCTTTAAAGGTCCTATAGTCCAACCTCTGACCATGTGCTGAAAACTCCCAACAACAACCCAGAGATGTGGCCAGTGTGGAAACGCTCACAGAGAAAAACACAACTTTCTCCTAAGCAATGTCTTCCAGTTGGGAAGTTCTTACTCATATTAAATCAAAATTTTACCATCTATATTTCTTTTTAGAGGTTTTTCTTTTAGAGATCAACTCAGAAAATGTACTGTTACAACTATATCAAAACTCCTCACATATTTATTAATATTTGTCATGTTGCAGAACATTCAATATATTAGATAAAATAATTATATTTCCTTTAACTGCTCTTCCAGTGACATGGATTTCAGGCCCTCATATATCATTCTCTCTCCTTTCCTAACTTACCAGATTTATTTTTCTTAATATCTCTATTAAATTGTCATTTCTAGATGTATGTACAGTTTTCTTAACATGATTAGACTTATACTAAAATTTATCATTTAAACATTTTTCAAATATCACATTTACTTTAAGACTGAAATATTTTTGCTAACTATACTGCTGGCTCATGTTGAACACATAATTATTAAAGACACTGTTATTTTATTCATTTGATAAATATTTAAAAGTGCATGCTACTACTAATACTACTACTACTTGTGGTTAAAACTGTGTTAGGTGGTTGGAAGATACAGATTTTGAAAAATAGGAATATCAATATAGTTAGTATGTATAAAATAATCTTCTGTGATCCAATTGCATACTGTTTTATATATTTATATTAATTTGTTTTACTAAGAATCATAAAAGGTTCCTGGGAGTTGCTATATATGGTACATCCTGAAGAATGAATAGGAGATAATTGGAACAGAAAACACAAACATGTGAAATAACATGATGATTCTTTGGAAAACTGAAGGCCTTATGAAGATATGTATGAAGATATGTACTAGGACATTAAGCTAACTAAAATAAAAGACAATATTTAGATCATAAATTCTCCAAGGTTCTAGGTTAAGGTGTTTCTTGTATTACATTTATTTTTGTTAAAAAAAATTTAACTCCACCTACTTTTGGGAAAACAAAAGTATAATGAAGAATTTCTAATATAGAGTGACAACATATGCACATCTCCTATCCTTCCAGGAAAACTATTGTAATAAAAGTAAAATATACAAGAAGCTCATTAATCAAAATCAATGAAAAACATAACAATGACAGTGTAGGTAAGTGTCTCAGAGATTTCCATATACCTATGGAGGATGAAAAGTGGAGAGATAAATGATAGTTGAAATGCCTGGGTAAAAAAACTATACAGCCTAGAAGAGATTACTAAAAAGAAAGAAGAAGGTAACCAAGTTGCCCCTGCACCCTTAAAAGAGAAAAACTTCAAAGATGTTAGATACTTGGTATGAGAAAGGCCAGAAAAAAAAAACTGAAAACAGTAGAATTGAAATCAAGTCTGTATATTGAAGATACTACAATATTTTTTCACCCACTGCAAGGTTATACCTCCTCAGGTAGAAGTTCTGAAGTTTCCGTTCCAGATAAAAGAGTAAAAGAAAATACTTCACTATATTCAGAAATCCTCCAAAGAAATATCCAAGACCCTACCCACAGATATTAAAGCAGATACCTCTAGCTAACATGGCACACCCATATACAGAGTATACCCAAACAATCTTTGGTTCATACATTAAAACATAACTGAAGAATATCTGACATGTAAGAAAAGACTTCAATTTAAGGTAGAGATGCCACAGAAAATATAATTATATAGAAGGAAGAAACTATGAAGAGCGCTAAACTGAAAAAATGTTATCTTTGGATGTGATAGGAGAAAATATTTCATCCAGAATACAACAATCATAGAACACAAACTAGCTTTTAAAAATGTAATATGGGATTGCTGAAATGAAAAAAAAAGTAATTTGATAGCACAACAGGGTGACTATAGTCAATAATAACTTAATTGTACATTTTTAAATAACTAAAGAGTGTAATTGGATTGTTTGTAACTCAAAGGATAAATGTTTGAGGGGATGGATACCCCATCCTCTATAATGTGATTATTTCACATTGCATGCCTGTATCAAAACATAACATATACCTCATAAATATATATACCCACTGTATTATTCCATTTTCATGCTGCTGATAAAGACATATCTGAGACTGGGAAGAAAAAGAGGTTTAATTGGACTTACAGTTCCACATAGCTGGGGAGGCCTCCAAGTCATGGAAGTAGGCAAAAGACACTTCATAGATGGCGGCGGCAAGAGAACAAGAGGAAGATACAAAAGTGGAAGCCCCTGATAAAACCATCAGATCTCGTGAGGCTTATTTACTACCACGAGAACAGTATAGGGGAAGCAGCCCCCATGATTCAAATTATCTTCCACTGAGTCCCTCCCACAACATGTAGGAGGTATGAAAGTACAATTTAAGGTGAGACTTGCATGGAGACACAGAGCCAAACCATACCACCTACTATGTACTCATGAAAATTGAAAATAAAATATTTTTAAAATAAAACAATTGGAATTATTTTAATGAAATAGGAAGCCAATTAAATCCCTTAGAAATTAGACTAAAAAAGAGAAGGTACTGAAAGTATCAAAGACAAGACACAGGAATAGAACATCAATCTCAAAACATTGGGAACTCCAGGAAGTGAAAACAGACAAGATTAAAGAAAGAAAATTATCAAAGAAATAATACAAACTGAGGCCCCATATCTGAAGTACACATATCTTCAGAGGAAAAGATATCAAAATGTGTTCAGGAAAATAAATTAAAAAAAAACAAAAACAAAAACAAAAACAAACCAAAAAAACCTCAAACACAGAATATCATTGTGAAATTTCAGAACAAAGACAAGAAAAATATTTAAAATTTTTATATATGTCATCTAAAGAGCAGTAAAAATCATACTAACTTTGAGCTTCTGAATGTAGATTGTCAGTATCAAATTCCATGCTCAGGCAAACTGGCAATCAATTATATAAGACAGGATATAGACATCACTAGTCATGTAAGAACTCAGAACATTGAACTCATACTCATTTTTTTCTTAATGAGCCATCTGAGAATGTGCTTTTGTAAAGTAAAAAGATAGCAAAAAGTATTAAATACAGATATAGATATAGAAAAAGCCAATAAACCTAAAATATCAACAAAAATATGGTCTGAGATAAAAGCAGTGATTGATCAGGCCTGGAGAAAAGTAAATACAATGTAGACTAAATGAACATTGGAGCTTTAGATGGTGAATTTGGGATTACGAAAATGAAATAGATAGTATAAGTGGACATTTAGGAAAGGTTTATGATGAGGAATTAGACCATTAGGAAGAACAGAAAGACAATCCTGGTCTTAAGGAGAATCATAATTATTTTACACCTTCTCTCTAAGTGACACTATTTAAATGGTCACTGATTAGAGATTTAACTAATATCAAATATGTGTATCAAAGTTTATGAAAGATGAGGGAAAAAAGGGGGTTATGTAAGGGAATACAATTGTCTCTTATTACTAGAAGTCAAAAATAATACCCAAAATTGACAGATCAAGATTTAGTGAGTACATATACATATATATAGTTTTCTGGACAAGAATAAGAACAGAACAAAAGTATATATATGTGTTTGTGTGTGGGTGGGTGGGTTGACGTGTGGGGGGGGTGCCATTTTAATTTCTGATAGTAACTCTTAGAAGTATCTGATAAAGGAGCTGAAATTATGATTTTTGAAGGAGTGGGACGTAATAGTCAGGAACGACTCACTAAAGCTTTCTTCTCTCATCTCAACTGGTTTTCAGCCTTACCTCCTCCATTACCTGCAACTCAACAGCCATTCTTCTTTTGCTATTCTTATTCATGTCCAGAAAAGTAGTGGTACAAGGAGGAGAACTCAGGTTAAGAAAAAGATAGACAGGAAAATTCCAAAACTCCCCAGTGTATCAACAGAAAGGTAGCTTCCCACCTGTAATAAATTTTAATTTGGCTAATCTGGACTTGAATTCAGCTGCATATTTGCTTCTACACTTTTGGCATTCTAGCATATCGTTGTGAATACTATGTCAATTATGACGCACCAGAGTCTGTCATTTTCCATTAAGTCAGAAGAAAGAGCATATGCCTTCCCTATTATTCCTGAAATGAAATTATTTTACAACCAGCTCGTTTCAGAAACAAAACATGATTTTGCACATTTGTGGATTTTGTTGTTATTCTCATTTTGTTGGATGTCTAGAAGCTTTTTTTTTTTTTACCAATGCAGAAAGAAATTACCATATATTTAGACATATATTTTATTTTGCTTTACTTATTCCTCAGGTTGGTTTAAATCTAAACATACATACTACTTTCACAATGGTTTCTATTGACTTCAATGGATCACACTCTGTACTGATGCCCCCTGTGAGATAGAAAAGAAAGAAGCTTGTTCATAGATTCCCTGTAGCACATCAACACCACTGATTCATGGCTTTAAGGACTTTAGTCACTAATTTCCTCCCACCAATGGGGAGACCCATTGCTCAATGTGTTTGGACTCTTATGGCTGCCCACTGTGACTTCAGTTCTTAATCTGCCTGAAAGTGTCAAAAGCCACACTGCTGTTAGGAGGGAGAGTTATTTTTTTTTAAAAGAAAAAAAAACCCTGCTGCTGGGAGTGATGATTTTCAGTCCTAAGAAGCCCATGATAATGGAGAGAGCGCTGAAATACATTTATTCTGTTCACTCTTGAATGAATAACCACCACAGTTCATCTATGTATGTCAGAGAATATTTTAACAATGAATTTTCACTTAGGGACCTCCAGCATGGGTAGTATGCTTAAAATTTTGCATGTTAGTTCCCTGTCATCAATGTCTAAATGGAAAAAAATCTTGTTATTAACAAAAGAAATAAGCTTGATATATTTGGTGTCCATGTCTTAAAGTTCTATGTTAACTATTAACTTGTATTTACACAAAGTGAATATATGAGCGGTTTTTCTCATTAAGGATGTATTTGATTTTTATACAAATAGGTCAAATGTATTAAACAGCATAACATATATAAAGATGCTTAACCTCACTGGTAATCAAGTAAACACAAATTGAAACATCAGTGAGTTATTTTTCACTTTCTAAATTAGAAATATTGATAAAGTAATACTACTTGATGTTGAAAATAGTTCTTGCTGAAAATAAATCAGTTCTTTCATTTTAGAAAGCAATCTGTCAATAGGAATTTAAAACCATTAATATGTTTATCCCCTTGACACATTAATCCAACATTTGAGAATCTATCTTATGATATTAACCTGAAAATAGCAATATAAGCAAGTGTCTAATTCAACATGACTTGTAATTTGTACAAGTTGTCCCACAATATGGAGAAGATTAATTAAACTATGATACAACATTACAGTCATTCATTTATTTTAATAAGAAATAAAATACTTCTCTTATAAGGCTTATACCAAAAATCTTATCCTGAACATAATTGATACCAAACTTACAAGCTAAGAAAGATTGAACATGTTTGACATTTGAGAAAAAAAAAGCAGAATGCATATTTACATATATGGTATTTTTATTGATCTGGACTCTTTTGGATGCAAGTGATAGACTAAAATTAACTCACTTATTATAGGACTGGTAGACAGTAGAGTTGTTCACAGAAGTAAAGAAAACACTAAAATTCAAACTCTTTTTTTAAATTATAGTTTAAGTTCTAGGGTACATGTGCACAATGTGCAGGTTTGCTACATATGTATACATGTGCCATGTTGGTGTGCTGCACCCATTAACTCATCATTTACATTAGGTATATCTACTAATGCTATTGCTCCCCCCACTACACCCCACGACAGACCCCAGTGTGTGATGTTCCCCACCCTGTGTCCAAGTGTTTTCATTGTTCAGTTCCCACCTATGAGTGAGAACATGCAGTGTTTGGTTTTCTGTCCTTGCGATAGTCTGCTGAGAATGATGGTTTCCAGCTTCATCCATGTCCCTACAAAGGACATGAACTCATCCTTTTTTATGGCTGCATAGTATTCCATGGTGTATATGTGTCATATTTTCTAAATCCAGTCTATCACTGATGGACAATTGGGTTGGTTCCAAGTCTTTCCTATTGTGAATAGTGCTGCAATAAACATACGTGTGCATGTGTCTTTATAGCAGCATGATTTTATAATCCTTTGGGTATATGTCCAGTATTGGGATGACTGGGTCAAATGGTATTTCTAGTTCTAGATCCCTGAGGGATCGCCACACTGTCTTCCACAATGTTGAACTAGTTTACAGTCCCACCAACAGTGTAAAAGTGTTCCTATTTTCCACATTCTCTCCAGCATCTGTTGTTTCCTGACTTTCTAATGATCACCATTCTAACTGGTGTGAGATGGTATCTCATTGTGGTTTTGATTTGCATTTTTCTGATGGCCAGTGATGATAAGCATTTTTTCATGTGTCTGTTGGCTGCATAAATGTCTTCTTTTGAGAAGTGTCTGTTCATATCCTTCGCCCACTTTTTGATGGGGTTGTTTGATTTTTTCTTTTAAATTTGTTTAAGTTCTTTGTAGATTCTGGATACTAGCCCTTTGTCAGATGGGTAGATTGTAAACTTTTTCTCCCATTCTGTAGGTTGCTTCTTCACTCTGATGGTAATTTCTTTTGCTGTGCAGAAGCTCTTTAGTTTATTTAGATCCCATTTGTCAATTTTGGTTTTTGTTGCCATTGCTTTTGGTGTTTTAGTCGTGAAGTCCTTGCCCATGCCTGTGGCCTGAATGGTATTGCTTAGGTTTTCTTTTAGGGTTTTTATGGTTTTAGGTCTAACATTTAAGTCTTTAATCCACTTTGAATTAACTTTTGTATAAGGTGTAAGGAAGGGATCCAGTTTCAGCTTTCTACATATGGCTAGCCAGTTTTCCCAGCACCATTTATTAAATAGGGAATCCTTTCCCCATTGCTTGCTTTTCTCAGGTTTGTCAAAGATCAGATGATTGTAGATGTGTGGTATTATTTCTGAGGGCTCTATTCTGTTCCGTTGGACTATATCTCTGTTTTGGTATGAGTACAATGCTGTTTTGGTTACTGTAGCCTTGTAGTATAGTTTGAAGTCAGGTAGCATGATACCTCCAGCTTTGTTCTTTTGGCTTAGGATTGTCTTGGCAATGCGGGCTCTTTTTTGGTTCCATATGAAATTTAAGGTAGTTTTTTTCCAATTCTGCAAAGAAAGTTATTGGTAGCTTGATGCAGTTGGCATTGAATCTATAAATTACCTTGGGCAGTATGGCCATTTTGATGATATTGATTCTTCCTATCCATGAGCATGGAATGTCCTTCCATTTGTTTGTGTCCTCTTTTATTTTGTTGAGCAGTGGTTTGTAGTTCCCCTTGAAAAGGTCTTTCACATGCTTTGTAAGTTGGATTCTTAGGTATTTTATTCTCTAACGTCATAATGACAGGATCAAATTCACACATAACAATATTAACCTTAAATGTAAATGGGCTAAATGCTCCAATTAAAAGACACAGACTGCCAAATTGGATAAAGAGTCAAGACCCATCAGTGTGCTGTATTCAGGAGACACATCTCACCTGCAGAGACACACATAGGCTCAAAATAAAGGGATGGAGGAAGATCTACCAAGCAAATGGAAAACAAAACAAAAGCAGGGGTTGCAATCCTAGTCTCTGATAAAACAGACTTTAAACCAACAAAGATCAAAACAAAGAAGGCCATTACATAATGGTAAAAGGATCAATTCAACAAGAAGAGCTAACTATCCTAAATATATATGGACCCAATACAGAAGCATCCAGATTCACAAAGTAAGTCCTGAGAGACCTACAAAGAGACTTAGACTCCCACACAATAATAATGGGAGACTTTAACATCCCACCGTCAACATTAGACAGATCAACGAGACAGAAAGTTAACAAGGATATCCAGGAATTGAATTCAGCTCTGCACCAAGTAGACCTAATAGACATCTACAGAACTCTCCACCCCAAATCAACAGAATATACATTCTTCTCAGCACCACACCACACTTATTCCAAAATTGACCACTTAGTTGGAAGTAAAGCACTCCTCAGCAAATGTAAAAGAACAGAAATTATAACAAACAGTCTCTCAGACCACAGTGCAATCAAACTAGAACTCAGGATTAAGAAACTCATTCAAAACCGCTCAACTACATGGAAACTGAACAACCTGCTCCTGAATGACTACTGGGTACATAACGAAATGAAAGCAGAAATAAAGATGTTCTTTGAAACCAATGAGAACAAAGACACAACATACCAGAATCTCTGGGACACATTTAAAGCAGTGTGTAGAGGGAAATTTACAGCACTAAATGCCCACAAGAGAAAGCAGGAAAGATCTAAAATGGACACCCTAACATCACATTAAAAGAACTAGAGAAGCAAAAGCAAACACATTCAAAAGCTAGCAGAAGGCAAGAAATAAGTAAGATCAGAGCAGAACTGAAGGAGATAGTGAAACAAAAAACTCTTCAAAAAATCAATGAATCCAGGAGCTGGTTTTTTGAAAAGATCAACAAAATTCATGGTCCACTAGCAAGACTAATAAAGAAAAGAGAGAAGAATCAAATAGACGCAATAAAAAATGACAAAGGGGATATCACCACTGATCCCACAGAAATACAAACTACCATCAAAGAATACTATAAACACCTCTACACAAATAAACTAGAAAATCTAGAAGAAATGGATAAATTTCTGGACACATACACCCTCCCAAGACTAAACCAGGAAGAAGTTGAATCCCTGAATAGACCAATAACAGGCTCTGAAATTGAGGCAATAATTAATAGCCTACCAACCAAAAAAAGTCCAGGACCAGAAGGATTCACAGCTGAATTCCACCGTAGGTACAAAGAGGAGCTGGTACCATTCCTTCTGAAACTATTCCAGTCAATAGAAAAAGAGGGAATCCTCCCTAAATCATTTTATGAGGCCAGCATCATCCTGATACCAAAGCCTGGCAGACACACAACAAAAAAATTGAATTTTAGAACAATATCCCTAATGAATATCGATGTGAAAATCCTCAGTGAAATACTGGCAAACTGAATCCAGCAGCACATCAAAAAGCTTATCCATCAAGATCAAGTTGGCTTCATCCCTCGGATGCAAGATTGGTTCAACATATGCAAATCAATAAACACAATCCATCATATAAACAGAACCGAAGACAAAAACCACATGATGATCTCAATAGGTGCAGAAAAGGCCTTCAACAAAATTCAACAGCCCTTCATGCTAAAAACTCTCAATAAACTAGGTATTGATGGGACGGATCTCAAAATAATAAGAGCTATTTATGACTAACCCACAGCCAATATCATACTGAATGGGCAAAAACTGGAAACATTCCCTTTGAAAACGGGCACAAGACAGGGATGCCCTCTGTCAGCACTCCTATTCAACATAGTGTTGGAAGTTCTGGCCAGGGCAATCAGGCAGGAGAGAGAAATAAAGGGTATTCAATTAGGAAAAGAGGAAGTAAAATTGTCCCTGTTTGCTGATGACATGATTGTGTATTTAGAAAACTCCATTGTCTCAGCCCTAAATCTCCTTAAGCTGATAAGCAACTTCAGAAAATTCAAACCTCTTAAGGAGGGTGAAATCAAGTCAGCCTGAAGCAATACAAAGCTAATAACCAAGGACCCCAGAGCCTCCAGTCTTTCTATTTCTTGGCTTGTCTCTCTCTCTTTTATTTTGAATGTTGGCTTCATTTTTGTCTTTTATAAGCATGGTGCTATACACAGAAGGAAGCATGACCCCTATCACATTGGTGTTAGTTTATGAAAACATCTGCATCCACAAAGGAAAAGGCTCTCCTTAGAAAAGTTTCTTACTGGCTCAATTTATGTCATGTCATTTTAGTGAGTATATGTACAGTGGAACAATGCTAACCCCTTGCCTTCGCAAAGTAGAAGGAAGCAGACACATGCTCATTGAGGGAATCATTGTATCACAGATACAACCTCAGCATGTGCCTTCTAGAAAAAAATTAACATGAGGAAAGAACATAAATAAGGAAAAGAACTGAAAAAGAATATACCAAAAATTTCACGTGACTTTTATTAGAGGTGGGCGTGTCTCTTAAAAAAATAAAGACAAAACCAACAAAATGAATAAGAACCCTCCCTAATTGGCTATTTTCTATGTTTTCTACAATGCACATATATTTTGTACTATTCTTTTTAGTTGTACCATATAATATCTCACAAATACTTAAAACAAATGCAAGATAATATAAAAATATCAATGCATCATAGATATGGCAACATAAAGATGGGTACTAAGATAGGAGTTGCTTAGTGGCGTGTGAGCATTTTTAGGTACTTCTATGCCAAACCACTTTTTGTCCAACAGAATAATGATGCAGCTGGGTAGGAAGGTAGGCAGAAATACATGACATATGACATATGACATAAATTTAACAGAAACACAAACCCCTCATCTCCACTATTTGACAAATGTAGAAAAATAATACATGTGCAATTATTTCCCAGCTAATACAGGTATAAACTTCTTTGGAGGTGGGAAATTAAAATAAAATGGGGTGACACATAATTCAGACTTACCATTCAAATTTACATAGACTAAATTAGCATCCTTAAAAATTACCTTTCTCCATAACATGATTATGATGACTCAGTTTTTGGACTTCATTAGTCAAATCCAGATTATTACAGTACCAGTAGCAGGAGATTCCACGTAGTCTATCCTGTATAGTGAAGTGAATAACAACTTTTTTTTTCAGATTTTGGAGATTATCAGAACATGTCAATTATCTTGAAACATGCCCATCCAGCATATCAAAGGTTAACATTCTGATGAGTTGGCTTTTCTGATGGATTCTTAGCGTTTATGTCTATAAATCTACATTATAGATCACTTACCTCCTCATATTAAAATAGTAAGACCTTTTACCTAAATGTCAGGAAAAATCAATGATAATGATGAGTTGGCACACTTTTTCTCAGTGAGTTTTAGAGCCTCAGTTAAGCTCTCTAAATAATATGAAAAGTAATTTTGTGATAATTTGTTCAGCTCTGGCATTACACACTAAATTCCTATGAAATGCAAATATACTTTTTGACACTTCCTTATTAAGGTATATGCTGTTTACTTGGAAAGAGTAACGTTTGTGGTGATATACTCATTTATTTATTTCTTATACCCTAGGGTTGGTGGCAGGTCAAGGGTGACCTTCCTTAACTACTGAAAATAAGAGAATCACTCCTTAATGAGATATTTTAGAGTCCATGAGATTGAGAAAAATGATTTACCTTACAAGAAGAATTGTTCCCTTATAACTTATACATTAGAACAATCTTGTCTTGCTAGATAGTGAAACATAGAAATATTTAGTAGAAAATCCACCCTTATCTCTACCCTGTTATTAGTGGCAAGTAGAGAATATAGCCACTGTGGTGTTATTCTAATGGGCAAACAGAGAAGAAATGGAACTAGAAGCTAACTTTGAGAATGTACCTAAAGCCCAGGAGCCTTAATGTTCAGATGACTTAATCCCAGGAATCTTGTATTCCTGATTCTACAGTTTTCTCCATGGATAAGGTATAAGCGGAAAAAGAACAAAACAGTATCTGAATAATCCTGCCCAGATACCCTCAGCCCCTATTTAGGATCTCTCACCTGCTTCCAGAGACTCAGGAGCCAGAAATCAATATCTTAGAATCAAATCTTTAAAAATTTAAGATAGATTAATTGTTCAAAATTTCCCAATGGCATCTCTTCTTTTTAAGAGCAAGTAAGAATCCTGTAGTGACATAAAAGACCCAATAAAATCTCTCTCAACCCTTCAATGTCTCACCTTCTATTTTATCTCTTATTACTCTCACTTTCTCTTATGCTTTCTGCTTTCAGAGTCTGTCACTTCCTTATTATTTCCAAAACATGCCAGTAATGTTCCAATCTCATGATTTTTGCTACCTCTTCTGCCTAGTGTATTCTTCCTGCAGACACTGTCAGATTCTGTCACCTTTTTCAGATCATTGCTTAAAGATCAACTTCTTAATCAGGCTTTCCCTAAGAAAACAATTTAAAATTGCAATACCCCACAATGTCTCCAACACTTGTTATCCAATCCTGCTGTTTATTTATTAAGGCTTATCTGACATATGATAGGTCTTAGATGAGATTTTGCCAATAGCAGACATGGAGACAGAAGTTTGAGTGCAAATAATTTATGAGAAAAGTGATCCCAGAAATCACTAGTAGAGGAAAAGAGAAGTGAAACAGAGAAAGAAAGGACATTAATACAGGATGCATTAAAGAGCAGGTTACTGCTGTGGCCAACTGGGGCTCAAATGTCATGAAAACATCTGGGGAACCTGAGAGAAAATACCTGAGTTGTCCCATACAAGCCCTGAGAAAACTGTAGTATTTAACTGTCAATTTATTAATGGTGTTTTCAATAAGAAACCATCAGATTTGGACACACAGGAAAAGCACTGGCTACTAACCTTATCTGCTACAGAGCACCCTTTGCATGACTAAGAGCTACTCATTGCCCACATTAAGTTCATTTAATTTAACTGCTACTGATTCTTTAAGATGATGGTGAGTCATATATCTAAAAAATGAATCAAATGCTAAAAATAAAGCAAAAGTGTTACAGGGAAAAGCTACAGATCCCCACTATTGCAACTGGTTGCTTGACAAGTGGGGTAAGCTAGAGCATTCTGGGAGGGACTGGGCTCCTATTGCCATGTCCTATCTGGCTTCAGATGCTTCAATCAACCTTTCAAGGCTATCACCAAAGCAAAAACACCAAGAGTCATCCCAGCAAAATCACTGAATTCATACAACCTCTTCCTTGCACCAGTAAGCAGCAACAATCTTTTAGACTCTAATGATAATAAAGATCAATTACCCTGCTGGTGTACCTACTTCCCTTCTTTCCCTAATAGCCCAAGAGAACCTCAAACAGCCACCACAGCATTAGTTTGCCTTCTGTTGTTACAGAAGTTTTTCCTATCACCTCAAGAACCAAAATATTTAATCGCATCACTTCTGAAGATATAGGGGTGGGAAACACATATTCTGTAATATGTAATATGTGAAGAGTTGTGAGAGTGGTCATCCCTGCCTCCTGCATTTGGCGTCTGGACCATTTTAATCTAGCTATAAGGGACACAGAATCATGTCATAGGCTTTTTAAAAATATATGTACTGCATATTGATGAATAGCAGGATGTAATCCTTAAGACAGTGTCCTAGCTGGGCCTTGAAAAGGTCATTCCAGAGTTTTATCCGATTGCCAATTTGTGATTTTGAATACTCAATGACACTAGTATTTTCTGAGTTATTTCATGTGTAAATGTGGTTTAGTAATATTAACGTGATGTAGCCTTGCTTTCCATAAATTAAATATCTTCTATCTGGGCCTCGTTTTCCCTACTATATAAAGGAAGAAGATTGACCTAGGTGATTTATAAAAACTTTTTTAGTTCTCATTTATTTTCTTTTTTATCCAGATAAGCAGAAAGCTATTTCTGCATCATTTTGATATTTGTACTATAGAGAAAGTGCATATCCAATGAACTTGAGCTGGTGATGTCCACTACGTGGTAATAGTATGAACCCAGATGGTAATTTCTCATATGAAATACCTTATACATTTATATCTACTTGAACTGGCTTGGTGTACATTTCTAAGACAAATCTTTAAAATTATAGGAGTATTAGATTCCAGAAAGAAACTGTTAAAGTTAATGAAATATAATAATGATGGTGAGTAAGTTAATTCTGTAAATAATTCAACATATCAACAGCTGGTAATGGCCATATTTATTATTTTATTATTATTCTCTATATTTTCTCAAAAAGGTATTGACTTGTGAAAAAAACACTAAAGTATATGATTCATAACACTATATAAAAGTTGAATTAGATAATTTTCTGAACATTTATGAAACCTAAAACATCTTAGAGTATTTTTGTAATTTCAGTCTTGATTAAAGAGCTAGAAAACCCATTTTCTAAATAAATTTTGCTCTGCTATTCCAAGTTATCTGATTGCACATCTGAAGTAGTAAATACCACCAAGGACAGACACATCCTTATACTTATAGACAGATGAAATATCCTTACGTATGAACATAGAAACCCAATATGAATAATTTATTGTCAGAATTAGTGGTAGATCTAACTTATCGCAATAGGTGAGTCGAGCCTTGAACTACTAACTAGTGATAAGAATTATAAGGTTAATGATCTTGGAACTTTGCAATAATCTTTTTAGTCTAAAAATAAAATGATTGTTACCAAAAGCTTCAAGGAACATTCACACGATGGAATTAAGAGTTAGGTTACAGAAAGTAAACTGAGTAGTAGAAATAAAATGGCTTAGAATTAAGCATAGAGTGCCGAGATTATTATTAAGATTTTTTGACTGATGTTCTAGATTCATTTATTCATTCAACAATTATGTATTAAGTTTCTGATATGTGCCTAGCATCCTTCTAGATATTGGGGATATGATAGTAATAAAAACAATAATCTTTGTCACCCATGGGTCTTATAGACTGAAAGGGTCAGACAGGTAGAAACAGATATATTTTATATTTAATATATTTTTAAGTACATATTAGCAAAATACATAGTATGGAATGTGATATGATAAAGACTATAAAAAATAGCTGTTTATTCTGTTGATAATTTCTCTTGCTGCGTAGAAGCTCTTTAGTTTAATTAGGTTCCACTTGTCAAGTTCTGTTTTTGTTGCAACTGATTCTGAGGACTTAGCCATGAATTCTTTGCCAAGGCTGATATTGAGAAGCATATTTCCTAGGTTGTCTTCTAGGATTTTTATAGTTGAAGTTTTACATTTAAGTCTTCAATCCATCTTGAGTTAATTTTTATATATGGTGATAGGTAGGAGTACAGATTCATTCTTCTGCATATGGATAGCCAGTTATCCCGGCACCATTTGTTGAGTTGGATAATTGGAGAAAATATTCACAAACCATGTATCCAACAAAGGTCTAATATTCGGAATCTATAAGGAACTTAACAAAATAACAAGCAAAAAACCTCAACCCTATTAAAAAGGAGACAAAGACATGAACAGACACTTCTCAAAAGAAGACATACAAGTGGCAACAAACATATGAAAACATGCTTCTCATTATTAATTATCAGAGAAATGCCAATCAAAATGACAATGAGATATCATCTCATGCCAGTCAGTGTGGCTTTTGTTAAAAAGTAAAAAAAAAAAAAACAATGTTGGCAAGGCTATGGAGAAAAGAGAACACCTATACGCTGCTGGTGGGAACGTAAATTAATTCAGCAACTGCGGAGAACAGTTTGGTGATTTCTCAAAAAACTAAGAGTTGAACTACCATTCAACCCAGAAATCTCATAACTAGGTACATATCAATGAATGAATCAGTCTACCAAAAAGATACGTGTACCTGTATCATTCTACCAAAAAGACAAATGCACATTGCATACAGTGAATGTTGCACTATTCACAATAGCAAAGATGTGGAATCAACCCAGATGCCCATCAATACTGTGTTGAATAAAGAAAATGCGGTACAACATACACCATGGGATTCTATGCAGCCATAAAAAGAATGAAACTGTGTTCTTTGCAGCAATATGGATGCAACTGGAAACCATTATCCTACTCACTAATGCAGAAACAGAAAACCAAATGCTCCATGTTCTCACTTATAAGTGGGAGATAAATATTAGGTAAAAGTGGAGATAAAGATGGGAACAGTAGACACTGAGGAATATAAGAGAGAGGAGAGAGTAAGGAGGACAAAGTTAGAAAAACTACCTATTGGAAGATGGATTTAGTCATACTTTAAACCTCAGCATTATGCAATATATCTTTTTAAATAATTCTGCACATGTACCCCATGATTCTAAAATAAAAGTTATAAAAAGGATGAAAAATAAAAATGAAACAGGAATAAATGCAGTAAATGGAGAGTGTTTGGGATTTTGTTAAAGCAGTCAATAAAGACCACATTGAGTGATGTGAATAAAGGTCTCAAGAGGCAAAGCAATAAGTCGTGAAGCTGGGCAGATACGCAGAAAAAAAGTGATCCTGGCCATAAGAAGATGATGTGCAAAGGATCTACAAAGGAAGCATTCTTGGTATCTTCCAGGACATCAAGAAAGACAAGCATAGTGCGAGTGAGTGAGCAAGGAGAAGAATCATGGGAGCCAAGGTTAGTCAGGAAGCTAACAAGAGAACAGATCAAAGGAGACCTTCAAGTTCATCCTCTACTCAGAGTAAGGCAGGAAGCCACTGGAAGATTTTGAGTAAAGAAAATCAACATGATCTGATCCAAATGTTAACATGATGATTCTCATTGTTGTGTTAAGGATAGACAGAAAAAGACTTAGGCAGGAATAGAACAGGTTAGGAGGCTATAGCCATAATCAAGTCATGAGAGACTGGTCCAAGTGAGTGTTACAATGATAGCGATGAGAATTGGTTTTATTAACTAGGCATTTTGAAAATAGAGAAAAATTGATTTTTGGGGAGAGAGATGGAGATGTCATTTAATTATATTGGAAAAAACGCTGCTCTCGAGGAGCCAAGATGGCCGAATAGGAACAGCTCCGGTATACAGCTCCCAGAGTGAGTGACGCAGAAGACGGGTGATTTCTGCATTTCCATCTGAGGTACCGGGTTCATCTCACTAGGGAGTGCCAGACAGTGGGCGCAGGTCAGTGGGTGCGCACACCGTGCGCGAGCCGAAGCAGGGCGAGGCATTGCCTCACTTGGGAAGCGCAAGGGTCAGGGAGTTCCTTTTCCGAGTCAAAGAAAGGGGTGACGGATGCACCTGGAAAATCGGGTCACTCCCACCCAAATACTGCGCTTTTCAGACCGGCTTAAAAAACGGCGCACCACGAGATTATATCCCGCACCTGGATCCGAAGGTCCTACGCCCACGGAGTCTCGCTGATTGTTAGCACCGCAGTCTGAGATCAAACTGCAAGGCGGCAGGGAGGCTGGGGAAGGGGCGGCCGCCATTGCCCAGGCTTCCTTAGGTAAACAAAGCAGCCGGGAAGCTCGAACTGGGTGGAGCCCACCACAGCTCAAGGAGGCCTGCCTGCCTCTGTAGGCTCCACCTCTGGGGTCAGGGCACAGACAAACAAAAAGACAGCAGTAACCTCTGCAGACTTAAATGTCCCTGTCTGACAGCTTTGAAGAGAGCAGTGGTTCTCCCAGCACGCAGCTGGAGATCTGAGAACGGGCAGACTGCCTCCTCAAGTGGGTCCCTGACCCCTGACCCCCGAGCAGCCTAACTGGGAGGCACCCCCCAGCAGGGGCACACTGACACCTCACACGGCAGGGTATTCCAACAGACCTGCAGCTGAGGGTCCTGTCTGTTAGAAGGAAAACTAACAAACAGAAAGGACATCCACACCAAAAACCCATCTGTACATCACCATCATCAAAGACCAAAAGTAGATAAAACCACAAAGATGGGGAAAAAACAGAACAGAAAAACTGGAAACTCTAAAAAGCAGAGCGCCTCTCCTCCTCCAAAGGAACGCAGTTCCTCACCAGCAATGGAACAAAGCTGGATGGAGAATGACTTTGACGAGCTGAGAGAAGAAGGCTTCAGATAATCAAATTCCTCTGAGCTACGGGAGGACATACAAACCAAAGGCAAAGAAGTTGAAAACTTTGAAAAACATTTAGAAGAATGTATAACTAGAATAACCAATACAGAGAAGTGCTTAAAGGAGCTGAAGGAGCTGAAAACTAAGGCTCGAGAACTACGTGAAGAATGCAGAAGCCTCAGGAGCCGATGCGATCAACTGGAAGAAAGGGTATCAGCAATGGAAGATGAAATGAATGAAATGAAGCGAGAAGGGAAGTTTAGAGAAAAAAGAATAAAAAGAAATGAGCAAAGCCTCCAAGAAATATGGGACTATGTGAAAAGACCAAATCTACGTCTGATTGGTGTACCTGAAAGTGATGGGGAGAATGGAACCAAGTTGGAAAACACTCTGCAGGATATTATCCAGGAGAACTTCCCCAATCTAGCAAGGCAGGCCAACATTCAGATTCAGGAAATACAGAGAACGCCACAAAGATACTCCTCGAGAAGAGCAACTCCAAGACACATAATTGTCAGATTCACCAAAGTTGAAATGAAGGAAAAAATGTTAAGGGCAGCCAGAGAGAAAGGTTAGGTTACCCACAAAGGGAAGCCCATCAGACTAACAGCAGATCTCTCAGCAGAAACCCTACAAGCCAGAAGAGAGTGGGGGCCAATATTCAACATTCTTAAAGAAAAGAATTTTCAACCCAGAATTTCATATCCAGCCAAACTAAGCTTCATAAGTGAAGGAGAAATAAAATACTTTACAGACAAGCAAATGCTGAGAGATTTTGTCACCACCAGGCCTGCCCTAAAAGAGCTCCTGAAGGAAGCACTAAACATGGAAAGGAACAACCGGTACCAGCTGCTGCAAAATCATGCCAAAATGTAAAGACCATCGAGACTAGGAAGAAACTGCATCAACTAACGAGCAAAATCACCAGCTAACATCATAATGACAGGATCAAATCACACATAACAATATTAACTTTAAATGTAAATGGACTAAATGCTCCAATTAAAAGACACAGACTGGCAAATTGGATAAAGAGTCAAGACCCATCAGTATCCTGAATTCAGGAAACCCATCTCACGTGCAGAGACACACATAGCCTCAAAATAAAAGGATGGAGGAAGACCTACCAAGCAAATGGAAAACAAAAAGAGGCATGGGTTGCAATCCTAGTCTCTGATAAAACAGACTTTAAACCAACAAAGATCAAAAGAGACAAAGAAGGCCATTACATAATGGTAAAGGGATCAATTCAACAAGAAGAGCTAAGTATCCTAAATATATATGCAACCAATACAGGAGCACCCAGATTCATAAAGCAAGTCCTGAGTGACCTACAAAGAGACTTAGACTCCCACACATTAATAATGGGAGACTTTAACACCCCACTGTCAATATTAGACAGATCAATGAGACAGAAAGTCAACAAGGATACCCAGGAATTGAACTCAGCTCTGCACCAAGCGGACCTAATAGACATCTACAGAAGTCTCCACCCCAAATCAACAGAATATACATTTTTTTCAGCACCACACCACACCTATTCCAAAATTGACCACATACTTGGAAGTAAAGCACTCCTCAGCAAATGTAAAAGAACAGAAATTATAACAAACTATCTCTCAGACCACAGTGCAATCAAACTAGAACTCAGGATTAAGAATCTCACTCAAAACTGCTCAACTACATGGAAGCTGAACAACCTGCTCCTGAATGACTACTGGATTCTTAACGAAATGAAGGCAGAAATAAAGATGTTCTTTGAAACCAACGAGAACAAAGACACAACATACCAGAATCTCTGGGACACATTCAAAGCAGTGTGTAGAGGGAAATTTATAGCACTAAATGCCCACAAGAGAAAGCAGGAAAGATCCAAAATTGACACCCTAACATCACAATTAAAAGAACTAGAAAAGCAAGAGCAAACACATTCAAAAGCTAGCAGAAGGCAAGAAATAACTAAAATCAGAGCAGAACTGAAGGAAATAGAGACACAAAAAACCCTTCAAAAATTTAATGAATCCAGGAGCTGGTTTTTTGAAAGGAACAACAAAATTGATAGACCGCTAGCAAGACTAGTAAAGAAAAAAAGAGAGAAGAATCAAATAGACACAATAAAAAATGATAAAGGGGATATCACCACCGATCCCACAGAAATACAAACTATCATCAGAGAATACTACTAACACCTCTACACAAATAAACTAGAAAATCTAGAAGAAATGGATGAATTCCTGGACACATATACTCTCCCAAGACTAAACCAGGAAGAAGTTGAATTCCTGAATAGACCAATAACAGGAGCTGAAATTGTGGCAATAATCAATAGTTTACCAACCAAAAAGAGTCCAGGACCAGATGGATTCACAGCCGAATTCTAACAGAGGTACAAGGAGGAACTGGTACCATTCCTTCTGAAACTATTCCAATCCATAGAAAAAAAGGGAATCCTCCCTAACTCATTTTATGAGGCCAGCATCATTCTGATACCAAAGCCGGGCAGAGACACAACGAAAAAAGAGAATTTTAGACCAATATCCTTCATGAACTTTGATGCAAAAATCCTCAATAAAATACTGGCAAACCGAATCCAGCAGCACATCAAAAAGCTTATCCACCATGATCAAGTGGGCTTCATCCCTGGGATGCAAGGCTGGTTCAATATACGCAAATCAATAAATGTAATCCAGCATATAAACAGAGCCAAAGACAAAAACCACATGATTATCTCAATAGATGCAGAAAAAGCCTTTGACAAGATTCAACAACCCTTCATGCTAAAAACTCTCAATAAATTAGGTATTGATGGGACGTATTTCAAAATAATAAGAGCTATCTATGACAAACCCACAGCCAATATCATACTGAATGGGCAAAAACTGGAAGCATTCCCTTTGAAAACTGGCACAAGACAGGGATGCCCTCTCTCACCACTCCTATTCAACAGAGTGTTGGAAGTTCTGGCCAGGGCAATTAGGCAGGAGAAGGAAATAAAGGGTATTCAATTAGGAAAAGAGGAAGTCAAATTGTCCTTGTTTGCAGACGACATGATTGTATATCTAGAAAACCCCATTGTCTCAGCCCAAAATCTCCTTAAGCTGATAAGCAACTTCAGCAAAGTCTCAGGATACAAAATCAATGTACAAAAATCACAAGCATTCTTATACAGCAACAACAGACAAACAGAGAGCCAAATCATGAGTGAACTCCCATTCACAATTGCTTCAAAGAGAATAAAATACCTAGGAATCCAACTTACAAGGGATGTGAAGGACCTCTTCAAGGAGAACTACAAACCACTGCTCAATGAAATAAAAGAGGATACAAACAAATGGAAGAACATTCCATGCTCATGGGTAGGAAGAATCAATATAGTGAAAATGGCCATACTGCCCAAGGTAATTTACAGATTCAATGCCATCCCCATCAAGCTACCAATGACTTTCTTCACAGAATTGGAAAAAACTACTTTAAAGTTCATATAGAACCAAAAAAGAGCCCACATCGCCAAGGCAATCCTAAGCCAAAAGAACAAAGCTGGAGGCATCACACTACCTGACTTCAAACTATACTACAAGGCTACAGTAACCAAAACAGCATGGTACTGGTACCAAAACAGAGATATAGATCAATGGAACAGAACAGAGCCCTCAGAAATAACGCCGCATACCTACAACTATCTGATCTTTGACAAACCTGAGAAAAACAAGCAATGGGGAAAGGAGTCCCTATTTAATAAATGATGCTGGGAAAACAGGCTCGCCATATGTAGGAAGCTGAAACTGGATCCCTTCCTTACACCTTATACAAAAATCAATTCAAGATGGATTAAAGACTTACATGTTAGACCTAAAACCATAAAAACCCTAGAAGAAAACCTAGGCATTACCATTCAGGACATAGGCATGGGCAAGGACTTCATGTCTAAAACACCAAAAGCAATGGCAACAAAAGCCAAAATTGACAAATGGGATCTAATTAAACTAAAGAGCTTCTGCACAGCAAAAGAAACTACCATCAGAGTGAACAGGCAACCTACAAAATGGGAGAAAATTTTCACAACCTACTCATCTGACAAAGGGCTAATATCCAGAATCTACAATGATTTACAAGAACATATTTACAAGAAAAAAACAAACAACCCCATCAAAAAGTGGGTGAAGGATATGAACAGACACTTCTCAAAAGAAGACATTTATGCAGCCAAAAAAACACATGAAAAAATGCTCACCATCACTGGCCATCAGAGAAATGCAAATCAAAACCACAATGAGATACCATCTCACACCAGTTAGAGTGGCAATCATTAAAAAGTCAGGAAACAACAGGTGCTGGAGAGGATGTGGAGAAATAGGAACACTTTTACACTGTTGGTGGGACTGTAAACTAGTTCAACCATTGTGGAAGTCCGTGTGGCGATTCCTTAGGGATCTTGAACTAGAAATACCATTTGATCCAGCCATCCCATTACTGGGTATATACCCAAAGGATTATAAATCATGCTGCTATAAAGACACATGCACACGTATGTTTATTGCGGCATTATTCGCAATAGCAAAGACTTGGAACCAACCCAAATGTCCAACAATGATAGACTGGATTAAGAAAATGTGGCATATATACACCATGGAATACTATGCAGCCATAAAAAATGATGAGTTCATGTCCTTTGTAGGGACATGGATGAAATTGGAAATCATCATTCTCAGTAAACTATCACAAGAACAAAAAACCAAACACCACATATTCTCACTCATAGGTGGGAATTGAACGATGAGATCACATGGACACAGGAAGGGGAATATCACACTCTGGGGACTGTGGTGGGGTGGGGGGAGGGGGGAGGGATAGCATTAGGAGATATACCTAATGCTAGATGACGAGTTAGTGGGTGCAGCGCACCAGCATGGCACATGTATACATATGTAACTAACCTGCACAATGTGCACATGTACCCTAAAACTTAAAGTATAATTAAAAAAAAAAAGAAATATCCAATAATGGGAATGCTGGATCGTATAATAGTTCTATTTTTAGTTTTCTGAGAAGTCTTTCTACTGTTTTTCACATACATTTCATGTGAATGTACTAAGTTGCATTCTACAAACAGTGTGGAAGAGTTCCCTTTTCTCTGCATCCTTGCCAACATTTGAATAGGGATGGTGTCTGTGGGCATCCTTGTCTTGTTCCAGATGTTACAGGAAAGAATTTCAGCTTTCTCCCATTCAGTGTATTGACTGTGAGTTTGTCATATATGGCCTTTAGGTTGACGTAATGTCCCTCGTTTGTCTAAGAGTTTTTATCTGGAGAAGATGTTGAGTTTTATCAGATGCTTTTTGGCATCTATTAAAATGATCATGTTTTTTGTCTTTTAAAAAAAAAGAATATAAACAAATTACAAGACATTAAACAAATTACAAGACATGCAAAGGAGTGGTCATGGAAACAGAAAATATGATAAAAGCATACTGTCACATGATTCTAATGTTAGAATTAGGACTTTAAAATAATTATTTTATATAGAAAGCTATGTTAAATTACATGATATGAACAAAATGGATAAAGAAATATAAAATTTCAACAGGAAAATGAATACTGATAAAAGGAAAAAATCTGAATTCCAGATAATAATAATAGTAGGCACACTGAAAAATTTTATTCAGTGTTCTTAGTAATAGACCAAACACAGCAGAAGAAAGTTTTAGTAAATTTGAGGCCTGATCAATGGAAATCAGCACTAATGAGAAAAAGAATGAAAAAAGAGAAAGACTGTCTTGAAACCTGTAGGGCAATATCAAACATCTAACATTCATGTAATTTAATTACCAGAAAGACAGAAAAGAGAGAATACGACACAAAAAATATTTAAGAGATAATGGATAATTTTCTTCCAAATTGGTGAAAAATATCACTTAGATATTCAAAAGGGCATGGATGAATTTTGACAGGTGATTGATATAACTCTTTTCTATCTTAATTATATAAGTTGGTAGTTGCAAGACCAGAATGCATTTGTCAAAACTTTAAGAACTGTAAACCAAAAATGGTCAATTTTATTGTTCCAAATGTTACCTTACTTGAAAACAAAAAAAAGTGAGAAACTTACTTTTCTTTTGATTGTGGAATAACTGAGATCATAATTACCATTTTACTGTGATCAAGTGAAACTTTATTCTAATTTAAGTAGAAAACAATTTTTTCAACAGATAAAGGCATTATTGGGCACTATGCATTTTTCTGCCAGTAAGTGGACTTCTTGATACTGAAACCTTTCACAGCTTATGTAGGATCCCCATAGATCTCTGTAAGATAGTGGAGAAGAACCCATATTATCTATAGAGAGCTTGGATTCCAGAAGAAAGGGCAGAGCTACACATCCCCAGTGCTTCATGCTAATCTCACCAATCAAGTAAGATTTTTCTTTTGTCCAAGGGTAGACTAAATGAGACTGCAAAAAAAAGTAAATTATAGACTTCCCTCTGGCAAGTGGTGTGAAATAAGTGTTCATCCCTAAAAACACCATATTATTCTTTCTCTTGATTTTGTTTTACTAAATAATGTTTTTGAATTTACTATTTTAGAAGTGTGTATCTTCTAGACTATGAGATTATAAAGATAAGATTACATTTATAATTTGTAACTTCAATATCTAACATCATTTTCCAGCGGATAAATACATAAATGAATATACACACATCTAATTTTGAGGTAGGTACTGGTGCAACTGAATCAATGACTTACTGTTCCGTTTCTGATATTTTGGTACCCGTGTTAACCACTAGTAAGTGTATTTTTATGTAAATGGTGAATGTAAATTCTTAGGAGCTAGACTACTAAGAGTCTTATAGTTTTACCTTTTCCAGAATATAAAATAAAAATGATATTAAATAAGTAGAATATTCAACATTATTTGCCTTGATTCAGTTTACACAGAAAAAAGAATCCAAGTATTCCATTGCCTTTAATGCGAACTGTGTTAAGAATAATAGAGTGTGTTTTGAAAATTTGCCATTTGTCCCAATAAACAGCAAAATATTAAAAAGAACACAACACAGAATCTAAGGATTAGAGAGGAATTATAGAGAATTTGGTCAAAATCCCTTTTAAGTCCGTGAATCTGTTCTACAACAGTGATGAAGAGCTCATGACTTTAGTAGGCTGATCATTCCATAAGTGACACACTCTATCATACGATTCTATATTTAAGTAGAGGATAGCTCCTTTACACTATTCAAGACGGATGCTTGTTTTGTGTTTTATAGTAAAACAGGCAAAAAATGTGCTTTACTAGCAAATGATCTCTTTTAAGACGTTTGGAGATAATTGTCATAATTTCCCCTCTCTGCCCTAAGTCTTCTTATCTGTAGGCTAAACACTTGTGGTTTCTTCAGCATTTCCACATACAACATAACTATTTGAATTTCCTGTAGCTTATTTTCTGGAGATGCTAAATCCAAGTCCAGTTCAAAAAGATGGAAAATATAAACCCTTAGATTTTTCATGCTCTGCCCCCTTTTCTTCACTCATAGTTTCAGAAATTTAAGCTCTTGAATATAAAAAAGATCAAATTTTACTCTACTTTTACTAGTTTTTCAGGCAACAAGACTAAAATTTACTTATTTTCTTGTCAATCTCTCTTGCTCAGAGAGTCATAAACTACCAAATTCTGAAGACAAATTCTAATTGCACAAGTAAAGGCTGATTGAGCTGCACAGTGTTCTCAAATGTTCACAAATAACTTATAAAATAATCAGAAGACTAGTTGAGACACAGTGGCAATATATACAGTACATATAGTGGAGTGTGGAGATTTTGGTGTTTAGTATGTTAAATATTTGAAAAATAGCAGAGAACTAAACAATGAGTTGCAAGAACACAGATCTGCAGAACTACAATAGATCAAGTTCATATAAGTGGTTTTGGAACTATGTAAATCAAACTTCACATTTTACCATAAGCAGCAAAAATAAACTTGGTGGCACCATTAATACTTCCTGGAAATGTTCTTAGCTTCATCATCCAGTTCACTGGATACATTTTCTATTTTCCACATTACTGCAGTCAACTGTGTTGCTGAAGTTTCTGCCACTAAATAATCAGTATTCCCATTCTTCTAGTTCCTAATAACAATTTCCTCACTTTCCTTTAAGCCCTCACTGACAGCCTCTTCAAAGTCCATCAGCTTTCTATTCAAAACATTAGTATTTCACTAGCTCTCTCATAAGAGTCCTTGTAGCTTCTGATCATTGTCTAATTCTAAAATCCTCTCCCATATTTTAGTTTAGTAGTAGCTCTCCACTTTCAGATTTCCTAGATCTGTATTAGTTATGTATTGCTGAGTACTTTATTATCTTAAAATGTAACAGCCTATAACAATATAAATTTATTATTTTACATATTTCTGGGTGGATCAGGAATCTTGTAATAACTTTTCTGGGTGGTTTTAGCTCAAGGTTTCTCATAGATTGTAGTAAATATATTGATTTAAGTTGAGCTTATCTGGTAGCTCAACTGAGCTTGGAGTATCCGATTCAAACTTGGATCACTCGTATGGCTATTAGCAAGAGGTTTTGTATCCTCTTCACATGGATCTCTCCACAGGCTATCTTCATTTCTTTTATCTGGCTTCTCCCGTTAAAGATTTTCAAAAGAGCGAAAGGTAGAAATCACAATTTTTTAAGGAAATAGCCTTGGAAGTCACACATAATAATTTTAACCATACTACAATGGCTGCATAGGTCAGTCCTATTCAATGTGAGAGGTAAACACATCAGGGTATGAGTACAAGAAGGAAGGGATCATTGGGAGCCAGTTTTGATGATAGCTTCCACATACCACTACTCTGTCTCAGTTCAATGTCTAAAAACAGCTGCCTCATATAATTTGTCAAGTTTTCTAGTTGTATATTATAGGAGGATAAATCCCACAGGATGGGTGGAAGTGAAACGATGGTGCCATGTATTACCATAAAGAACAGTAAGAGTAGATCAGGTTATAGAAAGTAGAACGTTTGGACTCATACTTTTGAAATACTGTACAGACTCTCAAGTGAGCACTTTAAACTGTTTTTAAAATTTCAGATCTATAGTTCATATAAGAAGTTTGAAGTAAATATGAAAATTTTGGACCCATCAACATACTATCCCTTATGCCTAGTGTTCCATTATTGGAACACTAAGCATGTGGGAATTATTTATATCCTACTGCTCAAGGTCATCACTAAGGTCTGATTTTTCACTCATGCAAACATTCAAAAAATTGCAACCTCTGGCATAAATGGGTCAGTGGCCTTTAAAGCTATGGGTCTAAATGAGATCATTTTTGGAAAGCAAAGAAATATGAAGATTGAGCTTTGAGGAATTCCAAAATTTACCACTGATGAGGAAGAGATAGTTCTAGAAAGGATAGGGCAGAGTATCCACCAGTGAGGTTGGAAGAAAATAATCTTTGCGTGTAGTCCATGTGAATGTGAATAAATTTTTTTTCAAAAAGAATAATCAAATGTGCAAATGCTGACAAGTAGGATGAGATCTGAGAATTGACTGTTGGATTTGAGAAGCGAACTAATAGAAATCTTTTTATCCCAAACCCGGGATCTGAAAAATGCATTTAAAATACCTGCTGAATGGTTGAAATTTACTGTTTAGTTGCATAATTTAATAGGTTACTTTCCTTTCTGCCTTCTTCATAATTTCTCATTAAGGAATTGCACTTACCACCACGGTCCTCTAAACACCTTTCCATTCCAAGTGCTAACTTGGGGAGTCCATCTGCTGTCGCAGCTCGATGGTGCTAAAGTAAAGCTGGCAGGAGAACTGACAACCAGAGAGGCATATTCTGTATAATGTGCTTTTCTTCTGCTTTGGCAAAAATAGAATCTAAACTTTGGCAGGAAATTAAAGAAATTTTGCATTTTGGTTAGCATTTATGCTTCTTACCTCAAAATATGAAGTAGGACACCCACAGGTGTAGGTTGGAGGATCAAATACTTTGCAATATAGCCAATAATCTTAAATTCTTTAATTAAAAATAAGAAAAGAATGAATCTGAAATTATTCCTTGTAATGTCTTTAACACTAAAGCCAGAGGTATGCCCTTGTGTGAAAATTATGTGTACAGATGATTATCAGAATAATTCAAAAAATAATTAGGCTCATATAAATGTAGAATTGGGGAGAATGTGAAATAATATCTAAAAGGACATACATTAATTTTCTTATTTAAATCAAGGTTTATGTTATTCCAAGCAAATTTTCCAAACAACTGTGCCATACTTTTACGTGCCATTAAAATAATTTTTAGAAATCCTAGGGTAAAATGTCATACAGCTGGAATCCACTGATATAGTATTCTAAACTTTGGCTAAAACTATTATGATGCAAAAGGGAGAAGAACAGAACCTCACAGTTATATCTAATACTAAGACAATATAGCACCAAAATGTAGTTAGGAACCTCTAACTAAGAAAAGTGCAGCCAGATAAAGAAAATTTAACTTTGACTTTGACAGGTCGTTATTTTCTGGATTCTTCTCATAAAACAAAATCATATGAAAAAAAGTGTGTATGTACAGTTCTCATTTCCTCACTAATGATTTAGAGGATGGGGTTCTTATACCAACTAAAAAATGAGATACCTCTCTATTATATAGTTCTTTACCAAAAGTTGGAATCAATATCTTTGAGAGTAGTAATTAAAAATACACTTTTCCGCTCTTCCCTTGAAAGTTTCAATTAATATATCTGGAATTGGCTTATGCATATAATTTGAAGTGAAAATAAAAACAAATCAACATCAATAGGAATTATTCTATCTATATCTAGTTTAAATCTGCTTTATCTGTTTAAAACAGCAGGAAATAAAAAAACTTTCACATTTTGTTTAGGATTTGTACTTCTTACTTCAAAAAAGAAAGTAAAGGGTAGTCAGAATGCTGATATATGTCACAAAATTCTGTATTCTGGCAGAGATTGCAAATTATAAAAACATTATTTGAAAGAAATATTATTGTACCATAATAGATTCTGGAAGTTGTAGGTCAAGTGAAGCAGAGTGAAAAATAAATATTTCTAGAGGGAGTTTTAGCTTTTTAAGTTTTCTGTCATATCAGATTAGAACAGAAACAGACACAGGGGACAGCAAAAAGATGACTCACATTGTACCAGAGGTGTTCTATGTGAAAGTCTTCTACCAGACCAGAAGTGATCTGAGATCTGTGTCATCAACCTTCTCTCCACAGGATGACTTGAGAAGGGAATTGGATCTGCACAAAAAAATAACAGCCAACAAGGAAAATCATATATCATGAATGTTGAGTGATGCTGGCCAATAAAGAAACTTGCCCAGCAACAAACAAAAATACAGGCTCAGTGAAGCTTTGTCACAGTTATAAACATCCAGAGTAATGAGAGGAAGAAAATTCTTTTGAAAAATGTCTAATGCATTATCTAGAAGATAATTGTATAAGAATGTTTGAAATCCTTAAAGTGTGTAGTGCATAAAATATAACTATAGATTTTTTTATGGCAACAAAGTTTATGAAGATCAAATAGAGAATGGATGAGATGAAATGGAATTTGCATAGATAAAGATATTTAAAAAAATAAAGACACAATAGCAAAATTAAAATTAAAATTTTGCTACTACATTAGGAGTTGCATATGAAAATGACTGAAAGAATAAAAAGAAACGAGAGGAAAAGTATTATTCATAACAAAAGAGAATATGGTGACTATATGTGATAATTGATGTCCCTAAGAGGCCAGAACAAATATAACAGCAGCAATATTTAAGTGTCTCTTCATTTAAAATACTAGAAAGAATCATGGCAAGAGGGCTGAATAGAATCATCCAGTGATGATCCCCACAAAAGAATACCAAATTGAACAACTATCTGTGCAGGAAGGCACCTTTGAAATCCTCCCCACCGCACCCCAGTATCAAGTGAGCAATGAAAATATCTGTTTTTTAAACATAATAACAAAAGACACATCGAAGAAGGTACAAAGAAAAATCTTGTATTCTCTACGCCACCTCTCCCCCATCCCAAGGCAGTGCAGCTCAAAGAGATCGTCTGTGCACTTGGGGAAGTGATACGGTTTAACTGTGTCCTCACCCAAATCTCTACTTGAATTGTATCTCCCAGAATTCCCACATGTTGTGAGAGGGACCCAGGGTGAGGTAATTGAGTCATGGGGGCCAGTCTTTCCCGTGCTATTTTCCTGATAGTGAGTAAGTGTCATGAGATCTGATGGGTTTATCAGGGATTTCTGCTTATATTTTTTCCTCATTTTCTCTTGCCACCACCATGTGGGAAGTGCTTTTTGCCTCCCTTCATGATTCTGAGGCCTCCCCAGCCATATGGAATTGTAAATCCCATTAAACCTCTTTTTCTTCTCAGTCTCGGGTACGTCTTTATCAGCTGTGTGAAAACGGACTAATACAGTAAATTGGTACCAGTAGATTGGGGCATTGCTGAAACGATCCTTGAAAATGTCAAAGTGACTTTGGAACTGGTAACGGGCAGAGATTGGAAGAGTTTGAAGGGCTCAGAAGAAGACAGGAAAATGTGGGAAAGTTTGGAACTTCCTAGAGTCTTTTCCCAAAATGCTGATAGTGATATGGACAATAAGGTCCAGGCTGAAGTGGTCTCAGATAGAGATGGGGAACTTGTTGGGAACTGGAGCAAAGGTGACTCTTGTTATGTTTTAGCAAAGAGAATGGCAGCATTTTGCCCCTGCCCTAGATATTTGTGGAATTTGATCTTGAGAGAGATGATTTACGGTATTTGTTGGAAAAAATTTCCAAGCAGCAAAGCATTCAAGAGATGACTTGAGATGACTTGGGTGCTGTTAAAGGCATTCAGTTTTATAAAAGAAGCAGAGCAAAAAGGTTTGGAAAATTTGCAGCCTGACTATGCAAAATTTTTAGTAGAGATTTGAGAAAACCAATTTTCGGGGGAGAAATTCAAGCTGGCTGCAGAAATTAGCATAAATAGCAAGAAGCCTAACGTTAATACCCACGACCATGAGGAAAACGTCTCCAGGCCATGTCAGAGACCTTCACGACAGCCCCTCCCATTACAGGCCTGGAGGCCCGGGAGAAAAAAGTTGTTTCATGGGCCGGGTCCAGGGTCCCCATCCTGCGTGCACCATAGGGACTTGGTGTCCTGTGTCCCAGCTGCTCCATCTGTGGCTGAAAGGGGCTAATGTACAGCTCAGTCTGTGGCTTCAGAGGGTGCAAGCCCCAAACTTTGGCAGCTACCATGTGGTCTTGAGTCTGCGGGTGCACAGAAGTCAAGAATTGAGGTTTGGGAGCCTCTGCCTAGATTTCAGAAGACACATGGAAATGCCTGGATGCCCAGGTAGAAGTTTGCAGCAGGGGTGGGTCCCTCATGGAGAATTTCTGCTAAGGCAGTGTGGAAGGAAAATGTGGGGTTGGAGTCCCAACACAGATTCCCTACTGGGGCACTGCCTAGTGGAGCTGTCCTCCAGACTCCAGAATGGTAGGCCCACTGACAGCTTGCACCGTGTGTCTGGAAAAGCCACAGACACTCAACGCCAGACTGTGAAAGCAGTAGAGAAGGAGGCTGTACCTTGCAAAGCCACAGGGGTGTTACTGCCCAAGACTATGGGAATCTACCTTTTGCATCAGTGTGACCTGGACGTGAGATCTGGAGTCAAAGGACATAATTTTGGAGCTTTAAAATTTGACTGCCCTGCTGTATTTCAGACTTGCATGGGTGCTGTAACTCTTTGTTTTGGCCAATTTCTCCCATTTAAAACAGGTGTATTTACCCAATGCCTGTACCTCCATTGTATCTAGGAAGTAACTAGCTTGCTTTTGATTTTACAGGCTGATTGGTGGAAGGGATTTGCCTTGTCTCAGATGAGTCTTTAGACTATGGACTTTTGGGCTAATGCTGAAATGAATTAAGACTTTGGGGGACTGTTGGGAAGGCACAATTGTTTTGAAATGTGAGGACATGAGATTTAGAGGGGCCAGAGTTGGAATGATATGGTTTGGCTGTGTCCCCACCCAAATCTCAACTTGAATTCTATCTATCTCCCAGGATCCCCACGTTTTGTGGGAGGGACCCAAGGGGAGGTAATTGAATCTTTCCTGTGCCATTGTCATGATAGTGAATAAGTCTCACAAGATCTGATGGGTTGGTCAAGAGTTTCCACTTTTGCTTCTTCCTCATTTTCTCTTGCCACTGCCATGTAAGAAATGCCTTTTGCCTCCCACCATGATTTAAGGCCTTCCCAGCCACGTGGAACTGTAAGTCCAATTAAACCTCTTTTTCTTCCCAGTCTTGGGTATGTCTTTATCTGTTGCATGAAAACGAACTAATACAGGAAGGGAGAGAAAAGTGTGTGGAACTTTGCAATAGAATTCACTACTGCCCTGTCAAAATGAAATAAGACACTGGTCAGAATTCTGTCAGTGCTCATAGAAGGAGCATTTAGACTAGCACTAGTCTAGAGGGGAATCCTCTGTCCAGTATGAAGAAGCCTAGTCCCAGCACACTTCATCACCAGCGGACTATGGTGGCCTGGGGCCCCAAATAAATTTGAGTGCCAGTCAGGCCATAATTACTTCTGTCCTTTGGCAAGCATTGACACAGCACTGGTCTCAGAGACTGTGGGCCTGTAGTGAAAGATATACAGAAAACAGCAAGTAATTAGGGGATGGAGGGGTTGGAGTAAAAGTGTCAAGTTTTGTAGTTTTAGTTTTGGTTTTTTATTCTTATTTGTGATTTGTAGAAAGTTTATTCAAAGAAATAATGACAGATAACTTTCCAAACCCAGAGAAACATATGAATATCCAGGTACAATACGGTCAAAGAATACCAAACAGATTTTACCCAAATAAGCCTACCTCAAGGCATATAATAATCAAACTCTCAAAGGTCAAGGACAAAGAAGGGAATTTAAAAGTTGTAATTAGTTTAAATAATTGGTTATAAAATGTTTTTTGGAAGCCTCATGGTAACCACAAGGAAAAACCTATAAGAGATACACGGAAAATAAAAAGCAAAAAATTAAAGCCTACTACCAGAAGACATCACACACACACACACACACACACACAGACATATATATATATGGATAAACTATATGCTATGCTACAAACAGGTCAAATTTTTTAATGGAAATTATATCAAGCATCTTTTCCAACCAAAATGAGATGAAACTATTAATCAACAAGAAAATCTACTTTAGAAACTGTAAAAATACATGGCTATTAAAAAACATGCTCCTAAATAACCATTGGATCAATAAAGAAATTGAGAAATTTTTAAGGTTTATTTGAAACAAACAAAAAGAGAAATACAACATACCAAGACTTCTAGGATACATCAGAAGTAATACTAAAAGGGAAATTCATAGCAATAAATGCCTAGATCAAAATAGTAGAAAAATTTCAAATAAACAACTTTATGATTCATTTTAAAGAACCAGAAAAGCAAGAGAAAACTATACCCATAGTTAGTAGAAGGAAATAAATAATAAACACAAAAGGGAACTAAGCAAAACTGAGACAAAAACATAGGGAAGATAAACAAAATCAATAGTGAAAAGATACAATTGATAAATTTTAGCCAGACTAAGAAAAAAAGAGAAAAAATGCAAATAAAATCAGAGGAAGTAAGAGAAACATTTATAAGTAATACAACAGGACGGTCGCGATGGCTCACGCCTGTAATCCCAGCACTTTGGGAGGCCGAAGCAGGTGGATCATGAGGTCAGGAGATCAAGACCATCCTGGCTAACATGGTGAAACCCCGTCTCTACTAAAAATACAAAAAATTAGCCGGGCGTTGCGGCAGGCGCCTGTAGTCCCAGCTACTCGGGAGGCTGAGGCAGGAGAATGGCGTGAACCTGGGAGGTGGAGCTGGCAGTGAGCCGAGATGACACCACTGCACTCCAGCCTGGGTGACAGAGCGAGACTCCATCTCCAAAAAAAAAAAACAGATAGAAACAATAAAAGAAAGCTTCTCATCAAAGAAAAACCCAGGCAAGCACTGATGGCTTCATCACTGAATTCTACCAAACATTTAAGGAAAAATTAATACCAATCTTAATCAAATTATTGCAATAAATTGAAGAGGAGAGAATTAAAAACTCATTCTAGGGGCCGAGCATGGTGGCTCACGCCTGTAATCCAAACACTTTGGGAGGCCACAGTGTGCAGATCATGAGGTCAGAAGATCAAGACAAGCCTGACCAATATGGTGAAACCCCATCTCTACTAAAAATACAAAAATTAGCCCGGAGTTCTGGTGTGCACCTGTAGTCCCAGCTATTCGAGAGGCTGAGGCAGAAGAACGGCTTGAACCTGGGAGGCGGAGGTTGCAGTGAGCGAAGATTACGACACTGCCCTCCAGCCTGGGTGACAGAGCAAGACTGTCTCTCAAAAACAGAACAAAACAAAACACCTCATTCTAGGATGCCAGCATTACCCTAATACCAAAACCAGACAAAGACAACAACAACAATAACAAAAACAACAGGGTAAAATCTCTGATGAATATTGTTTCAAAAATTATTTTAAAAAGCCTAGCAGACTGGCAAACTAAATTCAATGAAATATTTAAAAGATCATTTATCATAACCAAGTAAGATTTATCCCTGGGATGCAAGGATGGTTCAAAATACACAAATCAATAAGTGTGATACATCACTTCAGCACAATGGACAAAAACCATATGATAATTTTAATAAACATAAAAAATTAGTAAAATTTGGTTTCTTCATTATAAAAACTATCAACAAACTGGGAATAAAAGGAACATACCTTAACACAATAGAGGTCATACGAAAGAAACCCAAGCTAGTATTATTCTGAACAAGGAAAAACTGAAAGCCTTTTCTCTTAGATCAGGAAGAGGACAAGGATGCTCACTTTCACCACTTTATTCAACATAGTGCTAGAAGTACTAGCCAGAGCAATTAGACAAGAGAAAGAAATAAACAATATCAGAATTGGAAGGAGAGGAGTCAAATTATCCTTGTTTGTGGATGATATGATGTTATAACTAGAAAAAACGATTATTTCAAAAATTATTAGAACTGATAAACAAATTCAGTAAGGTCGGGGATAGAAAATAAACATATAAAAATCAGTAGCATTTCTTTCTTTTTTTAAATTTTACTTGAAGTTCTGGGATACATGTGCTGAATGTGCAGGTTTGTTACATAGGTATACATGTGCCGTGGTGGTTTGCTTCACCTATCAACCCATTATCTAGGTTTTAAGCTCCACATGCATTAGGTGTTTGTTCTAATGCTCTCCCTAACCTTTTCCCAACCCCTTGACAGGCCCCAGTGTGTAATGTTCCCCTCCCTGTGTTCTCATTGTTCAGCTCCCGCTTATGAGTGTGAACAGGCAGCGTTTGGTTTTCTGCTCCTGTGTTAGTTTGCTGAGGATGATGGCTTCCAGCTTCATCCATGTTCCTGTAAACTACATGAACTCATTCTTTTTAATGACTGCACAGTATTCCATGGTGTATATGTGCCACATTTTCTTTCTGTCTGTCTGTCATTAAGGAGCATTTGGTTTGGTTCCAAGTCTTTGCTATTGTAAATAGTGCTGCAACAAACATACGTGTGCATGTGTCTTTATAGTAGAATGATTGTCTATTATTGTTGTATAGAAATGCTTGTGATTTTTGCACATTGATTGTGTATCCTGAGACTTTGCTGAAGTTGTTTATCAGCTTAAGGAGTTTTTGTGCTGAGATGATGAGGTTTTCTAAATACACAATCATGTTGTCTGCAAACAGGACTTAAACTCAGCTGTGGACCAGGTGTATCTAATAGCTATCTATAGAACTTTCCACCTCAAATCAACAGAATATACATTCTTCTCAGCACCACATTGCATTTATCCTAAAATCGACCACATAATTGGAAGTAAAACACTCCTCAGCAAATGCAAAAGAACAGAGATCGTAACAAACAGCCTCTCAGACCACATTGCAATCAAATCAGAACTCAGGATTAAGAAACTCACTCAAAACCTCACATCTACATGGAAACTGAGCAGTCTGCTCCTGAGTGACTACTTGGTAAACAGCAAAATTAAGGCAGAAATAACAAAATTCTTCGAAACCAATGAGAATGAAGTGACAACGTACCAGAATCTCTGGTACACAGTTAAGCATCGTCTAGAGGGAAATTTATAGCACCAAATGCCCACATCAGAAAGCAGGAAAGTTCTAAAATCAACACCCTAACATTACAATTAAAAGAACTAGAGAAGCAAAAGCAAAGAAATTCAAAAGCTAGCAGAAGACAAGAAATAAGTTCTTATTTAGACAGTTCTGCTAAGATCAGAGCAGAACTGAAAGAGATGGAGACACGAATAACCCTTCAAAAAAAATCAGTGAATCCAGGAGCTCGGTTTTTTAAAAGATTAACAAAATAGATACACTGCTAGCCAGACTAATAAAGAAGAAAAGAAAGAAGAATCAAATAGATACAATAAAAAAAAAGATAAAGGGTATATCACCACCGATCCCACAGAAATACAAACCACCATCAGAGAATACTATAAACACCTCTACGCAAATAAACTAGAAAATCTAGAAGAAATGGATACATTTCTGGACACATACACCCCCCAAGACTAAATCAGGAAGAAGAAGAAGTCAAATCCCTGAATAGACCAATAACAAGTTCTGAAATTGAGGCAGTAATTAATAGCCTATGAACCAAAAAGCCCAGGACCAGACAAATTCACAACTGAATCCGTACAAAGAAGAGCTGGTACCATTCCTTCTGAAACTATTCCAAACAACAGAAAAAGAGTAACTCCTCTCTAACTTGTTTTATGAGGCCAGCATCATCCTGATTCCAAAACCTGGCAGAGACACATCAAAAAAAGAAAATTTCTGGCTAATGTTGCTGATGAACATCGATGCAAAAATCCTCAATAAAATACTAGCAAACCGAATCCAGGAGCACATCAAAAAGCTTATCCAACATGATCAAGTCGGCTTCATCTCTGGGATGCAAGGCTGGTTCAACATATGCAAATCAATAAACATAATCCGTCATATAAACAGAACCAACGACAAAAACCACATGATTATCTCAATAGATGCAGAAAAACCCTATGATAAAATTAAACACCTCTTCATGCTAAAAACTCTCAATAAACTTGTATTGATGGAACATATCTCAAAATAGTAGGAGCTGTTTATGACAAACCCATAGGCAATATCATACTGAAAGGGCAAAAGCTGGAAGCATTCCCTTTGAAAACTGGCACAAGACAAGGGTGCCCTCTCTCCCCACTCCTATTCAACATACTATTGGAAGTTCTGGCTGGAGAAATCAGGCAAGAGAAAGAAATAAAGGGTATTCAAATAGGAAGAGAGGAAAAATCAGTAGCATTTCTATATGCCAAGAGCAAACAATCTGAAAAAGAAATCTTTTAGCTTTTATGTAATTCCATTTACAATACCTACTAAGAATATGTAGGAATAACCTTAACTACAGAAGTTAAAGATCTCTACAAAAAAAACTCATAAAACATAGATGATATAAATTGAAGAGGACATAAAAAATGAAAATATATCTCATGTTCATGAAGTGGAAGAATCAATATTTTAAAAATGTCTATACTACCCAAAACAATATACATGTTCAATGTAATTGCTGCTGATGTACCAAAGGTGTTCTACACAGAAATATAACAAAATTCCTAAAATTTATATGAAACCGAAAAGATCCAGAATAACCAAAGCCATCCTGAGCAAAATAATGAACCTGGAATCTTGATATTACATGACTTTATATTATAATGCAAAGCTATAGTAACTAAAGCTGTTGTTACTGGCCCAGAAACAGACACACAGAACAATAGAATTGAAGAGAGAATCCGAAATAAATCCATATATTCACAGTTACATCATTTTCAACAAAGGTGCCAAGAACATACAACGAGGGTAAGGACACTCTATTCAACAAATGGTTTTGGTAAAACAAGATGTTTATATTCAGAAGAATGAAAGTAGACCACCATTTCTCACCATATTAAAAAATCAAATCAAAATGAATTTAAAACTGAAATGTGACACAAGAAACTATAAAATTCCTAGAAGCAAACATTGGGAAAAGGCTTCAGGATCTTAGCATGGACAAAGATTCCTTGACTAAGCATAGTCAATCAAAGCAAAAATAGATGAATGGGATCACATAAAGCTAAAAAGCTTCTGCATGGAAAACTCATACAACTCAATAGCAAAAAATATTCTGATTTAAAAAATGGATAAAACATTTTAATAGGCAATTCTCAAAAGAAGACATACAAATGACCAACAGGTATATTTTTAAAAAATTGCTCATCACTAATAATCAGAGAAATGCAAATTAAAATCACAATGATAAATCATTTCCCCATAGCTAAAGTGGCTTTTATTATAAAGACACACAAAAAAACTGATGCTGGTGAGGATGCAGAGAAAAGGGAAGCCTTGTACACTCTTGGTAGGAACGTATATTAGTACAGCTACTATGAAGAACAGAATAGATGTTGTGCAAAAAACTAAAAATAGAAGTAACATATGATTCAGCAATCTCACTGCTGGGTATATTTCCGAAAGGTACTAAATCAGTATATTGATGAGACATCTGTATTCCCATGTTTATTACAGCAATATTCATAATAGCTAAGATATGAAATAAAAGTATGTGTCCATCAATGATGACTGAATAAAGAAAATATGGTACATATAAACAATAGAATATTCATGATTTTATTAGAATGAAATTATATCATTTGCAACAACATGAATGGAACTGGGAGACATTACCTTAAATAAAGTAAGCCAAGCATAGAAAAACAAGTATCATATGTTCTCATTCATGTGTGGTAGATAAAGAATTGATCTCATGATAGTACATGGTAGAATGGTGGTTAACAGAAGCACAGAAGGATAATGGGGAGGAAGGGATAAAGAGGGTTTGATTAATGGGTACAAAAATACACAATTAGTGTATAGCGAGGTAGATGAGTAGGTAGATGAAAAATTGAAACTAATCAATTGTACATTTCAAAATAGCTAGAGGAGTTAATTTAGAATGTTTCTCACACAAATAAATTCCAAAAATGTAAGGTGATGGCTATCTCAATTACTCTGACTTGACCATTATACCTTTTATGCTTGTCTCTAAATACCACATGGATCCCATAAGTATAAACAACTATTATGCACCTTTATATATAAAAAATTTAAAAACCCAATAAATGTTTTTAATATTCCTGACCTAAATTTTGTGTTTGTTTTCAGCTCATTCTGTTATATTTTACTGTGTTCCCAATCCTATTTGATAGAGGCCAGGTTATTTTGCTTTCTTCTAATGATAAGTGTAAACTTTTCCAATGTTTCTGTCTAAAGTATTTAGTAGACAATTTTCCAAGGCTTTCTTAATTTCTTAATTTCTAAATCTTCAATATTGATGACATTTTAATTCAATTTATAATTTTTCCATACATACTACGTTTTTGCTTATTTATTGCTTATTTTGTAATGTATAAACTTCTACTAAGAGCTAATTAACAGAAAATAAGATCCCACATCTTGCCTTGAAACTGCCCAGTGTACATATTCAGTACCTGTGTGCATGTGTTTGTGTGTATGTGTATAATTAATAACTTTTTGTATCTACCTTACCTTATAAACATTTTTCTTGGGAATAATTTATTTTATATTTAATAAATAACATTTTTCATATTTATGGGTCATATGTGACATTTTGATACAAGCATACAATGCGTAATGATAAGGTAATTGGGATACTGATCATCTTAAACATTTGTCATATCTTTGTATTAGCAGCATTTCAGTTTAACTCTTTTAATTATTTTGAAATACACAATATTGTTAACTCTAGTTGCCCTGTTGTGCTATTTAACACTATATCTTATTTCTTCTAACCATAATTTTGTACTCATTAACTAACCCCTCTCTATTCCCCTCTCCACATTACGGGAAGAATACATTTTATGAAACAACTTTTGGTATATATAAAAATAATCAGATACGGATTATTTATTTAGCTTATTAAAATGATAAAGTATACATATCCAAATGCTAATTCATCCTTCCATTCAGATTTCTTCTGTCATGAATTTTTTCTTCATCATTCACACCACAAGACTGATTTTGTAATTGTGTACTTTGAATGCTTTAGTAGATATCTTCATTTATTTGATTATTTATAATAGTTTACCTTTAATTTTTTCTGCCTTCATTCTTACCAAGAAGGTATTGGCATATACTATCTATTTCTGACACACCTCTCCATAGTTCACCAACTTTTCACACCCAAGGAATTAGTGAGGCTTAAGTATATTTGAATTTTTGAAAAGAGGGAGATGATTTGTGTACCTATCATGGATGTTCCTCTTTAATCCAGACAAATGTAGTGCATTTGTCTGAAATTCCTTTAGATTATAGGTTTTTAATAGTTTATTTCCTTAATATATATGGTGGATGCAAATTTCCTGTACTTGTAAATGTCTCAGCTTATTTCCTTCATAATTGTGTATGCCTGCGTTTACAATGGGAGGAACAACGGGCAAAGTGCTGGACATCAAATGAGTGCCTCTCATCAGCTTTTACTTCAGGAAATCATTGTTCATTTTTGTGATAATGGAATTTTGACTCTTTTACTTAGTAAATTACATCTATTAAACTTATATCTGTTACTTTAAAAATGTGTTAGTTTTACTCTAATTCTAGTCTTATGTTTCAGTGTTTCAAAAACCCAGAGCTAAATAGCAGAAAGGTTTCGAAAATTTCCTCATTTCAATTGTTTAATACCTGCATAAGATTATCCAATAGTTTTGTACCTATGGTCAAACATTGCAGAGAATCATCTGACAAAAATATCCTTCTTAGACTGACAAAATGCTTGTATCTTTCCTTTTAATTCACACATTTTACTACCTGAGTTAAAATGTTAGCCTCACAGTTATGTGACCTTTGACAAGTTATTTAACCTCTCAGTGTCTTTGTTTGTTTTCATTTTCAAAGTGTGATACGAATCGTTTCTATTGCCTAGGATTTCTATTAAGAGTAAATGAGATGAAAAATCTGAAACTCTCAGAAAATGTGGCACATAGTAAGCTGTTAAATAATATCAGTTGTTTATTGTTTGACCTTTAGTTAGAGTATTACAAACCCAACCTCATGAGTTAGCACGCTAATTATGAGGGATTTTTGTGTGGTAAATATTTACAGGCCTGTATGTCTGTCACTGCACCCACTTCTCCCACATTGTTCTTAAATACAATTTCTTTATCCATATAGAAAATGTTTTTCTATGCTCCCACATGCCAGTTCCTTTCCCTGGATTTTAAGAGTGGGGCCGAATGAGGTGAGACAATCCTTTTCCCAGATATCAAAGTTGTAAGATGTAAAGATTGGAGGACTTTAAAGGCCTGGTTTTTTAGCCATGTCTAGAATGGAAAAGGTAACCATCATGCAGAGAAAAAGCAAAGTCTAGAGAATGTGGGTCTTAATAGAGTTTGCACCTCTAGTCCATGTGTTCCTGAGGTTTAGCACAATCCTGTCCTTTTTTCAGCTTGGTGATTCCGTAAACTATTCCTTAACTCTTCAACTTAGGTTTATCTTAACTAACAAAAGTGGTCCATTTTTTTTCTGTTGTTCTTAAGTAATCATAGTATTCTCTTCTAGTTTTACACTGCTGTTGAATTTGTCTTCATTCGTCTTGGGGACCAATGATCGATATAGCCTCTTCTCCAAGTAACTCTGCTTAAGCCAAAAGAGGAAGATTCACAGGTGCTTTAAGAACAGAGTGGTATCTCTAGATAATTTCAGCCATGGGAGTTGATTGTCTATTTTCTCTTTCTCCTCTGTAGGTTTTTGAGGAAACTAAACTTGATTTTATCTGCTTTGTGAAGAAACACGTTCTTTCAGCTTCATTCCTGTGCAGCTCTCCTTAACTCTCTGGAACAATGACATTTAACTAGCTTTCATTCCTTCAGTCTCAGACAGACCTCTAACTACCAAAACTAAACTTTCTAAATGACCTTCTAATTGTATCTGCCTTCACCTAATTGCCCAGGCTCTTTTACTACCACTCCCTTCCTCACACATCATGGAACATCCAAATTAAATTGCCTTGAGGACCATGGATTTGTCAGGTTCCCTTTCCCTATTTGTTGAAAATAATGTTAATATTTATGTGATAAATATATTTCAATTATTTATATGCTTGGTGTTAGTATCTTGATTAGTAAATATTTTAATTATTTATATGTTTGGTATTAGTATGGATAATATTCCATATTTTGCCTTACATATTTTTACAAAGCTCACCTATTTCTTGCTCCATATGGATTTTACCTAGTGTACTTGCCAAAGATCAATACAAAGTTCTCACTGGGAAATTTTCTCTTAGTTTTTTCCAACGAAAAGAAATTCTGAGGAAAGTTGAGACTAGATCTGGGTACTTCTTTCTAACATGTTTAGGCACGTTCAGGGGAACTCAAAGCTGGCCTTATTTTTAATAATTTTTTTCTTGTAAGTAAACAAGTAGCAATTTTATTGTACTCCACAACTTTCCAACACTTATTTTGTTTTTCTTGAGTTTTTAATTTTGTAATCTCCTTGGGCTTATTAGTAACCTATGGAAAATTTTCTCATTATTTCATTTTGATAAATGAAGAATATATTGAACTCCTTTTATAGTTTATATCATAAATTGTATAATTTTTTTTCTAATTTTTCCCATGGTTACCATATACCTACTAAAATTTACATATAAGGTTTTTCTCTGGACTTTGTTTTTTTTTCCAGTGATAATTGACAGGATTATTTGAATCAAACTGCCAAAAAAAAAAAAAAAGAAAAATTCTAGATAAAATATTAAAAACAGTTCTAAACAGCATTGCATAGTTAAACTGATGATAGAAAGAGTCTAGGCCAAAACAAGAGGATAAACTTACCTAGAGAGATAAGTATTAAATCAAAGAAATAAAGTATCTTTTGTCTTGAGGGCATTTACCCATAGTTTACATCAAGGTTCAAAGTGAGACAAAAATTCAACATCTTAGGAAGCCCTCTTGACAATAACCTAGAAATAAAGTGACCACTCTTTTTTAAACATGAGCAAGAATTAGATACTCTTATTCTCCCAAACTTAAAATTACTAGAAGCTGAGCAAAACAGGTGAAATAAAATAAACAAAGAACCTATGGCACTACAGATGAATGTACTAAATGTTCCATTTAGTGATACTCATGCTTATATTGGAAAAAAAAATACCAACAACATGTTACTTACAAGAGACAAATATAAAATACAAAATACAAAATGAGTAAAAGTAATGGGATTAAAAATGATATATTATGCAAACTGTATTTTCAAGCGCTCACAGAAAATCTACCCCAAATTGAATACATATATAAGGATAGGGAATAAATGGAACCCATATACCATTTTGGTGAATAGTGCCAGTCAATTTTGCCACTTTGGAAAATAGACTGGCATTATCAAGTATATTTGAAGTTGCACATACCCTATGGCCCAATAATTATATTCATAATATTAATAAGTATATATGCTTTTAAAATTCACTCACATGTGGATTTGGATGCCTATATGAGAAAATTTACAGCAGCAATAAAATAACCAGAAACTTTAAACAACTCAAACATTCATCAACAGTACAATGAGAAAAACAAATTATGGAATATTCATACAATGAAATATTAAGACAATTAAAATGAACAAACTGCAAGTTAAATGATCATATTTTACAAACAAAAGTGAGACAAACAAAAGCTAAAAACCAAAAATAGTAAGATTTAATTATGTTTATATAAAACTGAAAAGCAGAGAAAACCAAAGTAGGAGTCAGAAACTATGGGCCCTGAATCAAATCTGGCCTTACATCTGTTTCTGTAAGTTGTTGTACGGTGTACAGATACATTCATACTTTTGCCTATCATTCTATGGCTATTTTTGTACTGCAATGGCAGTGCCTAGTAGCTGTTACAGAGACCTATGACCTGCAATGACTAAAATATTTACTATCTGACATTTATGGAAAATGTCATTCTGGGAACTAAACTATCATTTAGGAATGAAAATGTAAGTACTGATACATAAGATAAAACAACATGGAAATAATGATAAGTTTAATTTTTCCTTCTGGCATTTTGTAAAAAAAAGTTTGGGATCACAAAAGGACACATAGACAGGCTGGGCTCAGTGGCTCACGCCTGTAGTCACAGCATTTTGGGAGTCTGAGGTGGGCAGATCACTTTAGGCCAGAAGTTCCACACTAGCCTGGCCAACATGGCGAAACCCCGTCTCTACTAAAAATACAAAAATTAGCAGGACGTGGTGGCGTACACCCGTAATCCCAGCTACATGGTGGCTGAAGCATGAGAATCGCTTGCACCAGGGAGGCGGATGTTGCAGTGAGCCAAGATTGCGCCACTTCACTCCAGCCTGGAAGACAGAGTGAGACTCTGTCTCAAAAAAAAAAAAAAAAAAAGGGGACACACAGCGGCTCTGCATTGCTGCCAATGTTCTATTTCTGAACCTATGTTACAGGTACAAGCACATGAACAGATTGTTACATGCACATTCATTTTCAAACATCTATCAAATTATGTGTATATTTTATGCATTGTTGGTAATTCTTTACAATTAATATCTTTAAAATATTTCAAACCAAAACAAAAACATATATATATATTATATATATATATACATATATAAAACATACCTAGGCTATATATATATATATATATATATATATATATACTAGCTAGCATACATACTAACATATATATATACTAGCATATATATGTGTGTGTGTGTATATATATACACATATATACTACTATATATGTTAGCATATTTAACAATATGACAATATGCGCTAGGGCTTTTCCTAAATAATAACCCTGAATTTCATTTGATAGTTACTTATTTTCCTGCCCTAATTCTGTAACTTCCACATTCTTCTTTCCAATAGGCAAGTAAAGAGATACATAGCCGTGGCTCACGCCTGTAATCCCAGCACTTTGGGAGGCCGAGGCGGGTGGATCACGAGGTCAGGAGATCGAGACCATCCTGGCTAACACGGTGAAACCTCGTCTCTAGTAAAAATACAAAAAAATTCTCCAGGCTTGGTGGCCGAAGCCTGTAGTCCCAGCTACTCGGGAGGCTGAGGCAGGAGAATGGCGTGAACCCGGGAGGTGGAGCTTGCAGTGAGCCGAGATGGCACCACTGCACTCCAGCCTGGGCGGCAGAGTGAGACTCCGTCTCAAAAAAAAAAAAAAAAAAAAAGAAATAAAAAAAAAGAAAATAAAAAAAAAATAAAAGAACTACATAGCCACCAATTAGTGCCTTTAACTTATCATTGAATAAAGCATGTATCGGACAGAAATTGGATCCTCTGCAATCTATTATAAATATTTATGTTAAGTAAAATTTCCTGAGATGGTAAGCCACCTTTTGTTCATTTTGTTATCCTGTACTCTGCCTAGAAAACATAAATAAATTTTTGTTGAACTAGTGAAGCAAGCATCAGTCATTTATTTCTAATCTAAAAAGCTAGGTTTCTAAATGCAGATCAGACATTTGTATCCAGGCAGTTCTATGTTCCTTTTTCTCATTTGCAAAATAGAGATAAAGCTAACTACATTTACAAAGATATTTATTAATAAACATTGTAACACAGTCTATTAGACGTGTATGCAAGCAGGCCGACTTTTAAAATCTTTCCAGAATTAAGGTTTTTTTTTTTTTTCATTTTATAAACATTTTAATTGAGCCACTAGCATTGCATTAGAAAGACATGCTGGGTTGACATAAAGCTGGTTCCAAGTTTGCAGTGGATTGAAGATCGGAAGTTTTGTGGGAATGCTAACGTGCTGGTTCAGGGCTCCAAAACTTACATTTCTCCAGATGGAGCGTTGTTAATATTCTGGATTTGTGGCACTGCACTATTTTGAAACAAATAAAATGAAGCAGTAAAAAGTAAGTTTGTTTGCCATATGGCTGTTTATTTCTCTGTGTAGAGCCTAACTGTGAAATATATGGCTCCTCAATATGGGACAGCCACATATTCACACCGGTGCACCTGCTTTTAGCATGAGGAATCCTTCTTTTGAGGACAATAAATTCATGGTATCATGATTTGAAGAATTTTTCTCATCATTTATGAGACTGTGGAGAGCGGTCTGGCTTATAAGACATGGAAAATGAGATTATACATCGGTAGGTTTTACCCTTTAAAATATATGTATTATTTAAAAATGCAAAAAAGCTGTTTTAGGTAAGTAAAAGAATGTGATAGATAGAAATGTGACTGTTAATACTGTGGGAGAGGCTTGTGTTCCAATTCTACCTGTGACAGGGATTTCTAATGTAGCCCTGAGCAAGGAATGACATTTCTCTACCTAATCTATTCTACCTTTATAATTGGAATTTAAATAATAGAATTACAGAGTTATAGATTTCTCAAAATTTGATCTAGGTTTGCCTCCAGGAAAAATAAAATGAGGATACCAAAAGAAGTATTTTCTTCCCTGAAAAGAAACAACTTCTGTTCCTAATCATCAGTACAGTGATGTTTTCAGGGTCAGGGGTCAACCTGTTCTTTAGAACTTGCTTTCTCTTGTCCTACTTGAAAGTCGAGGAGAGAGTGACCTCTTACAAACCTACAGAGGATTTTAAAGTGCTGCTTTCAGGCCATAATAAGAGGCAAAGAGATTCTGCCAGGATAAATACTTTGCTTAGGTTTGGACCCAACACTCTCAGACAGTCACATACCTACAAACTCTTCTCAGATACAACTGTTTACATTTGTAAATGTGCCTTTCAATATCTTACTTAAATCTTCCATCCTTTCTTTTATAAAAATGTCTGCTTTATTGCATAAATTTTGCAATCCTTTTATAATATTTCAACCTTAATACCTTTAAAACTTGAAAGTAGAAACAACTCATCAACAAGTATTAATTACTTGTATACATAATAGAAATCCTTGAAACATTAAAATACTTGTTTAATCTAAAAAGTTAAACACCAAGCATATAGTAAGTATTGTTTATTACTTAATAGGAAAGTATGGTTAATATTTTAGAATATTACAATCTCTTAGTCTAGTATAGAAATAGGCTCAGGTGATTCTCCTGCTTCAGCCTCCCAAGTAGGTGGGACTATAGGTATGCACCACACCTGGCTAATTTTTGTATTTTTAGTAGAGGCAGTGTTTTGCTCTGTTGGCCAGGCTGGTTGAACTCCTGACCTCAGGTGATCCACCCGCCTCTGCCTCCCAGGGTGGTGGGATTGCAGGTGTGACCCACAGCACCTGGCCAGTGTTTTTTTTAAATATTCTTTGACAGTCTCGTTGCCGTGTCAATTAGGTCAGTGCCTTTAAAAATATGTATATGTACGTCTCAAAAATAAAGTAAAATAGTAAGTATTAAAAAAGTAATAGAAACATAAGAAATAGAACTAATGTATGAAAAAACTGTATTCTAAAAAGAATACACTGTTGTAAAAAATAAGATCAATTTTCTTTTTTTATGTAAGAATATAAATTCTCATAAAATTCTTGTATAAATTCTTATATAAATTTATAATATAAATTACAATATTTCCAATACTTGTCAGCTTCCATGCTTCACCTTAATCAAACTGTTTCACCAAAAACTACATCAATGTGCCTATCTCTTGATGTTTTTGGATTTTATTGTCATATAAGCGTCTTATTAAAGCATCTTAGAGTATGTGCTGCTTCCTGCTCAACAAGTCTGAGTAGCATGAGCTCCTTAAAAGAGTAAATCAGCTTGAAATTCTGTGAGGTTGTGCATTAGTATCCTCGAGCTGAGATAACAAAGTACCACAAAATAGTGGCTTAAAACAATGGAAATTTATTGCCTCACACGTTTCAAAGCTAGAAGTCACGATGTTGGTAGAGGGTAGGATTGGTTCCTTACAAGGGCACCAAGGGAAAATCTAGACCATGCCTTTTTTTTCTAGCTTCTGGTATTAGCTGGCACTCCTTGGGATTTCTGGGCTTATAAATGCATCACATCTCTGCCTCCATCTTCACATCAAGTTCTGCCTGTGACTCTGTCTTCACATGGCTGTCTTCTTACAGGGACACCAGTCATATTGGCCGAGGACCACTTGACTTCGGTATAACCTCATTAACTAATTAACTATATTAATATAACTAATTAACTAATTAATATAACTAATTAACCTGCAATGATCTTATTTCCAAATAATATCACATTCTGTTGAACTGAGAACTGGGACTTCAACATATATTTTTCCAAGACATAATTCAACCCATAATAGATGTATATTCAGATATATTTAGTTAATATTGTCAGAAAGCACGAATTCTGATAAAGCATGAATGTATGTCATTGAAGGTATATTAATGGCCCTACTTAACAATTGGTTTTTAAAAATTTGCTTAATAGAGAAATGAATTTGCTCCAATATATCAATGACCTCCAGATTTCAGTTTACGTTGATTTTCATTGTTAAAGATCTATTTGGTTTTGCACCTCTGAACAACAGCTTACATTATAATATTATTTGAATCCATATTCCTGCATCTTTCAAGTCTTTTTTAATGGTACAAATTGGTGCAATTATCTCAAGAATGTGACACATACGGTTTGCTATTTGATAATAAGATGCTGTGATAAGAATTTACCCTTAGTTTTTCTTGCCATCTACAGCCCTGTCAGGTCGGGGGACCAATATGAGGATTCTGCAGGTTTCCAAATAACAATGTCAATGAGGCATTAATGAACTGAAAACATATATATATATATATATATATATATATATATATATATATATATATATATATATATATATATGGTGGTTTGAGAATTTACTGGGCCTACTCCAAGATTCACCTGGGCCAAAATTCTACTTAGCACCTCATCACCATAAGCCCTCTGGTAACCTATAAATAATCAAAGGAAGACTTGCAGCATATAACCTATATACCCTTTTATCAAGAGAACTGAGCGCTCATTTCAATCACAGAAATCTCAGGTTGCCAAGCAATGTGAGGAATCAAAGTTTGTATCCTGTTTGCAAGCTCATAATTTAAATTGCTAAAGTTTCATGGATGTTGGCAAAAGACAAGAGACTCCTGAATCAGGGAAAAATAATTTTATTACTCAAAGACAGGCAGAAAACATAAGTTTAATATCTGCATTGGTTTCCCTTGCCCACAGTTCCCACAGAGCATTGCAGAGCCACCAACATAGATGCTTTGCCTGCAGTGGGTTTGCATCTCAACTAAAAAACACCAAACTTAAAATACCCCAATCTTTCACAATGGGTTGCAAGCAAACCTGCCCAACCTTTGCCCCAGAAAAAGACATTATCTTTATTATGGGGAAAAATATCTCCGTCTGTCCTAGAGGAGACTTTACTTATCTTTCAGTGTTGCTTGTCTTATAAACATCTTAATAAAGATCCAAAACAAAAGTTGTCTATGTCTCTGCTCAAAAGACTTGCCAAAAAATGAGGGACCCCATGGAGAACTGTATTTCAACACAGTATGTGTTGAATTGTATTGTATTGAACCAATGTATGAATTGGTTTAGACCTGGAAAATGAGTGACAGATAATTACTTCCAATTGTAGTTACCCCAGTGGGATTTTTGCTAACCAGACTAAAAAATTTTCCCGTAATATAGATAAGTAATTTTTTAAGCTGATGGTACTCCCAGATTAGTGTGTTTCTCAATGTATTTGTAAGGAAGAGTCCTCTGGGCCCTCTGGTTAGCAAAGTTAGTGGAAAGTGGTAGTGGGAGAGAATGAATGGGTACAACTTAATAACTCTAAATAGCACACACTCTGGGGACTGTGGTGGGGTCGGGGGAGGGGGGAGGGATAGCATTGGGAGATATACCTAATGCTAGATGACACATTAGTGGGTGCAGTGCACCAGCATGGCACATGTATACATATGTAACTAACCTGCACAATGTGCACATGTACCCTAAAACTTAGAGTATAATAAAAAAAAAAAAAAAAAGAAAAAAAAAATAAATAAATAAATAAATAAATAAATAGCATTCTTATTGTCTTAGTCTTTGGATTTTTTTTTTTCATAATGGCAGAGAAGTTCTGGCATTTTGATCTAATTGACTATAGGCTACCATTGAATCTACATTTTTATTCAGATGGTTAGAGCCACTTTCCATTATCTGAGCAAGCACATTAAAAGCAAAACTCTGGTAAGTGCGTTTTTATGAACATATTAAGCCTGACAATTCTTAAATCAGCCTTTACACTTCTTGTATTCCTGCTTATGAACGTTAGCAAGATTTTGCAACATTTTTGACATCTAAGACATCTTAAAGATCTGCTAGACATGAGACTATCTCACTCAATGAATCTAGAAGCAACAAGGAATACTGGGAATGGATCCTGAGACGATGCATCTCCTTGCTAGGCAATTCCTGCATTGAAGGTTTGAGGATTCAACGTTCTCAGATTTCTCTAAATCTGGCCTAAGTTTGCCAGCTCAAATCTTAGGTTCCCTCTCCTTTCCAATTAATGCCCTAATCTTAACATTTGGTCAGACTGTGAATTTGACTTGCAAGTTGCTCACACTACCCATTAGCTTAATTTTTGTTTTGTTCTTCAGCAATGCATGATCAGATATTTTTAAAAAGAAAAAAATTAGAGATTTTTTAAAAGATATAGGCACTGTGGTTCTCTATTCTTTCCTCGAAAGAGAAGTTTATGCCCCTGTGCTCATAATATACTTTTGGTAAACTTTTCCCAGTAAGATGGTACAACATCCCATTAATCTTGTCTTCATTGTTAATTGACTTGTAGGTCAAATTTTAAATAGATGCAAGTCAATGCAAGGGATATTTTTAACAAAGTTAATACAATTGCTGAGAACACTAATGTGGAATGAGAGGAGATGTAACTGTAGCTTGATACATTGGCCGAGCAAAGGAATAATCAGTAGCTTCCTTCTTCTCGATCTCCAACCTCCTCTTAGTGCCAGCTAGTGGCTGAAACTAGCTTGAAATACTTTGCAAGGGAACAGAAATATGCTTGATTGCAATGCAAAGTGGAATGTGGCAGATAGAATAGTATTCCTACCATACCCCAAAGAGGTTCACATACTAAACTCCAGAACTTGTGAATATGTTATGTTTAATAGCAAAGGAGAATTAAGATTGCAGATGAAATTAACATTTGTAATCAGCTGTCTTTAAAATAAGAAAAGTATCTTGGATCATATGTAGGGCTCAATATAATCACCAGATTTCTTCAGATGTGGAAGAGTCATGCAGAAGACTTAGAGACAGAGAAGATACAAGGAAAGAAACAAGTTTGAATTGAGCAAGTAGAGGTTCAACTCACTGTTGCTGGCTTTGAAGATGGAAGGAGGCCCACCAGGGCTAGGGATACAGACAGCCTCTAGAAGCTGGAAAAGTCAAGGAAACATAATCTCTCCTAGAGTCTCCAGAGGGAGCGTAGCCCTACAAACACATTGATTTTAGCCCAGTGTGATGACTATTTTAGAACAGTAAACTCCAAAATTGCAAGATAACAAATTTATTTGTATTTTAAGCCACTAAATTTGTGGTAATCTGTTATAGTGACAATAGAAAACTAATGCAAAGAGCAAGTAAAGGTATAGTATATGAGAACCGACAGGCAAATAACCCACACATCTAATACTTTTAATTCTTAGAGTATCAACTCACAATATCTGTGCACTGTGAAAGAAGTGTCTTTCTGTGTATGAACAGTAGGCTATGCATAAACCCTACTGGGACCAACCCCCTTTTAATCCACTCAATTATATCACTGTAAAACTTTATTAATAAATCTGATTTTAATTATTATTATTATACTTTAAGTTCTAGGGTACATGTGCACAATGTGCAGGTTAGTTACGTATGTATACATGTGCCATACTGGTGTGCTGCACCCATTAACTCGTCATTTAGCATTAGGTATATCACCTAAAGCTATCCCTCCCTCCTCCCCCGACCCCACAACAGTCCCCAGAGTGTGATGTTCCCCTTCCTGTGTCCATGTGTTCTCATTGTTCAATTTCCACCTATGAGTGAGAATATGTGGTGTTTGGTTTTTTGTTCTTGAGATAGTTTACTGAGAATGATGATTTCCAATATCATCCATGTCCCTACAAAGGACATGAACTCATCCTTTTTTATGGCTGCATAGTATTCCATGGTGTATATGTTCCACATTTTCTTAATCCAGTCTATCATTGTTGGACATTTGGGTTGGTTCCAAGTCTTTGCTATTGTGAATAGTGCCACAATAAACATACATGTGCATGTGTCTTTATAGCAGCACGATTTATAGTCCTTTGGGTATATACCCAGTAATGGGATGGCTGGGTCAAATGGTATTTCTAGTTCTAGATCCCTGAGGAATCACCACACTGACGTCCACAATGGTTGAACTAGTTTACAGTCCCACCAACAGTGTAAAAGTGTTCCTATTTCTCCACATCCTCTCCAGCACCTGTCGTTTCCTGACTTTTTAATGATTGCCATTCTAACTGGTGTGAGATGGTATCTCATTGTGGTTTTGATTTGCATTTCTCTGATGGCCAGTGATGATGAGCATTTTTTCATGTGTTTTTTGGCTGCATAAATGTCTTTTTTTGAGAAGTGTCTGTTCATATCCTTCACCCACTTTTTGATGGGGTTTTTTTTCTTGTAAATTTGTTTGAGTTCATTGTAGATTCTGGATATTAGCCCTTTGTCAGATGAGTAGGTTGCAAAAATTTTCTCCCATTCTGTAGGTTGCCTGTTCACTCTGATGGTAGTTTCTTTTGCTGTGCAGAAGCTCTTTAGTTTAATTAGATCCCATTTGTCAACTTTGGCTTTTGTTGCCATTGCTTTTGGTGTTTTAGACATAAAGTCCTTGCCCATGCCTATGTCCTGAATGGTATTGCCTAGGTTTTCTTCTAGGGTTTTTATGATTTTAGGTCTAACGTTTAAGTCTTTAATCCATCTTGAATTAATTTTTGTATAAGGTGTAAGGAAGGGATCCAGTTTCAGCTTTCTACATATGGCGAGCCTGTTTTCCCAGCACCATTTATTAAATAGGGAATCCTTTCCCCATTGCTTGTTTTTCTCAGGTTTGTCAAAGATCAGATAGTTGTAGATATGCGGCGTTATTTCTGAGGGCTCTGTTCTGTTCCATTGTTTTGGTACCAGTACCATGCTGTTTTGGTTACTGTAGTGTTGTAGTATAGTTTGAAGTCAGGTACTGTGATGCCTCCAGCTTTGTACTTTTGGCTTAGGACTGACTTGGAGATGGGAGCTCTTTTTTGGTTCCATATGAACTTTAAAGTAGTTTTTCCAATTCTGTGAAGAAAGTAATTGGTAGCTTGATGGGGATGGCATTGAATCTATAAATTACCTTGGGCAGTATGGCCATTTTCATGATATTGATTCTTCCTACCCATGAGCATGGAATGTTCTTCCATTTGTTTGTCTCCTCTTTTATTTCATTGAGCAGTGGTTTGTAGTTCTCCTTGAAGAGGTCCTTCACATCCCTTATAAGTTGGATTCCTAGGTATTTTATTCTCTTTGAAGCAGTTGTGAATGGGAGTTCACTCATGATTTGGCTCTCTGTCTGTTATTGGTGTATAAGAATGCTTGTGATTTTTGTACATTGATTTTGTATCCTGAGACTTTGCTGAAGTTGTCTATCAGCTTAAGGAGATTTTGGGCTGAGACAATGGGGTTTTCTAGAAATACAATCATGTCATCTGCAAACAGGAACAGTTTGACTTCCTGTTTTCCTAATTGAATACCCTTTATTTCCTTCTCCTGCCTGATTGCCCTGGCCAGAACTTCCAACACTATGTTGAATAGGAGTGGTGAGAGAGGGCATCCCTGTCTTGTGCCAGTTTTCAAAGGGAATGCTTCCAGTTTTTGCCCATTCAGTATGATATTGGCTGTGGGTTTGTCATAGATAGCTCTTATTATTTTGAGATACGTCCCATCAATACCTAATTTATTGAGAGTTTTTAGCATGAAGGGCTGTTGAATTTTGTCAAAGGCCTTTTCTGCATCTATTGAGATAATCTTGTGGTTTTTGTCTTTGGTTCTGTTTATACGCTGGATTACATTTATTGATTTGCATATATTGAACCAGCCTTGCATCCCAGGGATGAAGCCCGACACAACCAAAAAATAGAATTTTAGACCAGTATCCTTGATGAACACTGATGCAAAAATCCTTAATAAAATGGATTTATTTTTTAAAAGCAATACTTTAAAACAATTTATGTGGAATGATTCATACATATGTATTTTATAAAACTGCTTCTGAATAACTTTTCATTAAGAAAATAAGGGCTACTCTCAAAATCATTATCAGAATCAATTATGGAAAGAGTACAGTGTGATAAGCAAGGAACAATTGTAGAGAAAACTCAGCTGAGGCAGCTGAATAATTTGGAGATAGGATCAAGTTAAGGGTCCAATTTGGTTCCTATAGATTAGGAAATGTACAGATTTTTTTTTTTTTTTTTTTGAGACGGAGTTTCCTCTTATTGCCCAGGCTGGAGTGTAATGGCGTGATCGGCTCACTGGAAGCTCACCGCGTGATTTCGGCTCCCAAGTTCAAGCGATTCTTCTGCCTCAGCCTCCCAAGTAGTTGGGATTACAGGCCTGCGCCACCACACCCAGCTAATTTTGTATTTTTAGTAGAGATGGGGTTTCTCCATGTTGGCCAGGCTGGTCTCAAACTCCCTACCTCAGGTAATCCGCCCGCCTGGGCCTCCCAAAGTGCTGGGGTTACAGGCGTGAACCATCACGCCGGGCCTGTATAGCTATTTTATACTGAGATGGGTTAGCTTAGAACATAGGCCATGAAACCAACCTGCAACATATGGAGAGGATTCAGGACCCAGTTGAATGGACACTGTCATCATTCGCTTCAAAGGTACAATTTGTGCAGGAGAAGGCTGAAGCCAATTGGATGCTAAATATATGTTAAAAGTTATGTGCTCAGGGTAAATGGACCAATGTCAGGTTGTAGATATCTAAGCCGGAGAACACAGGCAGAAGTGCAGCACTCTTACACAAGCTCAGATAGACTTTCTTATTTAGAGGAAGCTAAGCACAAAACCAACCAACCGTCCAAATAAACAAACTAAAAAGGCAGTAGTAGGAAACGAAACACAGAGTAGAAAACTAGACAACCAGACACAGCTTTTCAGGATCCCAAGAAATTAAGTGCTTTCTGTAATCAGCCCGGCTAGAATGATTGCTTTTTCTTTTTTTTTTAAAATTATTATTATACTTTAAGTTTTAGGGTACATGTGCACAATGTGCAGGTTAGTTACATATGTATACATGTGCCATGCTGGTGCGCTGCACCCACTAACTCGTCATCTAGCATTAGGTATATCTCCCAGTGCTATCCCTCCCCCCTCCCTCCACCCCACAGCAGTCCCCAGAGTGTGATGTTCCCCTTCCTGTGTCCATGTGTTCTCATTGTTCAGTTCCCACCTATGAGTGAGAATATGCAGTGTTTGGTTTTTTGTTCTTGCGATAGTTTACTGAGAATGATGATTTCCAGTATCATCCATGTCCCTACAAAGGACGTGAACTCATCATTTTTTATGGCTTTTTCTTCCTGCTTTTAAGCAGTCTTGTTGTTGATAAAATGAGTTCACAGTGCAGGCTGTTTCTCAGAGCAAGGTAGGTACAAATATTTGTTGTAGAGAAACAAATCTCTTAATCTGGGAAGTAATTGGAGTATTAACAAGTATTTATTTTTCTTATTCCTGTAGTTAACAGATATTTAAAAATTGATGACACTATAGTCATTTTGCTACACACTAAAAATTTAAATATAGCTCCCCTCTTCAAGAAATGTATTGTTGGTTAATTTAGGCATCTAGATTAGTTTAAGCATCCTATAAATTGATTGTGTCTTTCATGGACCTAAATTCTGACTTGTATTCCTCATAGTTAAGTTTATTTAATTCTTACACTCTGTATAAAAGTCAAACAGCTGATCATTACTACCCAGACCATGTTCATGAAATACGGGAGAGGGTTTAAATTTCTCTCAAAACTATTCATCACCAGACATATTTTCTATTCTCATTTTTTATTTTCTTTCTTTTTAATGAACCATCAATATTTTCCATGTCTCAGTTGAGTTTTGGAACTTAAAATTAGATGTAAAGAAAACATGTTTATACTGTATATTTTATTTGATAATGACAGTCAAAATTTCTAAATACAGAACATGGGCCATAGCTTATGTAAAAGGTGAAATAATGTATCTGGATTTCTGCTGATAAAACTTTCCAATAACTGTTGGAAAATAACATTGAATACAGACTCTTGCAGGAAGACTTAAAGTGCAAATCTGTAGGCTTTCTCAAATTTAGCAGGTTAAATCTGGAGTTAGTACTCCCTTGTGATACCTTAGCATTTTAGCATGTTAAAGATAAAGCACATTTAATGATCACAGGAGAGAATGCAATTACAAATACAAGCTCATTTGCACTCCCTTCCTATTCTCTGGTTTAGCTAGAAAACTGGAGTAAACATCTGTGTATATAGTGCAATTTGAACTGTAAGAGAAAATGATACTTCTAGATTAAATAATTCCAGCCTCAACTAGCTAGCCAGAAGCAGCATGAATGCAGCGTTTCAAGTAATACTTGAAAATACATGGAATACTTCTATTTTGCTTGTACTGGGTCATCTGAATAAAATCTGAACATGTCCAATTCATTCAGAATATAATCCAATTTAGCTTTATACCTAATTGAAAATATGTTTCCTCTGAATTGTCTTACTAATTAGCAAACCAGGATTTTGTTGCTATGTAACTGTTTTCTGTTTGAAATATTTACATAAGCTAACATAATTGAAGTAATTATACTAAAACCTTTATTAATTAAACCGTTAAATCTCTATCAATCTTAACTCACTTTTGACACTAAAAAAAAACCAAAGGCATAGATTTGGTATTTTGGCAAATTATCATATTTTGTCTTCCCTTTTGTAATTATCAGAGCCAAGAAATTAAAATAATTTTTTTAACCCATAACAAAGTCACAGGAGAATTCCAGACAGATTCCTCTTGAGTTCTGCTGGAGTTTCCCTGACACTTGCCCAAGAAAATGTAAAGATTAAAACCTGAATTTGGAACACTGAGCCTCAAAGAGCTGACCTATTACAGCTGTTTAGATGACAAATGCAAAATATTTTAGAAGTGAAAACCAGTGGTAGCAGAGAAGAGGAGGGGTCAAGGTGGAGAAATCAGATGTCCAAAATACGAAGTGTTTCCAATAATTCAATTTTTATAAAAAATAGAAACATTGACTGTGCTAAACTAGCCAAAATACTTTGGAGGCATTTTATTTATACTGTGTGAATTTAAGCTAGAAAAATAATTTTAAGTAATAACTCAAACTAGTGGTGTCATAGACCTAACCTCAGTGAAATCCAAGGAGCTATCTTGTGAGCAATTTGAAAAGAAATATTTCATCATATCTTATCAAATAGGATATTTAAAATTCTGAGCTAGTTTATGTTAATCCCATGCTTCAATTAATACATTATTTGATTATGTTTACTTAATAAAAACTATGAAAGATTAGAACTCTTAACTTACAAATAATAATATAGTGTTCTTTAAATAAACAATTCCCTGGCACTGCTTTCTTCAGGTAATGCAAGTAACTGCTTTGAGTCATAGACAGTCATAGATACCTTTTCTAGGTTTAATTATGAAGGGAAAAGACTTTCAAATATAGTTAAAGGGAAAAATAATTAATGCAAAAATTACAGTTTAAAATGTAATCCTCACCCCTCAGATTACAAAGGATAACATTAAATGATCCACAGCTAATAATCACTCTCAACACATATAAATATTCTTCACAACTTCTCAATGTATACCCAAGGACTAAGGAGTTCATAAATGTTATATTAGGAAGCTCTTATTTTATGATGCAAACCACGACTGTGACCCAAAGCAAGAACATACAATACTTTCCTGTTGGATATTCAGTCACTTTCATTCCCTTTGATGCTCTTTCCTCACTTTCAGGGAAGGAGCAGAGGGAGTTCAGGTTTGTGGCCTGCTCCCCTGTTGTCCTTCATTCTACAGGCACTGAAAATGAGATGAAATCTCAACTGCTCACTAGTGCACACACACGCAATCCACTGGCTTTCATCAGTAACTTTTCTTCTTTATGAAAGTTTCTATCAGAGAGCAGTGCACCTTATTATACAGTCCATCCAGCTCCACTCACCATGGTCTGGTGTGAAATGAGGAATTGCAGAAAATTCCACAAAAGATTTCTTCATCTGTAAGATCCTCAGATGAGTTCTTTTTCTTTTACAGTGTTGAGGAGTAGCTGAACTGAATGAGTCTCCATAGGCATGCAAGAATTGGTAGATCATAAAGGTTTCTATGGCCCTGATAACCTCCTTAGTTATTTTACTCCACCAACAGAACTGTTAGGGGGTGGAGTCATCATCTCCATGATCAAAGTAGGTGGTCCTAAATATTTGCCATTAGATGAAAGTTTCCAACAACAGTGAGGAAGAGTAGCTCTTATTAATTGTATTTATTTTTGTTTTTTGTTCATTTTTTTTCCTTTTTATAAGGTATAGTTGAAATTTTTCTAAAGGTATCAAAGATAAGATAAAAATTCAAGATATCACTATTTTATACTTGCATCAACTTCTTTTGTACCTCATATAAATGTAAGCTTTTAAAAAAAAGTAAAAGGAGGAAATAAAAACACAGCAACAATAATGCATAAATCCAAATAACCTTGCTGAGTCATATAATCTGTTTTTTTACTCTAAAAAGGAATAACTATGAATATATTACAAAAAGTGTTAAATCTTACAAGGAAACATCTACCTGTATTAGAATTGAAAAGGAAAATATGTGCCTCAGTATTAAGAATTTGAAGTTCAGAAAGATTTGTAGAATAACCATAAGAAGTGCATCTCTAGTCTAGGATTGCTCTCACAACTTCTAATGTTCTTGCTTGTAAACATATTGTAATTATTTAAAACATAGATATTATACATGTATTGACTTAAAAATATTTATTTATTTAATACCTTCTATGTATTAGGCCTTCTCCTATGCAAGGAGGATACAAATGTAAAACATACAGAGCAGGAGATAGAAAATAAATGAATAAATGAATATACCATAGAAAGATGAGGTAAGTACAATGACATAAACAATAAATTAAGGTAAATATTAGACAGTGATGAGGGATGCTAATTAACACCCCTTTCTGAGGGGGACAACTGAACAAAGACCAGAAAAACTGAGAGTGTAAGCCACACAGGTGTCTCTGGGAAGAAGCTATCAGGGAAAGAGGACATCAAGATGCAGTTCCTGAGGCAGGTGTTGCCTTGGTATGTTCAAAGAAATACAAAGTGGTCAGTATACCTGAAGTAGACGGATCAAGGGAGAAAGTGAGAAAGACAGATAATGGGTAATATCTGATCTTAGAGGTCATGGCTAGGACTTCAGGTCTTACAGTGTGTATGATGAGAATATATTGTAGACCTGCTAGAATGCCAACATCAGGTATATAATTTAATGGGGGTAACTTCTAGCTTGTAGATACACTATAGTTAGGCAAGAGTGAAAGCAAAAGAACAGCTTGAAGGATATTGTGCTAACATAGCACAATCAAGACAGAATGATGGCTTAATCTGGACTGACAGTGTTGGCATTGATAAGGAGACAATTATTTTTTAAAATACTTCAACTTTATTTTATTGAGGTAAAATTGACAAAACACACAAAAAAATTGTTTTGAAGTGAACAGTTTAGTGGCATTTATATGACAGCATATTCACAATGTTGTCAACCCATCACCTCCATCAAAAGGAAATTCTTTATCCATTAGACTGTTGCTCTCAATTCTCCCCTCCATGTAAACACTGGCAACTACCAATATGTATTCTGTCTCTATGGATTTGCCTATTCTGGATAATTCATGCAATAGAATAATATATGATAGATGACTTTTATGTCTGAGTACTTTCACTTAGCATATTGAAGTTCACCCATGTGGCAGCTATATCAGTACTTCACTCCTTTTAATGACTAAATAATATTCCATCATATGGAAATACCACAGTGAGATTGTCTGGCCATCAGTTGACTAAAATTTGGGCTTTTTTCAACTTTTGGTTATTATGAATGGTGCTAGTATGAACATACATGTAAGTGTATTTGAGTATCTGTTTTCAATTATTTTACATATATATCTAGGATTTGGCTATCTAGGCCATATGGTAATTCTATGAGGAGCTGACAAACTGTTTCTCTTAGCAGTGGAACCATTTTATATTGCCATTGCCAATGTACAAGGTTTCCAATTTTCTATGTCTTTGTCAACAATTCTTATTTCCTGGGTGGCTTTTTCATTTGGTTTGCTTTTGTGTTTTTTTATTATCATCACCTGGTAGGTGTGCAGTGATACTCACTATGGGTTTTTATCTACATTTTCCCCTAATGAATAATAACATTGAGCATCATTTCATGTGCTTATTGTTTATTTGTATATCTTCATGACAAAAATCTGTTAAAGACCTTGTTTTATTTTTTAATTTACTTTTTGCATTTTGGTTGTTGAGTTGTAAGATATTTTCTGGACATTCAATTCTGATCATATATATAATTTGCAACTATGTTCTCCCATTATATAAGTTTCTTTTTACTTTCTTTATAATATCCTTTAATGAACAAAATTTTTGATTTTGATGAATCCAACTTATCTGATTTTTTTGCTATTCATCCTTTTGGTGTCAAATCTAAGAATACATGGCCAAATCCACTGTCATAAAGATTTACCCTTATGTTTTTTTTTCTAAGAGTCTTATGGTTTTAGTTATTATGTTTAGATTGTTAATTCATTTTGAGTTTTTTGATATGGTTTAAGATAGATGCCCTAATTTATTATTTTTTTTTTGCATGTGGATACCTTGTTGTCTAGTACAATTTGTTGAAAAGACAATTCTTTGCCCATTGAATAATCTTGGCACTCATGCTGAAAATCATTTAGCCATAAATGTCTTGCTTGTTCTCTATCATTTAGCCATAAATGTCTTGTTTGTTAATCTTTGTCTTGTTGTTGATCTTAAAATTAATGGGTGCAGCACACCAACATGGCGCATGTATATATATGTAACAAACCTCCACGTTGTGCACATGTACCCTAAAACTTAAAGTATAATAAAAAAAATGAAAGCTTTCTGTCTTTCACCATCGAGTATGATGTTAACTATAGGTTTCTTGAGGAATACCCTTTATTGTGTCGAGGAATTTTTTCTCTATTCTTAGTTTCCTGGAAATTTTTATCATGAAAGAGGTTTTTCCAAATACCTTCTTTGCATCAATTGAGATTATCACATATTTTTTTCTTCATTGTGTTAATGGCATGCATTGCACTGATTATCTTATATTGCACTACCCTTTCATTCTTGGAATATATCCCAGTTAGGCATGATGCATAACCCTTTTAATATACTGCTGAATTTATTCTGTTGAGAATTTTGACATCTATATGCATTGCAGATATTGGTATATAGATTTATTTTTGTGTGCGTTGTCTTTGTCTGGCTTTGATATTAGGGTAATGATGGCCTTGCAAAATGAATTGGAAAGTGTTCCATTCTCTTCTGTTTTCTAAGACCTTGAGAAGAATGGGTGTTACTTCCCTTCTTGAATATCTGGTAAATTTCATCAATGAAAACATTTGATTATGAATTTTTCTTGATGAAAAGTATTCTTGTTGAGAAATATTCAGTATTTTTTTCTGTCTTCTCAAAGCTGCCATTGAAATCCTCTAATAAGTTTTTCATGTCCCTCTTGAATATTTCAGCTTTAGAATTTCTATTTGATTTCATTATCTATTAGTATATCATGTACTATAATTATTTCTTTATTGATACTCTCTAGTTGTTTATACATTATTTTTCTGTTTTTCTATAGGTCTTTGAACATATTTAAGACACTTGATTTAAAGTCATTGTTTAGTGAGTCCAAAGTCTATATTTCTTCAGAAACAGTATTTTAAATTTTTTCTATAAATGAGCCGTATTTCTTGTTTCATCCTTTGTAATTAAGTAAAATCAACATTTTAAATATGATAGTGTGGTAATTTGGAAATTAGGGTCTTCCCCTCCTCAGGAGTTGTTTGATTGCTTGCTATAAGCTAGTGTTCTTTATTTCCTTGAATTTCAGAAGCCAGATAAAGAGGTGGGGGGGAAAGAAGAAAGGAGAAAGGAAAATAAAAGAAAGAGAGAAAAAACAAAAAAGAAGAAAATGAAAAAATAAATAAATAAAACCTCTCCCACTTTTTGCTGATGGCTCCCTGCTGACATACCTTCCACACTTAGGTCATTTATAACTCTGCCTTACCTTTTATTTTCTGCTTCTAGTGTGCCTAGAGATTAGAAACAGGTAAAAGTTTAGGGTTTTTGAAGACTGTTACAGAACATACATCCTGCCCTGGGCCTGACTGTGGCACTGTATATTCTTCATTATACATGGTTAGTTTAAATGCTCTAATTTCCTCCAAGCAACTCTTTTTTCAGCTTTTTCTCCACAGATTTTTTGCTTTATTCTATATCTCAATTTTAATCTTTTTCCATGGTAGCTGTGGGTTGTTTGCCTTATAGTGTTTTGGACAAATACCCACTGCTTATCTATCCCGAATGAATTACACGTTAGGCGAGACTAGGACAAGCACCTTGTGTCAGTTATTCAGGTAGGTCTAGAAGGGCTAAAACCAACTAATACAATTATTTAAGAGTAAAGGTGGAAGTCCTAGCAAAATAATCAGGCAAGAGAAAGAAATAAAAGGCATCCAAATAGGAAAAGAAGAAGTCAAACTATCTCTCTTTGCTAACAATACAATTCTATATCTAGAAAGCACTAAACACTTTGCCAATAGGCTCCTAGAGACTGATAAACAACTTTAGTAAAGTTTCAGGATACAAAATCAATTATTAGTAGCATTTCTGTGCACCAACAATGATTATGCTGAGTGCCAAATCAAGAATGCAATTCCATTCACAATAGCCACAAAAAAGAAAGATAAAATACCTAGGAATACCTCTAACCAAGGAGGTAAAATATCTCTGCAAGGAGAACAACAACAACAAAAAGAACACTGTTAAAAGAAATCATAAATGACACAAACAAATTTTAAATAAAACATTCCATGCTCATGTACTGGAAGAATCAACATATTAACAAATTAAACAAAAAGACATCAAATGAAACGTCTAGAAATAAATTCAACCAAGGAGGTAAAATATCTCTACAATGAAAACTATAAACCATTCATGAAAGAAATTGAAGATGATGCAAACTTAAAGAAAGATATCTTGTATTAATAGTTTGGAAGAATATTGTTAAAATGTCTATACTATCCAAAGTCTATCACAATGCTGGTAACATTCTTCATGGAAATAGAAAAAAAAAATCTAAAATTTGCATGGAATCACAAAAGAGCCTGAATAGCCAAAGCAATCTTGAACAAAATAAGAAAGCCAGAGGCATCAGACTACCTTACTTCAAAACATGGAATAAATCTATAGAAGCCAAGCTGCATGGTACTGACAAAAATATAATAATAAGAAATTTAAAAACAGATGAAAGGAGCAATGGAAAAGAATAGAAACCCCAGAAACAAATCTACACATCTACAGTTAGTTGATTTTCCACAAAGATGACAAGTACGTACAATTAGGAAGAAACTGTGTCTTTAATAAATGGTACTAAGGAAGCTGGATATTTATAAATTTTTGATGTAAGTTTTTTGTAAGATATGTGACTTGCAAATACCTTCTCCCCCAGTCTGTGGGTTGTGTTAGCATTCTCTTTACAGAGATTTTTTAGGGGGTTTTTTTGCTATTTTAAATTTATTTTTTCTTTAATTTTTAATTTTTTAAATTATTAATATTTTTAAAATCCAGTAAAGTAAAAATTATAGATATTTTTGTTTTGGTGTTTCATTTAATTAATCTGTCTAAATTTGTGTCATGTCTTCATATTTTTGAGATACATACAGAATTATTTATGAGTAAGATAACTTTTTAGAAGTTTTTATTTGGAATAATTAAGCAGAAGGAAATTTGTTGGGAAGGGTTCAGCCAAAAGTGGATAAATGTCAAAATTAATCGAAGGGTATATTTGAAATTATGAAGCTATTTTCTCTATAATTTTATGTTTGCTGTGTTTCAGAAATTAAGAAATGATGGTTTGTTATATACATTTACAATTTGATCATTGCACAATGATCTTTCCAGGAGTGTGTGCAAATGACTCTATCCACATATATTTTTTACTTTATGTATGTAAAATCCTCTTCATTGTTTTTAAATTTTATTTTCCAACCAATAGGTTTTATACTACTTTAATACCTCCAGTTGAATTGCCATATTTTCTCTGAAAGCACCTTAGAAGAAAAAAAAAAAAGAGAGAAGTGTTAAGAATTATTGTAGAGCCAGCCTTAGTCATAAGTAAGGATTTAGCAAATATTTCACTTGTTCGTCTCTATCCATTTATTTTAGGCTCCTTCCCATCAGTTCATAATAATTCCATTGTAACTAAACACTCTGACCTCTCTGATAGTATTTGCATTTTTTTCAAACAAAACTTATTTTCAAATACTTGATTTCTGTTAAATAGATAAATACTAATAGGCAATGTAACCACATAGTTACATTGTTATTTTATGAGCAACTATAATCTTAAAATAATGTAAACATTCAGTATATTTATTTACATTATATATTTATAAGAACTGAAGTAGTCAGCTCTTATAATATTCAGATTTTTTGCTATTACTTGTTATTTTTCCCCTAAAAGTGATGTTTCAAAGAGAGGGAAGCTGTTGGGCTTTTCGTAAGTATTTTGCTAGCCGTATTTCAACTATTGTTTGCGTAATTATCAAAATAATCCTATGACTTTTGCTATTATTGTACTCATTCTGCAGATGGCAAAACTCATACAAACATAGACAAAGAAGGTCAAAAAAAAAACCTTAGTTGGAATTTTAACATGAGTCTTTATCACATTTTTTTGTAAAATCAGAATGATCTTAAAATATAAATATCATAAAGTAAAATCTGAGATGATTGTTTTCTACCAAATTTCTTCATATCATGGTTAAAGTGTGAACTAAAATATCTGACTTTTAACAACACTTTTTTTTTAACCACACAGGTCATAACTTCAGATATACAGACACTAAGTTCTAGTAATTTCAAAAATTTAGCAACAGAATTGGGTATGTACGGTTGTTCTTTATAATTTCTATGGAGTTTCAGTTACTCTTTATTTTTAAAATAATTCATAAAGAAATCAACAATCTTAAAAAAATTTGTTCATTCTTGGATTCATTTCAATTTTATAGTTTTATTCTGGTGAGGTAGAACTACATTTTTCTGCCATTTTTCAACAATCACTAAAAATGAATCCACGTATAAAGAACTTTAACCTCTTTGGTTTTATATTATTTGAATATAATTCCCAAATAATTAGGGCTCTTTTCTTCCAAATGGTAATATATGAAATGCCATTAAAGAATGATATCCTTGAAAAAGCAAGAATTTAATTATGATTAATCCTCTTGTTTTTATATTCATTAATATACTAGTTGCTTTTTATAACTCTTGGTTTTTATATCTGTGACTAAGTGATTTTTATTCCACATATATACAATGAAAACCATCAATTGGGAGACATCTGCTGACAGTTACTAAGTGTCAGACCTGTGAGGGCAATAGTACGTACACTCAAAGAGGTTAATCTCTAGCGTAGAACAAAAATCAGTAAACACCTGTGTACTCCAGTACATGGGGAGTACCCAGTATGCCAATGTGACAAATAGCATCATGAAAGACACAGTGAAAGCACAGAAAAAGACATCATTTTTATAGAAGAAATAAATTATTAATATCAGATTTAAGTAGGACTCTTAGCTGATCTTGAAATAATGAATGCCTGGATTTAGAAATATGCTACTATAATCATTAAACATATTAAATAATTTAAAAGGAAGTACACTAGTTTATACTTTTTTCTAGACTACTGTATTTCAGCTTCATATGATTCTTGAGGTTTTAAATTCTTTGCAAACATGAGCAATAGAAAAAGATGTATCATTAATATTTCTTTTACAACTATAGAATTATAGTTAGCTAGAGTTTATGTTTCCAAAGGCCAATTCAGAGCCTGGTTTTATTTCTAACCCCCTGATCCCTTATTTCCGTGCCCCGACCTCTTATCTCTGTGCCCCGATCCCTTATTTCCGCACCCTGACCTCTTATCTCTGCACCCCAATCCCTTATTTCCGTGCCCCGACCTCTTATCTCTGTGCCCCAACCCCTTATTTCCACACCCCGACCTGTTTCCCTCTTTTCTGGAGGGTAAGAACCCCTGAACCCCTTCCCTCCGTGTCTCTGCCCTTCTCTTTAAACTTGCCTCCTTCACTATGGGCAACCTTCCACCCTCCATTCCCCCTTCTTCTCCCTTAGCCTGTGTTCTTAAAAACCTAAAAACCTCTTTAACTCACGCCTGACCTAAAACCTAAATGCCTTATTTTCTTCTGCAATGCCACTTGACCCCAATACAAACTCGACAGTGGTTCCAAATAGCCAGAAAATGGCACTTTCAATTTTTCCATCCTACAAGATCTAAATAATTCTTGTCATAAAATGGGCAAAAGGTCTGAGATGCCTGATATCCAGGCATTCTTTCACACATGGGTCCCTCCCTAGTCTCTGTTCCCAATGCAACTCGTCCCAAATCTTCCTTCTTTCCCTCCTGCCTGTCCCCTCAGTCCCAACCCCAAGCATCGCTGAGTCTTTCTAATCTTCCTTTTCTACAGACCCATCTGATCTCTCCCTTCCTCGCCAGGCTGAGCTAGGTCCCAATTCTTCCTCAGCCTCTGCTCCTCCACCTTATAATCCTTTTATCAACTCCCTTCCTCACACCCAGTCCAGCTTACAGTTTTGTTCCATGACTAGCCCTCCCCCACCTGCCCAGCAATTTACTCTTAAAAAGATGGCTGGAGCTAAAGGCACAGTCAAAGTTAATGCTCCTTTTTCTTTATCCCAAATCAGATAGCGTTTAGGCTCTTTTTCATCAAATATAAAAACCCAGCCCAGTTCATGGCTCATTTGTCAGCAACCCTGAGAAGCTTTACAGCCCTAGACCCTAAAAGGTCAAAAGGCCGTCTTATTGTCAATATACATTTTATTACCCAATCTGCTCCCGACATTATGTAAAACTCCAAAAATTAAATTCCGGCCCTCAAAGCCCACAACAGGACTTAATTAACCTCACCTTCAAGGTATACAATAATAGAGGCAGCCAAGTAGCAACATATTTCTGAGTTGCAATTCCTTGCCTCCACTGTGAGACAAACCCCAGCCACATCTCTAACACACAAGAACTTCCAAACGCCGAAACCGCAGTGGCCAGGCATTCCTCCAGGCCCGCCTCCCCCAGGAGCTTGCTACAAGTGCCAGAAATCTGGCCACCACCAGGCCAAGGAATGCCTGCAGCCCAGGATTCCTCCTAAGCCACGTCCCATCTGTGTGGGACCCCACTGAAAATCGGACTGTTCAACTCACCTGGCAGCCACTCCCAGAGCCCCTGGAACTCTGGCCCAAGGCTCTCTAACTGACTCCTTTCCAGATCTTCTCAGCTTAGTGGCTGAAGACTGATGCTGCCCGATCACCTCGGAAGCCCCCTAGACCATCACGGACGCCGAGCTCCAGGTAACTCTCACAGTGGAGGGTAAGTCCGTCCCCTTCTTAATCAATACGGAGACTACCCACTCCACATTACCTTCTTTTCAAGGGCCTGTTTCCCTTGCCTCCATAACTGTTGCAGGTATTGACGGCCAGGCTTCTAAACTTCTTAAAACTCCCCAATTCTGGTGCCAACTTAGACAATACTATTTTAAGCACTCCTTTTAGTTATCCCCACCTGCCCAGTTCCCTTATTAGGCTGAGACACTTGAACTAAATTATCTGCTCCCCTGACTATTCCTGGGCTACAGCTACATCTCATTGCCATCTTTTTGCCCAGTTCAAAGCCTCCTTCACATCCTCCCCTTGTATCTCCCCACCTTAACCCACAAGTATAGGACACCTCTACTCCCTCCTCAGTGAACGATCATGCACCCCTTACCATCCCATTAAAACCTAATCACCCTCACCCTGTTCAATGCCAATATTCCATCCCACAGCACGCTTTAAAAGGATTAAAGTCTGTTATTACTTACCTGTTACAGCATGGCCTTTTAAAGCCTATAAACTCTCCTTAACAATTCCCCCATTTTACCTGTCCTAAAACCAGACAAGACTTACAGGTTAGTTCAGGATCTGCACCTTATCAACCAAATTGTTATGCCTATCCACCCTGTGCTGCCAAACCCATATATTCTCCTATCCTCAATACCTCCCTCTACAACCCATTATTCTGTTCTGGATCTCAAACATGCTTTCTTTACTATTCCTTTGCTATTTCTTTACTATTTCTTTACTATTTCTTTACTATTCTTTACTATTCCTTTACTATTTCTTTACTATTCCTTTGCACCCTTCATCCCAGCCTCTCTTCGCTTTCGCTTGGACTGACCCTGACAGCCATTAGGCTCAGCAAATTACCTGGGCTGTACTGCCACAAGTCTTCACAGACAGCCCCCATTACGTCAGTCAAGCCCAAATTTCATCCTCATCTGTTACCTATCTCAGCATAATTCTCATAAAAACACATGTGCTCTCTCTGCCGATCATATCCGACTGATCTCTCAAACCCCAGCACCTTCTACAAAACAATTTGTTTCCTTCCTAGGCATGGTTAGTGCAGTCAGAAGTCTTACACAAGAGCCAGGACCACACCCTGTAGCCTTTTTATCCAAAAAACTTGACCTTACTGTTTGGCCTAGCCCTCAAGTCTGTGTGCAGCGGCCGCCGCTGCCCTAATACTTTTAGAGACCCTTAAAATCACGAACTATGCTCAGCTCACTCTCTACAGTTCTCATAACTTGCAAAATCTATTTTCTTCCTCACATCTGACACACATACTTTCTGCTCCCGGCTCCTTCAGCTGTACTCACTCTTTGTTGAGTCTCCCACAATTGCCATTGTTCCTGGCCTGGACTTCAATCCCACCTCCCACATTATTCCTGATACCACACCTGACTCCCATGACTGTATCTCTCTGATCCACCTGACATTCACCTCATTTCCCCATATTTCCTTCTTTCCTGTTCCTCACCCTGATCACACTTGGTTTATTGGTGGCAGTTCCACCAGGCCTAATTGCCACACACCAGCAAAGGCAGGCTATGCTATACACTAGCCCGCCTCTTAGAACCTCTCATTTCCTTCCCATCGTGGAAATCTATCCTCAAGGAAGTAACTTCTCAGTGTTCCATCTGCTGTTCTACTACTCCTCAGGGATTATCCAGGCTCCCTCCCTTCCCTACACATCAAGCTCGAGGATTTGCCCCCACCCAGGACTGGCAAATTGACTTTACTCCTGTGCCCCCAGTCAGAAAACTAAAATACCTCTTAGTCTAGGTAGACACTTTCACTGGATAGGTAGAGGCCTTTCCTACAGGGTCTGAGAAGGCCACCACAGTCATTTCTTCCCTTCTGTCAGATATAATTCCTCAGTTTAGCCTTCCCACCTCTACACAGTCCAATAGCAGACCGGCCTTTATTAGTCAAATCAGCCAAGCATTTTTTCAGGCTCTTGGTATTCAGTGAAACCTTTATATACCTTACAGTCCTCAGTCTTCAGGAAAGGTAGAACAGACTAATGGTCTTTTAAAAACACACCTCACCAAGCTCAGCCACCAACTTAAAAAGGACTGGACAATACTTTTTACCATTTTCCCTTCTCAGAATTCAGGCCTGTCCTTGGAATGCTACAGGGTACAACCCATTTGAGTTCCTGTATGGATGCTCCTTTTTATTAAGCCCCAGTCTCACCAGACCAACTTGGACTGTACCCCAAAAAATTTGTCATCCCTACTATTTTCTGTCTAGTCATACTCCTATTCACCGTTCTCAACTACTCGTGCATGCTCTGCTCTTGTGTATACTGCCGGTTTACAGTGTTTCTCCAAGCCTTCACAGCTGATATCTCCTGGTGCTATCCCCAAACCGCCACTCTTAACTCTTAAAGTAAATAAATAATCTTTGCTGGCAGGACTATGCTGAATCTCCTTAGGCACCCTCTAATTAGATGTCCTGGGTCCTCCCAATTCTTAGGCCTTTAATACCTGTTTTTCTCCTTCTCTTATTCCATTTAGTTTTTCAATTCATACAAGACTGTATCCAGGCCATCACCAATAATTCTATATGACAAGTGTTTCTTCTAACAGTCCTACAGTATCACCCCTTACCACAAAATCTTCCTTCAGCCTAATCTCTCCCACTCTAGGTTCCCACGCCACCCCTAATCCTGCCCAAAGCAGCCCTGAGAAACATCACCCATTATCTCTCCATACCACCCCCCAAAAAATTTTCACCATCCCAACACTTTACCACTATTTTGTTTTAATTTTCTTATTAATATAAGAAGACAGGAATGTCAGAACTCTGAGCCCAAGCTAAGCCATCATATCCCCTGTGACTTGCACCTACACATCCAGATGGCCAGTTCCTGCCTTAACTGATGACATTCCACCACAAAAGTAGTTAAAATGGCCGGTCCTTGCCTTAAGTGATGACATTACCTTGTGAAAGTCCTTTTCCTGGCTCAAAAAGCTCAAAAAGCACCTTGTGGTCCCCAGTCCTGCCCACCAGAGAACAAATCCCCTTTGACTGTAATTTTCCTTTATCTACCCAAATCCTATAAAATGGCCCCACCCTTATCTCCCTTCACTGACTCTCTTTTCGGACTCAGCCTGCCTGCACCCAGGTGATTAAAAGCTTTATTGCTCACACAAAGCCTGTTTGGTGGTCTCTTCACATGGATGCACATGAAAGAGGGGGCTTTCAAAGTGTTCATGGATCTTTAACTTTAATGGAATATACTTCCCTTATAAAAATTTGCTGCAAATGCGAAGTAATTAATTATCAAAATGTGGTCTGAAACCACTCAGTGGTAGCATCATTTTCTCACATCCACACAAGTTTGCAGTTTAATGTGTTTTTTATTTATACATTAAAGAAAATGCTTCTGAGAAAGATTTAAAATAAATTCCATGGCTTTTAGAAAATTAATACAATTCATACTGTTTGATTACATCTTTTAAGCCTAATATTATACACAAACATTTAAGTTATTGTATTTATTTTTTTAGTGCCTGCATAGTACTCCACATTACAGATATACCAGAGGGTATTTAAATAATAAATATCTTTGGGCATTTTAGTTAATTCTAACTAAATATTAAGATAGTTTCTGGCCCAGCACGATGGCTCACGCCTGTAATCCCAGCACTTTGGGAGGCCAAGGCAGGCAGATCATGAGGTCAGGAGATCGAGACCATCCTGGCTAACATGGTGAAACCCTGTCTCCAATAAAAATACAAAAAAATTAGCCGGGTGTGGTGGCGGGCACCTGTAGTCCCAGCTACTCAGGAGGCTGAGGCAGGAGAATGGCGTGAACCCGGGAGGCAGAGCTTTCAGTGAGCAGAGATGGTGCCACTGCACTCTAGTCTGGGCAACAGAGTGAGAATCTGTCTCAAAAAAAAAAGAAAAAGATAGATAGTTCCTTATTCTTGTATAACACTGTGAATAATGTATTTTATATAAATATTTGTGCATTTGTCTGATTGATCCTTTAAGATAATGAAGAATTTGTAAGTCAAACACTCCACCCACTTATAAAGCTTTTCAAAAATATTGGCAAAGAGTAGTTGGAGCAAGATGGCTAATTAGAGCCCCCCAGAGAACATTCCCTGCACAGGAACATCAAACTGAACAACTATCCACACAAAGATGCACCTTTATAATAACCAAAATCAGGTGAGCAATCACAGTATCTGGTTTTAACATTATATCAAGGAAAAAGACACTGAATAGGGTAGGAAAGATCATCTTAAATTGTGTACAACACCTCTCCCCCCACCTCTGGCAGGGCAGCGTGGTGCGGAGAAAGTACCCCTATGCTTGGGAGAGAGAGAGAGCCCAGTGACTGTGGAACTTTACATTGGAACTCAGTGCTTCCCTGTCACAGTGGAAAGCAACACAGGGAAGATTCAGCTGGGGCCCATTGAGGGAACATTTAAACTGGCCTTAGCGAGGGGAATCATCCATCCCAGCAGTCAAAAACTAAGTTCCAGCTAACCTCACCACCATAGCCTAAAGTGCCCTGGAGTCCTATTTAGTTTATTTAAACCTCAAAATAGGACCCCAGGGCACTTTAAGCCAGACGGCTGCAACTACTGGGCAAGACTTGGTGCTGTGCTGGGCTCCAAGCCAGTAGACTTGTGGTGCACACAACCCAGTGAGATACTAGCTGGAGTGGCCAAGGGAGCAGTGCTTGTATCATCCTTCCTCCAACTCCAGGCAGTACATCTGGCAGCTATGGGAAAAGAAGGAAGAGTAAAGAAGACTTGCTGCTGCAACTTGGATACCAGCTCAGCCACAATAAGATAAAGCACCAAGCAGAGACCTGAAGCTCCTATTCTGGGCCATTGTTCCTGTGACACATTTCTAGACTCACCCTGGGCCAGAGAGAACCTACTGCCCTGAAGGGAAGGACCCATTTCTGGCAGAATTCACCACATGCTGACCAAAAATCCCTTGGGCCTTGAATAAACTAGTGGTAGCCAGGCAGTCGTAACCATGGGCCTTGGGCAAGACCCAGTACCATGCTAGCTTCAGGTATGATACAGCACATTCCCAGCTGTGATGGTTACAGGGAAAAATTCCTTCTCCTTGAGGAAAGGAGGAGAAGCAAAAGGGACTTTTTCTGGCAACTTAGGTACCAGCTTAGCCACAATAAAATATAACATCAAACAGATTCCCAAGGTCTCTGGCTCCAGGGTTCTATGGGGAATTTCTAGATCTTTCCTGGTCCAGAAGGACCTACTTACCTGAACAGAGACTCAGGCCTGGCAGGATTCACAGCTTGCTGACTAAAGAGCCCTTGGGCCTTGAATAAACATCAGCAATATCTAGGAAATAGTCATCACATGCCTTGTGTGAGTATCGTGCTGGCTTCAGGTGTGACCCAGTGTCCCAGCAGTGGTGGTCATGGGAGTGTTTATGTCACTCTCCCTCCAAGTCCTGGCAGCTCAGCATGGAAAGAGAATTTGTTTGGGGAAATGTAAGGGAAGAGAACAAGAGACTCCTGGTAATCCAGGGAATTCTCCCAGCTCTTATGCAAGAACACCAAAGTCATACTGCTACAAGTCTGCAAGAGTCAAAGCATTACTGGGCTTGGGGTGTCCCCAATGCATACAGAGCTGTAGTGACCAAATACTTAGATCACACCACTCAATTCCCTTTGACTACTTGTAAATGCTTCCCAAGAAAGACAGGTGCAAACAAGCCCAGACTGAGAAGACTACGATACATATCTAAGTCTTCAATGACCAGACATTGATGAACATCCATAAGCATCAATACCATCCAGGAAAACATAACCTCACTAAATGAACTAAAAAAACCACCAGTGACTAATTCCAGATTTGCAGAGATATGTGACCTTTCAGATAGAGAATTAAAATAGCTGTTTTGAGGAAGCTCAATCAAATTGTAGATAACACAGAGAAGGAATTCAGAATCCTATAAGAGAAATTGAAGGAAGAGATTAAATCAATTAAAAAGAATGAAGCAGAGACACTAGAGCTGAAAAATGCAATGACATAATAGAGAATTCATTAAAGTCTCTTACTAGCAGAACTGATCAAGCCGAGGAAAGAATTAGTGAGGTTGAAGACAGTGTATTTGAAAATACACAGCAGGAGGAGTTAAAAGACAAAAGAACAAAAAATAATGAAGCACACCTATAGGATCTAGAAAATGACCTTAAAAGGGCAAATTTAAGAGTCACTGGCCTTAAAGAGGAGGTAGATAGAGAGATTGGCATAGAAAGTTTATTCAAACAGATAATAAATACTATGCAAGCCAAGAGAAATCTATCAATACTCAGGTACAAGAAGGTTATAGAACATCAAGCAGATTTAACCCAAATAACCTGAAGATATGTAATAATTAAATTCCCAAAGCTTAAAGATAAAGAAAGGACCTAAAAAGTAAAAAGGGAAAAGGAAAAAATAGCATATAGAGGAGCTCCAATACATCTGGCAGTAGCTTTCTCAGTGGAAACCTTCCAGGCCAGGGGAGAGTGGCATGATATATTTAAGGCAATGAAAGTGGAACAAATCTCTTTTATTCTAGAATATTATATCCAACAAAAATATTCTTCAAATATGAGGGATAAATGAAGACTTTCCCAGATAAAAAAAAAAAGGAGGGGATTTTGCAAACATCAGACCTGTTCTACAAGAAATGATGAAGACAGTGCTTCAATTTGAAAGAAAATGACATTAACAAACAATAAGAAATCATGTGAAGGTACAAAACTCACTGGTAACTGTGGGTACACAGACAAATACAAAATATTATAACACTGTAATAGTGGTGTGTAAATTATTCATATCTTGAGTGGGAAGATTAAAAATGAACCTATCAAAAATAATAACTACAACATTATTTTATGACATAGTATAAGATATAAATAGAAACAACAAAATGTTTAAAATGGGGGTGATGTTAAAGTACAGAGTTTTTGTTAGTTTTCTCTTTACTTGTTTTTGCAATCAGAGTTGTTTTCATCATTTAAAAATAATGGATTAAAAGGTGTTATTTGCAAGCTTAATGGTAACCTCAAATCAAAAAAGCTACAACAGACACATAGGAAATACAAAGCAAGAAATTAAAACACGTCACCAGGCCAGGCCCAGTAGCTCATTCCTGTAATCCCAGCACTTTGGGAGGCCAAGGTGAGTGGTTCACTTGAGGTCAAGAGTTCAAGACCAGCCTGGCCAACATGGTGAAACCTTGTCTCTACTAAAAATACAAAAAATTAGCCAGGTGTGGTGGCACACACCTGTAGTACCAGCTACTTGGGAGGCTGAAGAAGGAGAATCACTTGAACCTGGGAGGCAGAGGTTGCAGTGGGCTGAGATCACACCACTGCACTCCAGTCTGTGTGACAGAACAAGATTGTGTCTCATAAAAAGAAAAAATAAATAACACCGTCAGAGAAAATCACTTTCAGAAAAAGGAAGAAGGAAGATAGGTAGGAAGGTAGAAAGACAGGAAGGTAGAACGACAGGAAGGCAGGAAGAAGGAAGGCAGGAAGGAAGGAAGGATGGGAGGGAGGGAGCATGGTAAAACAACTGGAAAACCAGTAACAAAATGGAAGTAATACATTCTTACTTTTCATTAATAACATTGAACATGAATGAACTAAACTCTCCAATCAAAAGACATAGGGTGACTGAATGGATCAAAATATAAAACCCAACGATCTGGTGCCTACAAGAAACATACTTCACCTATAAAGACACATATAAACTGAAAACAAAAGAATAGAAAAGGATATCCCATGCAAATGCAAACCAAAACAGAACAGGAATAAAATAGATATAAACTATCTATTATAAAAAACAAAACAGAGCAGGAATATCTATCTGTATAAACCAAAACAAAGCAGGAATAAAATAGGCATAAACTATCATATCATCTATTTGGATAAAATAGATATAAAAACAAAAACTATGAAAAGAGACAAAGTCATTACATAATGATAAAGGGATCGATTCAGCAAGAGGATGTAACAATTATAAATATATATGCATGCAACACTGGAACACACAGATACATAAAGCAAAAAAATTAAAACTAAAGAGAGGGGTAGATCCCAATACAATAACAGTTGGAGACTTCAACACCTCATCTTCAGCATTGAGCAGATCATCCACACAGAAGATCAACAAAGAAACATCGGACTTAATTTTCACTACAGACCAAATGGACCTAATAGATATTTCTGGCAGATTTTACTCAACAACTGCAGAATACTTACTCTTCTCCTCAGCACATGGATCATATCTAAGAATAGACCATATGTTAGGTCCCAAAACAAGTCTTAAAAAATTCAAAAGAATTGAAATAATATCCAGCATCTTCTCTGACTACAATGGAATAAAACTAGAAATCAATAATAAGAGGAGCTATGGAAACTATACAGACACCTGAAAAGTAATTCGTATGCTCCTGAATGACCAGTGGGTCAATGAAGAAATTACGAAAGAAAATTAAAAATGTCTTGAAACAAAAGGAAAACACAACATACTAAAACCTATAGGATATCGTGAAAGTGGTACTAAGAGGGAAATTTATAACAATAAACACCTACATTAAAAAATTAGAAAAACTTCAAATAAACAACTTAATGATTTACCTTTAAAAACTAGAAAAGCAAAAGCAAATTGAACCTAAACTTTGTAGAAGAAAATAAGTAATACAAATCAGAGTAGAAATAAATTGAAATTGAAAAATACAAAAGGTCAATGAAATGAAAAGTTGATTTTTTAAAAAAAGATAAACATGATCAACAAACCTTTAGCAAGGTTAATTAAGAAAAAAGGAGAGAATACCTAGATCAATAAAATCAGAGATGAAAAAGAAGACATTACAAGTGATACAGCAGAAATTCAAAGGATAATTAGAGACTACCATGAGCAACTGTCTGCCAATAAATTGGAATACCGAGGAGAAATGAATAAATTCCCAGACATATTCAACCTACCAAAATTGAATCAAAGACATCCTAAACCTGAACATATCAATAACAATAATGAGACAGAAGCTGTAATAAAAAAAGTTTTTCAGCATAAATAAGCCCTGGACCCAGTAACTTCACTGCTGAATTTTACCAATTATTTAAATAAAAACTAACACCGATCCTACTTAACCTATTACAAAACAATATTAGAAAAGAGATACTTCCAAGGACACTCTGAGGCCGGTATTACCCTGATACCAAAACCAGACAAAGACACATCACAAAAATAAAACTATAGGCAATATAGTGTTTCATCTGATAAAAATTGATGTAAAAATTCTCAGCAAACTGAATTCAACACCTTAAGAGGATCACTCATCATGACCTAGTAGGACTTATCCCAGGAATTCAAGGAGGGTTCAGCACATGCAAATCAATGAGTGTCATATATCATATCAGCAGAATGAAGAACAAAACTATATGATCCTTTCAATTGATGCTGAAAAAGCACTTGATAAAATTCAGCAGCCATTCATGATAAAAATCTGCCAACCAAGGAACATACCTCAACGCAATAAAAACTATATATGATAGACTCACAGCTAGTATAATACTGAACGAGTAAAAACTGGAAGTCTTTCCTTTAAGATATGGAACTAGGGAAGAATATCCACTTTCACCACTGTTATTTAACATAGTACTGGAATTCCTTGCTAAAACAATTACAGAAGAGAAATAAATAAAGGGCATCCAAATTGGAAAGGAAGAAGTTAAATTATCCTTGTTTGTACATGATATGATCTTATATTTGAAAAAAAGCTAAATATTTCACTGAAAAACAATTAGAACTGTTAAACAAATTCAGTAATGTTGCAGGATACAAAATCAACTTACAATAATAAATAACATTTCTATAAGCCAACAGCGAGCAATCTGAAAAACAAATCAAGAAAGTAATTTTATTTAAAATAGCTAGAAATAAAATAGCTAGGAATAATGTCAACCTAAGAAGTGAAATATCTCTACAACGAAAACAATAAAACACTGATGAAAGAAATTGAAGAGGTCACAAGAAATGGAAAGTGTGTTAATGTATTAGAATAATCAATATTGTTAAAATGCACATACCACCCAAAGCAATCTACACATTCAATGCAATCTCTCAAAATACCAATGACATTTTTTTAAAAAATAGAAAAAATAATTCTAAAATTTATATGGAGTTACAGAAGACCCAACATAGCCAAAGCCATCTTAAGTAAAAAGAGAAAAACTGGAGGAATCACATTTCGTGACTTCAAGTTATATTATAGAGCTACTGTAACCAAAACAGCATGGTATTGGCATAGAAATGGACACATAAACCAATGGGACAGAATAGAGAACACATAAATAAATTCATGTTTTTACAGTGAACTCATTTTTGATGCAGGTTCCAAGAACATACATTGGTGAAAGGACAGTCTCCTTAATAAATGGTGCTGGGAACACTGGATATCCATAAGCAAAAGAATGAAACTAGACACTCCTCTCTTGCCATATATAAAAAAAACAAAATGGATTAAAGATTTAAATCTAAGACCTCAAACTATCAAAATACTAAAAGAAAACATTGGGGAAACTCTCCAGGTAACTGATCTGGGCAAATATTCATCAGTAATATCCCAAAAGCACAGACAACAGAAACATAACAGACAAACCAGATTACAAGCTAAAAAGCTTCTGCACAGCAAAGGAAACAATCAACAAAGTAAAGAGAGAACCCACAGAATAAGAGAAAATACTTGCAAAATACCCATCTGTCAAGGGATTAATAACCAGAAAATATAAGGAGCTCAAAGAAAAGGAAAAAATCTAATAAACCAGTTTAAAAAATAGGCAAAAGATCTGAATAGACATTTTTCAAAAGAAGACACAGTGAAAAAGTATACGAAACAGGTATATGGAACAGGTATATGAAAATGTGCTCAACATCACTGATTAACAAAGAAATAGAAATCAAAACCACAATGAAATATTATCTCAATGCAGTTAAAAATGTCTTTTATCAAAAAAAAAAAAGAAAAAAAAGCAGAGATGCTGGTGAGGAGGCAGAGAAAGATGAACGCTCTTACCCTGTTGGTGAAAATGTAAGTTAGTACAGACACTAACGTAAATATTATGCAGTATGGAGGTTCCTCAAAGAGCTAAAAATATACATACCATGTTATCCCACAATCCCACTATTGGGTATATATTAAAAAGGAAGGAAATGAGTATATCAATGAGATATCTGCACTTCTATGTTTATTGCAGCGCTATTTACAATAGCCAAGATATGAATCAACTGAATAAATGGATAAAGAAAATGTGGTACATTCACAGAATCATATTGAAAAATGAAATCTTGTCATTTGCAACAATGTGAATGGAACAGGAGAACATTATGTTAAGTGAAATAAGTCAGGCACAAAAGGACAAATATCACATGTATTCACTCATATTTGGGAGCTGAAAAAATTGGTCTCATGGAATTAGATAGTAGAATGATGGTTAGAGAGACTCAGAAGGGTAGTGGGAGGGGCATGTAAATAGAGATTGGCTAATGAGTACAAAACTAGTTAGACAGTAGGAATAAGATCTAGTGTGTGGAAGCACAATGGGGCAACTATAGTTAGCAATGATTGTACATTTTAAAGGAGCTAGAAGAGTGGATTTGGAATGTTCCCAACACAAGAATTCTCAGTGTTTGAGGTGATGGATATTCTAATAGCTCAGATTTTATTATTACACATAGTATACTTGCATTGAACTAGTTCACATACTGCATAACTAATGTACAACTGTTACGTACCACAAAAAATTTAAAAATAAATAAGAAGTATGCTTAGATTTACCTTTTAAACGACTATATGTAAACCCATCATAATAAAAACTAATGCAAAAAAAATAGCTTTTAATAACAACAAAGAAAGAACTCTTGGAAAAAGTTGCCAGTTATCATTTCAAATATTTGTTCTATCAGGCCATACATCATGATTAAGCACGCTAAAGAAAGTTTCTTGAAGACATTCGTGGTGATTATAACCTACTTATTTTCAAATCTCACTAATTTATTTCTCACAGGCCTCCCACTAACCTTTACTTGCTAAATCTGATAGTTTCTCATTATTCTTTTAATTTCAATATCTGTAATGTTCAGGTTTATATACGCTTGTCAAAATTCTGAAATGTATAATTTAAATGGGTGCAGGTAACGAAACATATTGTATGCCTCAAAAAAGTGGCTACAAACCGAAATCTTTAATGTGTCTTGTGTGAACATTTGCTGTTTGGCCCTTGCCTATCTTCTTCACATGATCTTAAATAATATATATGTTCCAGCTTTCCTTTTCCTTTGACTTTTTTTCTTTACAGCATTTAATGCTACTGAGTATTCCTTTTTTTTTTTTTTTTTTTTTTTTAAGACTAGTCAAGTACAGTAGTGAGAAGGGAGGAAAGAGTATGACAAGAAATTCTGTCTGTTAATGTTTTTGAATAGTCATTTGAGGTAACTCAGTATGTTCGGACCAGCCTATTTACTCTTTTTTTTTTTCTTTTTTTGATACTCTATTCTCTTTTCATTTCTTTTTACAACTTTCTTTCAGATTTCCTCTAAGAAATTAGAGCATCCTCTTTATTCACTTATATTTATTTCTAATTCCAAATTATTGTTTCATCTTCCTAGTCTTTCTCTAAGTACTTTTTTTGTCAGATGATTCATTTAAAATAAATGGATCCAAGTACTTTAAGACAGATATAATTAGACTTGAAGCTTAATACCAGGAAGGAAAACTATGTCATGATAAGATGGGCGTATTTTATGGTCAAGGTGTATTAGACTGAATTAATCTGATTCATCGGGGTGCATGTCAATTTTTGTATTAAGACCCTTTCGTGTAACAAACACTATGAAGTCATATAAAAGAAAGACAATTGCCAACAGGTTAAATAATGATAATATAGATGTAAGGATTATTATAGGATAGTAATCCAAGTTGAGTTGCTGAAACTAAATTTTCATATCTCAGAATGATGATTAAAATTTCTGCCTACCTTAGGTTGTTAGGAGGATTTAATGAGATGCCAGTGAAATCCCTTTGCAAATTATACAGAAAATAATGTTTTCTTACTTTAAACAATTGAATCTTTAGGTTTATAATATTCTGAATATCAATTAAAATAATGCCACTTTGCAACTTTATGTGAAATAAAAGTTCAGGGATAAGAATTCACTGAATTCTATCTACTTTATCAATCAAATTAATTTTCATTTAAAGTTGCAAAAATGCTACATGATTTTGTTTTCAGCCTAATAACCTATTAAGTGACCCACGTAGCTATTTTACTCGGTAAATGTCTCTTTTTCTGCCCATATATTTTACATTATGCCCTTCCTTTCCATTACCTTTATTTTTGCTTCTGTGATATTATCCACATAACTGAAAGAATTTAAGCTTTACTTACTGTATTTTAAACTCCAACGTTGACTTTAACTGGAATGAATAGCTTTATTTTTTTTTTAATTCTTTTCTTTCCCCTCATTAATCACCCAGGGATACAAACCTTTGAAGGCTTTACACAAGCAAAGGACAGGTGATCTAAGAGAATCATTGTTGTTTTAATTGAGAAAGAGACATTTTCTACAAAGTTATTAACAGCCATGCTTGCATTCTGCTGAGAAACAAGAGAGAGGGAAACTCCCGAGTAGCAAGATGGTGAAAAACATGCTATTACAATTCATTCTCCAGGAAAAATTCAGGAAAAATATAAATACCACATGTCAGGAAACTCCGAGGTATGGCTTGAAACTCTGATC